>NC_000010.11:32139976-32444259 GCF_000001405.40 Homo sapiens
ATGCGCCACCATGCTCAGCTCATTTTTTTTTTTTTTTTTTTTTTGTAGAGATAGGGTTTCGCCATAGGGTTTCGCCATGTTGACCAGGCCAGTCTCAAACTCCTGGCCTCAAGTGATCCACCTACCTCAGCCTCCCAAAGTGCTTGGATTACAGACTTGAGCCGCCACACCCAGCCATCATCAGTCTTGCTTGTTTATTCAAAATGTAGGTATGGGGTATCCGTTATGAACCCAGAAGCATCTGAGACAGGACTCAGTCAATTTAGAAAGCTTATCTTGCCAAGGTTAAGGATGCACCCATGACACACCTCAGGGGGTCCTGGTGACATGTGCCCAACAAGGTCGGGGCATAGCTTGCTTTTATACATTTGATGGAGACACGAGACATTAATCAATATGTCTAAGATGTGTATTGGTTCCATCTGGAAGGGCGGGACAACTTAAAGATGGGGCAGCTTCCAGGTCATAGATAGATTTTAAAATGTTCTGTTTGGCAATTGGTTGAAAAAGTTATTATCAACAGAAAGGAATGTTTGGGTTACGAAAAGGGGTTGTAGACACCAAGTTTTTATCATGCGGATGAAGCCTCTGGGTAGTAGGCTTCAGAGAGAATAGATTGTAAATGTTTCTTATCAGACTTAAGGTCTGTGTTAATGTTAATGTTGGTCAGCTTTTCCTGAATTCCAAAGACAGGAGGGGATCATGAGGCATGTCCAACGCCCCCTTCCATCATGGCCTGAACTAGTTTTTTCAGGTGAACTTTCAAATGCCATTGGCTGAAAGGAGGGATCCATTCAGATGGTTAGTGGGCTTTAGAATTTTATTTTTGGTTTGCACTGTGACACATTGCTCAGAACCAACTTAGCGCACCACTGAGGACACCTTTTGCCCCTCGTTTCCAGCACTCCACTTGGCTGGTTTTAAGGTGCTAAATTCTGGAAGGGTAGAGATTGTGTCTGTGTACCCCCATGGGTGACAAGCAGAGGGCCCTGCATGCAGTGGGTGCTCAATTGATGCTTATTACGAGAAGAGATACAAATGAATGGGGATTCTACTGATTCCTATTACTACTCAATAACTAACAAGAGCTTCACGGTACTTAGTAGCTCTTTGTACTCCTTCTCCAGTAAACTTAATTTCAGATCATCGGTGCTTATGCAAGTCCTGTTTGATAACTGGGAAGCCTGAAATTGAGTGAGGTCATCAGTTGGCTACCACTCAATCTGACAGAATAAAATTCAGTCTTCCTTGTTGGCACCTTGAAGCTTTATTGTTTAGGAGGAGCAGAGATCTAAGAGGGAAATGAATGTCATAGCCGGTCACTTGGGCTGGCTGATTCAAGCTTAACTGAAGGTGACCTGAGACAAGAAAATTGCATTTGTTTCTGTGGCTGCAGAATTTTTTCAGGGGCAGATGCACAGCCAAGGTGCAGGGCCTCTGGGGTCCTTAGGGATGGCTGTGTTTTTCATGAGAAGCCTGGAAAGGAAGAAGGACTGGGAAGTAAGTGGGGGTGAAATGAACAAACAAAACTAGGAAGCCACCCTGCGATGGGCACATGCCGGGGTTGGCCTCCATGCCTTCATCTCTGTCGGGAGGCACAGACGTCCCGGAGCCCCAGAGGTCCTGGAGCCCCAGACAACAGCACTTATCTTAAATATTTCCCAATACCTTCACACTCATGGAAACAGAAGAAATGTTTCAAGGAGGAGACAGTGACATCATGCTCACTTTTGCGTGTAGCTCCAAGTTGTGCTGCGCCCTTTATTGTCATTCTGCAAACTCCCACGCTTAGCTTTTCCCTTCAAGCCGGAGAGGTGGAGTAAGTGGATTCCTCTATGTCCAGATGGGACTCTGATTCTCTCTCTTTTTTGTTTTGCTTTTTGTTTGTTTGTTTGCTTGTTTGTTTTTTTGAGATGGAGTCTCGCTCTGTCACCCAGGCTGGAGTGCAGTGGCACGACCTCCATCCCCCAGGTTCAAGTGATTCTCCTGCCTCAGCCTCCCAAGTAGCTGAGATTACAGATGCCCACCACCATGCCCAGCTAATTTTTGTATTTTTAGTAGAGATGGGGTTTCACCATGTTGGCCAGGCTGGTCTTGAACTCCTGACCCCAGGTGATCCACCCACCTTGGCCTCCAGAAGTGCTGGGATTACAGGCGTGAGCCACCAGAACCAGCCTTTTTTTTTTTTTTTTTTGACACAGGGTCTCACTCTGTCACCTGGGCTGGAGTGCAGTGGCTCCATCAGGGTTCACTGCAGCCTTGACTTCCTGGGCTGAAGCCATCCTTCCACCTCAGCCTCCTGAGTAGCTGGGACTAGAGGCAACATCACCACACTGGCTATATTGCCCAGGCTGGTCTCAAACTCCTGGACTCAGGCGATCCTCCTGCCTTGGCCTCCCAAAGCGCTGAGATTACAGGCATGAGCCACCATGCCTGGACTGATTCTCTCTTTTTTTTTTTTTTTAGAGACAGAAACTCACTCTGCCGCCTGAGCTACAGTGCAGTGACACAATCATAGCTCACTGCAGCCTCAAACTCCTGGGCTCAAACTCCATAGCTTACTACCTCAGTCTCCCAAGTAGCTGGGACTACAGGAACACACTACCATACCCAGCTAATTTTTGTATTTTTTTGGTAGAGAAGGAGTCTCTCTTTATTGCCCAGGCTGGTCTTGAACTCCTGGTCATCCTCTTGCCTTGGCCTCCCAAAATGCTGAGATTACAGGTGTGAGCCACCGTGCCAAGCTAGGACTCTGATTCTTAAATGGCCACATTCATGAATCACTATTTTTGGAGAGTCATTGTTTAGCAGGTCATTATGCACAGATTTTCCAAAAACCCACCTGGAGAAAACCGCTCACACTATGGCCTTGAGCATTGATGTCATCAGCACATAGGCCAGAGGGACCAGCTGTGAGTAATGCCCATAACAAGGGAACTTTCCATCTCAGGGAGAAGTTAGGGCTTTGCAAGATGTCTTATGGATGACACACAACTTTTATCTTCATTAATTAAAAGCAGTAAGAGTTTAAATTATGATAGCAATAATAGTAATTGTATGTAGCACTTTTTCGAAGTCCTGAGATATTGCTGCATTCCCCTCCTTTAGCCCCAAGAAGAATCTATTCCTTCCTCTGTGTCCTTATTTAGAGCTTATCTCTGGGTGGCATGAAAGAGACAGAGCACACTAAACTTAAACCAGAAGTCCTGAGTTTGAATCCTCATCTATCACTTATTAGTTAGAAGGCCTAAAATATTCACTCAAAATTTTATTCTCTGAACCTTGGTTTGCTAATCCATACAATAAAGACAATCACAAAATTTATCTCAAAGAATCATTGTGAGGATTATATGAGGTCCCAAGCAAGAAGTCAGGCTTTCAAAAAATACTTGATGGAAGAAGGAATTACACTGTATCCTAATGAATCAATCAACGTGTCTCAACTGGAACTGGCTTCATGCCGGTGATGGGACAGGACTTACTCATCTTTGTATCCCTGGCACCCAGCAAGTGCCCAGCCCATAATAGGTGCTGAATAAATGTTATTGAATCTATGAATGAATGAGCCTTGTAACTCATGACACTACTAGGGCAACTAGTCTGGGCAGTGTTGTCAAGAGCTCTGCTGAGCTGGAGAGGGCTGAACTGCCGGGGGCTGCCGATTAAGACAGCAAACTGAAATGAAAGTGAGAGTCTTGGCCAGGTGCAGTGGCTCACCCGCAGCCTCGAACTCTTGGGCTCAAGTGATCCTCCCACCTCAGTCTCCCAAGTAGCTGGAACTATAAGAATGTACCACCACATTTGGCTACTTTTTGTATTTTTTATAGAGATGGGGTCTCATCATGTTGCTGATCTTGAACTTCTGGCGATCCTCCTGCCTTGGCCTCCCAAAGTGTTGGGATTACAGGCGTGAGCCACCGTGACAGGCTAGAACTCTGATTCTTTTTTTTTTTTTTTTTTTTTTGAGATGGAGTTTCACTCTTGTTGCCCAGGCTGGAGTGCAATGGTGCGATCTCGGCTCACTGTAACCTCCGCCTCCCGGGTTCAAGCTATTCTCCTGCCTCAGCCTCCCAAGTAGCTGAGATTACAGGCATGCACCACCACGCCTGGCTAGTTTTGTATTTTTCATAGAGACAGGGTTTCTTCATGTTGGTCAGGCTGGTCTCGAACTCCTGACCTCAGATGATCCACCTGCCTCGGCCTCCTGAAGGGCTGAAATTACAGGCGTGAGCCACTGCACCCAGCCAGAACTCTAATTCTTAAATGGCCTCATTAAAGAACCAGCGGTTTTGAGGGGCATTGCATTCATGGGGTCATTGTGCACTCATGCTTTAGGACATCAAGCTGGGGCGGTGGCTCATGCCTAGAAATCCCAGCCTTTTGAGAGGCCAAGACGGGAGGATCACTTGAGGCCAGAGGTTTTAGACCAGCCTGGGCAACATAGTGAGACCTCATCTCTACTAAAAATAAAAATAAATAAATAAATTAGCTGGGTGTGGTGGTGACAGGGCTTGGCACTCCTGCACTTCAGGACACCATCTGGTCAAGAATATTCCCTTTGGCTGGGTGCAATGGCTCATGTCTGTAATCCCAGGACTTTGAGAGTATGAGACAAGGAGACTGCCTGAGGCCAGGAGTTCAAGACCACCCTGGGCAGCATAGCAAGACTCTGTCTCTACAAAAAAAAAAATTAAAAATTAGCCAGGTGTGGTGACAAGCACCTGTAGTCCCAGCTACTCAGGAGGCTGAGACGGGAGGATCACTTGAGCCCGGAAGGTTGAGGTTGCAGTGAGCTGTGATTGTGCCACTGCACTCCAGCCTGGGTGATAGAGCAAGACCTTGTCAAATAAATAAATAAACCAAATAAAGCGAGAGTCCACCCTTTATTCACTTACCACAATAGTGTAAGCAAGATGCTAAGTGGAAGAAAACACCAGTGCCCCTGGTTCCATCTCCCCCTGTGGAACAGCGTAGAGCATTGGCTTGTGCACTGTCAGTGCAGAGACGGCACACAGGGGAGGTGTCTCGCTACTGAGGGAGCCCAGAGCAAAGGGCTCCTGCAGTTTTATGGTCCTGGGGGACTGGGGTGGGGAGAGGGAATCTGGGACAAAGACTCTGAGTGGAAAAGTACCGAATACCATCAGGGTAGACAAAAAGTTTCTTCATAGTTTTCCTCTCTCCCCCGATAAGAGGTCTTGGCCTGAGGAAGGGGCACCTGGGCTAGGAACACAGCTATGTATAGGAGCACAGCTGGCCAGCGGGGCCTGAGCCCTCGACTGCAGCTCCCTTTGCAATGCCCTGGCTGTGCACCATGCCTGGTGCGGGGAGGACAGCTTTTCCCAGGGAGGCCTGCCAGGTAAAGCCTAGGTAACTGCCTAGGGTTGGGCCAGAAAAAAAAACACATACACGTAGGTATTTGACCAGAAGCCAGACTCCTCCTCCAGGATGCTACATCTGACAGATAAAGTACCCAGAGACTTACTTACTTACTTTATTTATTTATTTATTTATTTATTTATTTATTTATTTATTTTGGAGGGGACAGGGTCTTGCTCTGTTGCCCAGACCAGAGTGCAGTAGCACAATCATTGCTTACTACAACCTTGAACTCCTGGGCTCAAGCAATCCTCCCATCTCAGCCTCCTGAGCAGCTGGGACCACAGGCACAGGCCACCTTGCCCAGCTAATAAAAAAATTTTTTTTTGTACAGACAGGGTCTTTCTATGTTGCCCAGGCTGGTCTTGAACTCCTGGCCACAAGGGATTTTCCCTGCCTCAGCCTCCCAAACTGTTGGAATTACAGGTGTAAGCCACCGTGGCCTCCCACAGTAGGCCAGCCAGAGACTTTAAATACTTGTCTAAGTTTCTTTCTTGTGGCGGCTGCAGAGCTGGAACCAGAATAAAGTTCTTTGGGCTCTACCCTGGTTATATCACACTGGACCCTAAGTGGCTACATGAACAGTTGTAGCCTCAGATATGACAGGAAGTTGCTCTTCTGCTTTGAGAGGTTGTCCAACCCTGGCCAGCCAGAGTGAATTGTCAATTTCCAAAGCCTGTTGTGGGAGGCAGAATTTCAATCCCATGACCTGGACATGCCTACCTGGATGTAGGGCCCACAGAAATTGTGGGATAATAAATGGGTGTTGTTTTAAGTCACTGACTTGGCAGTCATTTGCCATGGTAGCAACAGAAAAACAAATACGCATGACCAAATGCTCAGCATAAGCTCCATCCTGCCCACTCCTCCTCACCATCCTGTCATGACCACTCTCAGACCTGGCCACCACTCCCACCATCAATTGTCCCTTTTGAGTCCTCTGTGAAAACTGTTCTTTTAATGCCCAGTCCAGACATTCCTGAGTGCAGCTCCAAGTTCATATTAAGCTGCCAGGATAGGAAGGCATTGGGCCCATTCTCTGACGTCGGGATGCTTGATGATGGCATCCCATCCCTTCTGTCTGTGAGATACCCCGTGGAAAACTCTCAGATCAAAGAACTAAGGTTGCCAGGTGAGATACAGGATGCCCAGTTAAATATGAATTTCAGGCTGAGTGCAGTGGCTAACACCTGTAATCCCAGCACTTTGGGAGGCTGAGGCAGGAGGATTGCCTGAGGTCAGGAGTTTGAGACCAGCCTGGCCAACATAGTGAAACCCCATCTCTACTAAAAATACAAAAATTAGTTGGACGTGGTGGTAGGTGCCCATAATCCCAGCTACTCCAGAGGCTGAGGCAGGAGAATCGCTTGAACCCAGAAGGTGGAGGTTGCAGTGAGCCAAGATCATGCCATGGCACTCCAGCCTGGGCAACAGAGTGAGACTGTCTCCAAAAAAAAAAAAAAAAAAAGCAATGGAAAAACAAATGATATATTAGTGTGTCCCAAATATTGCATGGGACATACTTACACTGAAAAATGTTTCATTTTTTTTTCAAGACTGATAACCCTAAAGGGAGCAGATATTAAGACTAGAGTATTCTAGAGCAAGTAAAACTTACCAGGAAAGTAGTAAGTCGTGACCTAAAGTTGATCTAGCCTCCCCCTTCTGGGATTGGTGCCCTTTTGTTCCTGCCACCACCAAATCTGATATCAGAAAAGGATCTTAGGTCAGATGCTTACACTTCAGTGGGGATTTTTTTGTCAGCAGGGGGTGCCTACATCTTTAAACCTGTATTCTTTTTTGCTTATTTTTATAGTGTTAGGGCCTACAAGTGCAGGTTTCTTACATGCATCTATTGCGTAGTGGTAAAGCCAGGGCTTTCAGGGTACCTATCACCCAAATAGTGAACATTGCACCCAATAGGTAATTTTCAGCCCTCACCCCCTCCCACTCTCCCATGTTTTACAGTCTCCAGTGTCTGTTATTCCACACTGTGTGTCCACGTGCACCCACTGATTCAACCTATGTTCTTTTTTTTTTTTTTTTTTGAGTTGGAGTCTTGCTCTGTTGCCCAGGCTGGAGTGCAGTGGCATGATCTCGGCTCACTGCAACTTCCGCCTCCTGAGTTCAAGCTATGCTCCTCCCTCAGCCTCCCAAGTAGCTGGGATTACAAGTGCCTGCCACCATGCCCAGCTAATTTTTGTATTTTTGTGAGACAGAGTTGAACCATGTTGGCCAAGCTGGTCTCCTGACCTCAAGTGATTCCCTCCACCTCAGCCTCGCAAAGTGCTGGGATTACAGGTTTGAGCTACCACACCCAGCCTCTTTTTTTTTTTTTTTTAATTTAGGGGATAGAAGTGCAGATTTCTTACAAGCATATATTGCATAGTGGTGAAGTCTGGGCTTTTGGTGAACCCATTACTTGAATTGTGAACATTGTACCCAACAGGTAATTTTTTGACCCTCACCCTTTCCCACCTTCCCACACTTTGGAGTCTCTGGTGTCTAATATTCCATCTGTATGTCCACAGGTACCCATTGCTTTGCTCCCCCTTCTAAGTGAGAACGTGCAGTATTTGACTTTCTGTTTCTGAGTGATTTCACTTAGGATAATGGCTTCCAGTTCCATCCATGGTGCAGTAAATGTCATGAGTTCATTCCTTTTTATGTCTGAGTAGTATTCCATACTGTATACATACCACATTTTCTTTATCCTATGTTGATGGACACTTAGGTTGATTACATATTTTTGCTACTATGAATAGTGCTGCCATAAACATATGAGTGGGGTAGATTCTTTTTGATACAATGATTTCTTTCCTTTTGAGTAGATACCCAGTAGTGGGATTGTTGGAGCAATGGTAAAGACTTTTTGAATCTTAATATTGTTATATTTAATATCACTTGATCCTCTCAGTTTCATTCTAGAGAGGACGAATCTCACGGAACTGACATGGCCCAGTACTCCCGTGCTTCGGGACATCGTCTGGTCAAGAATGTCCCCTTTGGCTGGTAATCCTAGCACTTTGAGAGGCTGACGTGGGAAGATCGCTTGAGGCCAGGAGTTTGAGGCCAGCCTGGGCAATGTAGGGAGACCTTGTTTCTACAAAAAACTTGAAAAATAAGTTAGCTGATTGTGGTGGTACATGCCTGTAGTTCCAGCTACTCAGGAGGCTGAGGTGGGAGGATCACTTGACTCTGGGAGGTTTTTTTTGTTTGTTTGTTTTTTGTGTTTTCTTTTTTGAGATGGAGTCTCGCCCTGTTGCCCAGGCTGGAGTGCAGTGGCACGATCTTGGCTCACTGCAACCTCCGCCTGCCAGGTTCAAGCGATCCTCCTGCCTCAGCCCCCTGGTAGCTGGGATTACAGGCACACGCCACCATGCCTGGCTAATTTTTGTATTTTTAGTAGATATGGGGTTTCACCATGTTGGCCACGCTGGTCTCAAACTCCTGAGCTCAGGTGATCCACCCACCTCGGCCTTCCAAAGTGCTGGGATTACAGGTGTGAGCCACTGCACCCAGCCTTTAACTCTGGGAGGCTGAGATTGCAGTGTGAGTTGCAATCACACCATCGCATTCCAGCCTGGGCAACAGAGCAAGACCCTGTCTCAAAAAAAAAAAAAATGTTCCCTTGGGGTCTCAGAGATATTCCACCCACCCACCTCCCCACCCCCTGCCGAGGAACTGCCTCTCTGGCCTCTCTCTGAGGCTCCCTTTTCAGCAGGTGGGGTGCTCACCCCTGAATAGGATACCAGGAGACAAATTTTGTCCAGCACCTCTGATACAGCGCTCTCTTGTGTGTTTTGGTGACAGGTGAATCAGATTTCCATTTAAAACACCAATGCCAAAAGGGAGAGAGAGAAAAAAACTAACCGGCCTGGATGACTTTGGAGGATGATTCTTTGTTTTAATTCTGACGGCCAGAATGGAAAGTTGGCAACTCATTCTGAAAGACGAGAGTGCTACAGGCAGCTGTGTAGCTAAGAGATAAAAACCACCAACGGGAGCAGCTCATCTAACCTGAACCGTAGCAGAGAAGGGACAGACAGGCGAGTACTCCATTTGAATCTAGGTCTCAGCCTCCCAGGGTGGGATCACATTGCCCAATTGTGACGTCACTCAAGCCATTCCCATGCCCGTGGCCCATTTTTTAAATTACTTCACAATGGGCGCAGAAGCCAAATTTGAAATAAATGACTCCATGACTCAGACTGTTAATCTCTGTTTTGACAACCAACAGCAAGTCATTGGGAACTTTAACTTACATTTGGTAGGGAACATCACAACTTCATGCAAAGGTCTCTTTAACTTATCCTCCCACCCCAAAAAAGTGCCAATTGTGTACAGGCAATAAAGCAGATTCCCTTGTATTTGGAGAAAATAGCTAAGCTTCCTCTTCAGCAGAAAGCCTTGAGGAAGAAGTTAAGAATGCAGCCTTTGGAGTCAGGCCTGTGCTTGCACATGAATCCATACCTCACTGCCCTCCTCTGTAGGTGGCAATAATAATATCACTCACTTCCTAGGATTGTTGTGGTGATGCAATGAGATCAAAAGTTTTAGCAAGATGTCCTGTAGCTACACAACAAATGCAGGCAATTTTCATTTATGCTTGTATTTGTAAACAGAGTATCAGAGTGAAACAAAACCAAAAAACAAAAATGAAGAGAAGTCCTTGGTCCTGCTCATTATTGTTTTTATTTCTTATAGATGAGGTGCTTAATAGCTACCTGTCAACAATAACGCCCGGCACACCTGGGAGATTTGAGGAAGCATGCAGAACCATTCCACTAAGTCTTTTTGTGTTTTTTTTTGTTGTTGTTGTTTTTATTTATTTATTTATTTTGAGACAGAGTCTCACTCTGTTGCCCTGGCTAGAGTACAGTGGCATGATCTCAGCTCACTACAACCTCCACCTCCCAGGTTCAGGAGATTCTCCTGCCTCAGCCTCCTGAGCAGCTGGGATTACAGCTGTGCGCCACCACGCCCGACTAATTTTTGTGTTTTGTTTGTTTGTTTGTTTGTTTGGGTTTTTTTTAATTAGAGACGGGGTTTTACCATGTTGGCCAGGCTGGTCTCAAACTCCTGACCTCAAGTGGATCCACTGGCCTCAGCCTCCCGAAGTGCTGGGATTACAGGCGTGAGCCACCACGCTCAGCCGTTGTTGTTTTTTAGACAGAGTCTTGCTATGTATCCAGGCTGGACTCAAACTCCTGGGATCAAGTGATCCTCCTGCCTCCGCCTCCCAAGTAGCTGGTACTACAGGCACATGCCACTGCGCCCAGCTTACCAAGTCACTTAACAGGAGTATTGCTCGCTAGAGACAGCACAGCCTAACCTCCTCACCGAGGACTGTGGGATCTGCGTGCAGAAGCATTTTCTTTCTCTGATACAAGTTGCTGTGAGAAGCAAAAATTAAACTCCAACTAACACCAGATGATGACCTTCAAAATGTTCTCTTGAATGACAGAAAGCTTGCATGACATCATGCCCTTCCCTTCGGTTTATTCCTGTTGTTGTTTTTGACTCCTTATCTGATTTCTAAGTTTGCTCCCTCATTCAGCCTTATCTTATCTGAAATGGATCCGTGAAGTAAAAACAATTTCCTGTGGTTTTTACCTTGTTTTTCCTCTAACTAGAAGTTAAATCACTCATGTTTACCATATGCCTACAACCTGCTGGGGTTCTGAATTCAACACAAGAATTTGAATTTTCACAAAAGCTTTTCGAAGTTTCAGAAGCTCTTTTGACTCTTATTTCAAATACATCCTGGAAGCTGTGTTGGTTCACCCACAGGACCTGGAATGGCTTTGCCCAGGAGATATGATTGGCCAGCTCAGCTGCTTCCCCTCTCATTTCTCTTATTTACACTCCTATCTCTCTCTCTCTCTTTCTCTTTTTTTTTTTTTTTTTTTAGGCAGGGTCTCACTTTGTCGCCCAGGCTGGAGTGCAGCGGTGCAGGTTCACTGCAGCCTCGATCTCCCGGACTCAAGAGATCCTCCCGTCTCAACCCCGCAAGTGGCTGGGACTATAGGCATGCACCACCATGCCTGGCTAATTTTTATACTTCTTGTAGAGAAGGGGTTTCACCACGTTGGCCAGGCTGGTCTCAGTCCTTCTGCCTTGGCCTCCCAAAGTGCTGTGAAGGTATAGGCGTGAGCCACTGCTTATGGCCTTATGGGATGTTTTATGTTCTTTTGTGATCTTTCTCTCCTTTTAAAATCCTAACATTCTTGTACAACTATGTTCATAGCAACATTATTCACAATAGATAAAATGTGGAAGCAACCCAAGTGTCCATCCATGGATGAATGGCTAAGCAAAATGTGACACATCCATGCAATGAAATATTACTCAGCCTTGAAAAGAAGGCAATTCTGTCACATGCTACTACATGAATGAAGTTTGAGGACATTATGCTAAGTGAAATAAGCCAGTCACAAAAAAAAGAATGCCGTATGATTCCATTTGTAAGAGGGACTCTCATTATTCTCTTACTTCTGTAATCCCTGCAGGACACTGGAGGCTCTGGAGTGGACTTCAGTGTATTTGCTGGCCAACATCCCTTCCCTCTTCTATTACAGCATTTCCTTCCCAATTCCATTTTGTGGGTGGAGCAAGGGGAAGGGCTGTCACTCACAACATTCTACCTCCAGGCCATAGCGATTGGCCCAGGGATAGGCATGTGACCAAGCCAGGCAAATTGGAGTGTTCTCCAACTTGTGGAGACATTTGGAGGTCTCCAATGTTACATTTGCATGCTAGGAAGGATAGAGAGACTCCCTTGTTCTTGGATCTTAAGCTCTCAGATTGCTAATCCTTAGTCATGTTCCTTGGAGGAGGCTTGGCTGCTGCAGCATAAAGTGAAACGAGTCCACAGACAGAAGCAAAACTAAGTGATGAAGTTAATGTGTGTTAATAAATTTCTGGTTGAAGTGGTTTGATTCAGGTGTCTGCCACTTGCAACTAAAAAAGTCCTGATTAAGAAATAACCTCGGCTGGGCACAGTGACTCATGCCTGTAATCCCAGCACTTTGGGAGGCTAAGGCGGGCAGATCATGAGGTCAGGAGTTTGAGACCAGCCTGGCTAATACAGTGAAACCCCATCTCTACTAAAAATACAAAGTTAGTCGGGCGTGGTGGTGCATGCCTGTAATCCCAGCTACTCGGGAGGCTGAGGCAGGAGAATCGTTTGAACCCGGGAGGCAGAGGTTGCAGTGAGCCGAAATCGCACCATTGCACTCTGGCCTGGGCAACAAGAGCAAAACTTCGTCTCAAAAAAAAAAAAAAAAAAAAATATATATATATATATATATAAAACCTCATTTTTAGGAACATCTACTGCCTTCCATTCATATTTTAACGAGGTGTACTACATTCACTTTATAAAAAAATCTTTACTTAAAAATAATTATAAATTCATAGGAAGTTGTAAAGATAGTACAGAGAAGTCTGTGTAGCCTTCACCCAATTTCCTTCAATAACTACATCTTTTGTAACTATAGTACAATATCAAAAACAGGAAATTAACATTGGGACAATGTGTGTGTGTGCATGTGTGTGTATGTGTGTGTGGTTCTCTGTTGTTTTACCACATCAGATTCATGTAACTAGCATTGCAATCAAAACAAAGGACTTTTCCATTACTACAAAAATGTCACTTGTACTACTCATTATCATAGTCTTCTAGTGTCAACATTTTACTAGTTTGAATGAAGTGTACAAACCTTACCTCCCTTTACATTCCTTTAACCTCCCCATTATTGGATAATTGTCTTAATTATTTCCTCTTCATGCATTGGAACCACATCTGACATTGTTATAATTTTCACTTTAACTATCAAACACAATTTAGAAAACTCCAGAAGAGAAGGAAAGTCTATTGTATTTACTCCTATTTTCACTTTTGTTGTTATTATTTTCTTTTCTGATATTCCAATATTTTTTCTTTTATTACTTCTTTTCTCTTAAGAGAACTTTCTTTAGCCATTCTTTCAAAGCAGGTCTACTAGTGACAAATTCTCTTAGTTTTGTTTCATATGAGGATGTCTTGATTTCCCTTTCATTTCTGAAGACGATATTAACTGGATATAGAATTCTGGGTTGACAATTCTTTTCTTTCGGAACTTGAAAAATGCTGTGCCAATTCCTTCTGGCCTCATGGTTTCTGATGAGAAATCTGCTGCCACTGGAATTGTTTTTCCCTTATACATAAGGTGTATTTCTCTCATGTTGCTTTAAAATATTTTCGTTTTTCTTTAGTTTTCAGAATTTGACTGTGACGTGTCCTGGTATGGATTCTTTGGCTTTATCCTGTTTGAGATTCTCTAGGTTTCCTGAACCTTTAGGTTTATGTATCTTGCCTAATTTGGGGAAATTTCAGCCATTATTTCTTCAAATACTTTTCTAGTACTTCCTGTCCCCTTTCTCCTCTCCTGGGACTTTGATGACACAAATATTTTGATAATTTTCTACAGGTCTCTAATGATCTCTTCTTTTCTTTTTCCAGCCTATTTTCTCTGTTTTGCTATTGAACCCATCCATTGAGTTTTTCACTTGTTTATTGTATTTTCAGTTCAAAATTTTTGACTTGAGTTTTTTTTATAGCTTTTATTTCTTTGGTCAGATTTATATTTTTTTCCATTTGGTTCAAGTATGTTCATAATTGATCACTGAAGCTTTTTTCTTTTTTATTAAGAGACTATGATTGCACCACTGCACTCCACTCTGTTGCCTAAGTTGGAGTGCAGTGGTGCAATCATAGCTCATTGCAGCCTTGGATTCCTAAGTGCAAGAGATCCTCCCACTTCACCCTCCCAAGTAGCTGGGAGTGCAGGCACATGTCGCCACCCAACTAAATTTTTTAGTTTTATTTTTTGTAGATGCAAGGTCTTACTATGTTGCCCAGGCTGGTCTTGAACACCTATCCTCAAGTGATCCTCCTGCCTCAGGCTCCCAAAGCACTGGGACTACAGGCATGAGACACCATGCCTGGCCTCATTAAAGCATTTTTTTTTTTAGATGGAGTTTCGCCCTTGTCACCCAGGCTGGAGTGCAATGGCATGATCTGGGTTCATTGCAACCTCCATCTCCCTGGTTCAGGCAATGCTCCTGCCTCAGCCTCCTGAGTAGCTGGGATTACAGGGACCTATCACCATACCCAGCTAATTTTTGTATTTTTAGTAGAGACAGGGTTTCACCATCTTGGCCAGGCTGGTCTCAAACTCCTGACCTCAGGTGATCCACCTGCCTCGGCCTCCCAAAGTGCTGGGATTACAGGCGTGAACCACTGTGCCTGGCCTAAAGCATTTTTATAATGGCTATTTTAAAATCCTTGTCAGATAATTCTAACATCTGTGCCATCTTGGTGTTGGTGTATCCTGGTTATCTTTTCTCATTCCAGTTGATATTTTCCTGGTTCTTGGTATGATGAGTGATTTTCTGTTGAAACATAGACATTTGGGGTATTATGTTAGACATTGTGTCTCTTATTTAAATCTTCTGTTGAACAGACCTCCTCTCACATTGCTCTACTCATTACTGCTAGGTAGGTGTTGACCCCAGGATACCCATTCTGCCTTCACTGATGCCTGGGACACCTCCTTGTTTTTGATAAGTAGGGGTGGAAGCTCAGCCCCCCTACTAGGCCTCCACTGATTATCCTAGATGGGGGGCACAGGGGTGCCTTGTTACTGCTCCCCACATGGCCCCTACTGAGGCCATGGGAGGTCACTTCCTTACCCTGGGCAGGGATGAAAGTCTTGACTCTCCACTAGGCTTCCTCTGACACAACCCCAGTGGTGTCTGTCTCATCACTGCAAGCTTTTGGCAACAGTAGCATTCTGAACCCTCCAGTCAGCCTTTGCCGGTGGGAGTGAGAGTGGAGCCACAGCTTTATCTGTGATGTTTGGCTGGAGTAGAGTGGTTGTTTATCTAAAAGATTTCCTTCTTGCCAGGCTACCCCTTTTCTCTTCCTTTGGCTAGAAAGAGCAGATTTTTCTTGAGTTTTGTTTTGTTTCTGATTTTTGTTCCTATTGGTGTTTCTGTGTTACCAGCTTCTCTGGCATCCAGAATGGGGAATATGAGTCAGAAAGAAAACCCAGGAAACTCACTATTGTTGTTCTTCAGGTTCTGAGGTCCCTCGTCAGGCTAATTTCTTCCCTCCACCTTTCAGAGTCTTTGTGTGTTTTATATGTGAGGTCCAGGGTTTTAGTTGCACTTGGTGAGATGAATAGGGAAAAGTGCATCTGCTCCTTTTTTTTCTGGAAGTCAACATCTTGCATTTGTTTTTGAAACTATATTAACTCCTTCTGGAACATGCAAGGATATACATAAATAAATGGTGGCAGATGTCTTTCAAGTTCCAGCTCAAATCTCATCTTCTCCATGGAGGCTTCCCTTAGGGTCTTCTTCTGGTTGATTACTGAACTCTATTTCTACTTCCATCGTCATAGTGATCTTATTATGTTTGTGCCCATCTCTGTATGCCTTCACAGAACACAGACTACACTCAGATTTGCTGGTGTATTTGTTATATGAGTGCATCCAAAGGAAGGATGCAGTAGTAAACTTTCGTAACAAGTGACAAGCTAGAATTCAATCACAAGCTGTGCTGTCTTAGGGATTCTCATTTGTATACAAACTTTTCCATGTATCTCTGCTAAATTTTATTGCTATGACTTTTAGACATCTTCAATCATATAATTCAAACTTATCCTTAGATCTGGCCAAACAGGTTATACATTAAGTCTTCAGTAAATATTAGTGTAATGTATGCTGGCTGGGGGAAAATCTCTTTCCCGATGTCCAAACAAATCCCCAAAGCTCACAGGATGGAAAGCTCCGGAGGCTATGCTCTTTAATCTTTGTACCACTAGCTTCCAGCACTCTATAGGATGCATGAAAGGTAAAAGAATTCTCACCTGTTAGTTTTAATTTTCTCTGTGAAGTAAGAGGCAAGGTCATTTACTGAGAGAGAAGGCAAATGGAACAGACATCTTGAAAGACAGGTGATGCAATGGCTCACGGCTGTAATTCCAATACTTTGGGAGGCTTTGGTGGGAGGATCACTTGAGGCCAGGAGTTTGAGACCAGCCTGGGCAATATAGCGAGACATCATCTCTACAAAAACTTTAAAAATTAGCCAGGTATGGTGGCTCATGCCTACAGTCCCAGCTACTTGGGAAGATGAGGTGGAAGGATCCCTTGAGCCCAGGAGTTCCAGCTTACAGTGAGCCATGATCAGGCCACTGCACTCTAGCCTGGGTGACAGAGCAAAATTCTCTCCCAAAATAATAAAAAAATAAAGAAAAAATAGGCTGGACATGGTGGCTCACATCTGTAATGCTAGCACTTTGGAAGGTCGAGGTAGGTGGATCACCTGAGGTTAGGAGTTTGAGACCAGCCTGGCCAACATGGTGAAACCCTGTCTCTACTAAAAATACAAAAATTAGCTGGGTGTGGTGGTGTGTGCCTGTAATCCCAGCTACCTGGGAGGCTGAGGAAGGAGAATCCCTGGAACACAAGAGGCAGAGGCTGCAGTGAGCCGAGATCGCGCCACTACACTGCAGCCTGGGCAACAAAGCGAGACTTCATCTCAAAAAAAAAAAAAGAAAGAAAGAAAAAATAGAGAAAGGTGATGGCTTAGATTTTACCCAATGTAAAAAAAAAAAAGATTAATTTGTGTAGAATTGGAGGAATGAGGGAGAAAGGGTTGTCTGGGACCATTTAAGCTTTGAAGGAGTTTATTCCTGAAAAAAGAAAAGTGAACAATACTCAAGAACAAAGAAGAAATATAAAAATAATTTATTCTCATTACTAAGCCGTATAATCTTACAATAGAAAATTTAGAATACTGGCCAGGTGCAGTGGCTCGTGCTTGTAATCCTAGCACTTTGGGAGGCTGAGGTAGGAGGATTGCTTGAACCCAAGAGTTCAGAAGGGCCAGTCTAGGCAACTTAGTGAGAACCTATCTCTACAAAAAGTAAAAAAATAAAAAAAATTAGCCAGGTATAGTGATGCATGTTTATAGTCCCAACCTTTTGGGAGGTTGAGGTGGGAGGATTACCTGAGCCCAGGAGACTAAGGTGGCAGTGAGCCATTATCACCCCACTGCACTCTAGCCTGGGCAACAGAGCAAGACCCTATCTCAAAAAACAACAACAGGCTGGGCACGGTGGCTCATGTCTGTAATCCCAGCACTTTGGGAGGCCAAGGCGGGCAGATCACCTGAGGTCAGGAGTTCAAGACCAGGCTGGCCAACATGGTGAAACCCCATCTCTACTAAAAATACAAAAAAATCAGCCAGGTGTGGTGGCAGGCACCTGTAATCCCAGCTACTCAGGAAGCTGAGACAAGATAATCACTTGAACCTGGGAGGCGGAGGTTGCAGTGAGCCAAGACTGTGCCATTGCACTCTGGCCTGGGCAAGAGAAGAGTGAAACTACGTCTCAAAAACAAAACAAAACAAAACAAGAACAAGAACAACAACAATAAAAATGTAGAGTACTATATACAGTTAAGCATGAAAGTATAAGCTACCTTATATAATGTCTTCTCCCCCTAGATAATCGCTGTTAACATTTTGGTATACACAATATACTTATAGTCTTTTTAAAAGCAGAAATATACTTTTTAAATGGTATCACGGTATTCATATCATTTTGTTGACTACATTTTGTGTTTTTATAAATCGTGAATAATTTTTCATGTCATAATTGTCTTTCCTACAACAGCATGTTTAATGGCAGCAGATAGTGCTCTATTATATACCTACTTTTTTTTTTTTGAGACAGAGTTTTCTTACTCTTGTTGCCCAAGCTAGAGTGCAATGGCGTGATCATGGCTCACTGCAATTTCTGCCTCCCGGGTTCAAGCAATTCTCCTGCCTCAGCCTCCCGAGGAGCTGGGATTAGAGGCTCACACAACCATGCCTGGCTAAGTTTTTGTACTTTTAGTAGAAACAGAGTTTCACCATGTTAGCCAGGCTGGTCTTGAACTCCTGATCTCAGGTGATCCACACACCTCGGCCTCCCAAAGTGCTGGAATTACAAGCGTGAGCCACCGCACCCGGCCATACGTACATATTTTATTTAAATAATTTCTCCTATTTATTGAACATAATGGTTTTATAGCTTTTCAGTATTATAAACAGCACTAGCATGACCCTCTTTGTCACTACGACTTAGAGCACAATCATGATAAATTCTAGAAGTAGAATTCGTAAATCAAAATTTAGGCAAAAGTCTAAGACCTTTGAAATGTAATGCAAAATGCTTGTTGAATAGCTTGATATTACTGTGACTTTTATATTAGCCAACTTAAATGACCACTAGCAGTTTGTGAGAGTGAAGAAAGCATTTCTGTTAAGGGAGATATGAGCATTTCTTCTATGCTGAATGGAAGATGACAACACAAAAGAAGTTGAAATTCTTTTTCTTTTTCTTTTTCTTTTTTTGAGACAGAGTCTCACTCTGTCGCCCAGGCTGGAGTGCAGTGGCGTGATCTCAGCTCACTGCCACCTCTGCCTCCTGGGTTCAAATGATTCTTCTGCCTCAGCCTCCCAAGTAGCTGGGATTACAGGTGCACACTACCATGCCCAGCCAATTTTTGTATTTTTAGTAGAGATGCCATGTTGGCCAGGCTGGTCTCAAACTCCCGACCTCAGGTGATCCACCTGCCTTGGCCTCCCAAAGTGCTGGGATTACAGGCGTGCGCCACCGCGCCCGGCCCTAAGTTGGAATTATAGGAGAGGGCCGGTCACAGCCTTGAGGAGATGGGAAGAGGTGAATGTGGAACATGAGAATATGGAGATGAAGGGACGCTTCTGAGATGGGAAGGAAAAGAACATATGGATTTGTAGTGAACCTGCAGGTATGGGGAGGTGGGACGTGAATGAAGTTCCCCGACACACTCAAGTTTCTCTGTGAAGTAAAAGGCAGACTCAGTTGTTGAGCAAGAAGAAGGCAGGAATGAGATATGGCCTTGAATAGGGTGGAAAAGTTTTGGAACAGCCAATGAGCAACGCAGGTGAGGGAGCCTGACCAAATACCTGAGAGGATTGCCGGGATGTTCTATGCACACATCCCAGGGCGGCGATCATGAGTTTATAGTGTTACCCATCTAGAGAGTTGTTCTTCAACCTGGAACTGCCCTGTGGCTGGGCTCTTCCCGTCATTCAGACCTTTAGCAAACTGGCATTCTCGGATAGAGCCTCTCCCATCATATTATCTAAAGACGCACCTGTTCTGTGCCTCTGGCACACCATTCCATTATCAAGGTACTTGTCACCATGGAAAGGATGTACTTTATTTATGTGTTTCTGTTTACTCATTTGTTTTTATTTGTCCTTTACTACACTGTAAGCACCTGAGCAGACACCTGTTTATATTATTCATCGCTGTGTTCTCAATGCATAGAACAATACCTAGTGCATTACTTACCTTTAAAATAAATATTGATTTTTTTTTTTAAACAGAGTCTCACTCTGTCACCCAGGCTGGAGTGCAGTGGTGCAATCTTGGCTCACTACAACCTCTGCCTCCCGGGTTCAAGCGATTTTCCTGCCTCAGCCTCCTGAGTAGTTGGGATTACAGGTGTGCGCTACCACGCCCAGCTAACTTTTTGTATCTTTAGTAGAGACGGGGTTTCCGCATGTTGGTCAGGCTGGTCTCGAACTCCTGACCTCGTGATCTGCCCGCCTTGGCCTCCCAAAATGCTGGGATTACAGGCATGAGCCACAGTGCCCAGCCTGATTTTTTTTTTTTTTTTTTTTTTAGACAGAGTCTCACTCTGTCACCCAGACTGAGGTGCAGTGATGCAATCTCGGCTCACTGCAGCCTCAACTTCCCAGGTTCAAGCGATTCTTGTCCTTCAGCCTCCTGAGTAGCTGGGATTATAGTATGTGCCACCATGACCAGCTAATTTTTTGTATTTTTAGTAGAGATGGGGTTTCATCATGTTGGTCAGGCTGATCTTGAACTCCTGGCCTTAAGTGATCCGCCTGCCTCAGCCTCCCAAAGTGCTGGGATTACAGGCGTGAGCCACTGCGCCTGGCTTATATTGTTGATTGAATAAAATGAGTTAATAGTTAGAAACATGATGGAATTTATTTGTGATAGAAAAACAAGGAAACAGCAAGGATGGTTGGGGAGAAAATGCAAAGCATCATGGAATAAGAGGATGGGAGGAGAGGGAAGAGCTGGGAACTTGCATTTAAAGCAGCGCGGCAGGAATCTGGAGACCAGCGTTTGACTGCTCTCAGGATTCCGGGGCAGTGGAGGTGGGATGCCCCAGTGCTGCGAGTGGTCTGGACACACTGGGCAACAGCTGCCTGGTACTTAGATGAGGAGTGACTGAGGAGGGGAATATTCACATACTGGGACAGATGATGGACGGAGTGGGTCCCTGTGATATGCCTCAAAAAATGCCACAGAAGGGCCTTGTCTTCCTGCACATATCCTAGGCAGAAAGGTGTGCCCTATTGAAAGGTGATGAAGGGCAAGCTGCCCTAACAATTCCACCTGATACCATCGAGGAGATTCCATCTGAGAGCCAGGAATAAGTGCAATAGAACATTCTGAGCTGGCTGAGCTAGGCCACAGCTGGCTCTATGTCAGCCCATTTATGTGCACAAAAACTTTTGTTCTGTAACCAGGAGAGGAAGGAGGAGTTTTGAGTAAGCCCATGGGAGGGTAGAGAGTAGAGGGGAAGAAAGAGTCAGGCATTGCAATCATTCCCTTTGTGGGCCCTTGGACTGGGCTCAGAGGGCTAGAAATAGATGCAATTGATTCTTGTGAGATTCATGGCAACGGGTGATGGCCAGAAGATGATGAAACAGGACTTGAGGGCTCTGTAGGATGCTAGGCAGAGTAGAGCTGTTTTGAAACTCAAAGAAAGAGGGGTGGGCTAGGCACAGCGCCTCATGCCTGTAATCCCAGTACTTTGGGAGGCCGAGACAGGAGGATCACTTGAAGCCAGGAATTCAAGACCAACCTGTGCAGCATACGAGACCCTGTCTCTACAAAAAATTAAAAAATTAGCAGGGCATGGTGGCACACACCTGTAGGCCTAGCTACTTGGGAGGCTGAGGCAGAGGACAGCTTGAGCCCAGGAGTTGGAGGCTGTAGTGAGCCATGATCACGCCACTGCACTCCAGCGTGGGCAACAGAGAAAGACCTTGTCTCAAAAAAAAGGGGGTTAACTGAAGACGCCCAAGTTCCCTGGGCTTGGTGATGGTGGGCAGGGAGTGGCCAACCTTCCCACCCAACTCACTCTGGTCTCTGTCTGCCTCTCTGCAGACAGTCCAACCTGCATGGGCTCCCTCCGAATGTTTCGGAGACTCTGTGAGGGGCCCGCACATGCTGCACGCATTCCTTCTGGCTATTGCTCCTCTTTGCTGCTCCTCTGTTGCCACTCCTTGCCAGCTGGTGACAGTAATGTGACTGTGCTCTCAAGCACTGGATGGGCCTGGCTCCAAAGTGTTGCTAACTCCAAGCTGTTCTGAGGACTCAACTTTATTGATATCTTGAGACTAAAAGGGATTACAATGCGGAAAACAAAAACTCAAAATTCAGTGTTGATATCACTGCTAGGAAGTCCCCAGCTTAGCCCCCGGCCTCCCTGGCGTCGAGGGATCACTCTTTCCAGAGTATAAGCCCCCTGCTAGAGCATGGGCCCCCGCTCCATACCTGCAAGGCTGCCTCCTTTTCCACCATAGGTCAATCAAAGGTGGGAAATAACCCTTCCTTTCTACAGATTGTCATATGGTTCTGTATGGCCCAGGTGAGGCGGTTGTAAGACCTGAGAGTATATTTCTCCTGGTCTGAGTTGTTATTCTTAAGTGACATCATGTGTGGGATTTCAGCAGCTCTGGACTTATGATCTCCCAGAAGCAAATACCTGAGCAAAACACACACACACACACATGCACATACATACACACATACACACACATATACACACGCACATATACACTATCCCCACCACCACCACCGACACACAGACCCCTTTCCCAAAAAATTCCAATAATTTTCAGGGACATTCCAATCAAAATACATACTTTAGTCCAGGCGTGGTGGCTCACACCTGTAATCCCAGCACCTTGGGAGGCCGAGGCTGGCAGATCACTTGAGCTCAGGAGTTCGAGACCACCCTGGCCAACATGATGAAACCCTGTCTCTACTAAAAATACAAAAAATTAGCTGGGCATGGTGGCTCACGCCTGTAGTCCCAACTACTCAGGAGGCTGAGGCAGAAGAATCGCTCAACCTGGGTGGCAGAGGTTGCAGTGAGCCCAGATCGTGCCACTGCACTCCATCCTGAGTGACAAAGTGAGACAAACAAAAAACAACATACATACTTTAAAAAATATATCTGCAAAATTACAGAGCTGCTAAAAATATATCCAGCTTACATAATGGAAAAATAATTTTAGCATCTCAGTCTGAAGCATCTTCATTTGATTTCCTTCCCTGGGTCAAGCCTTCCACAATGGGACAAAAATGGTTCCTCAGTGAGAATGAAGGACAGTGTGCCCCAATCCCAGAAAGAGCTTCTACCCTAGGGTGCAAAACCCAGCTCTCCCCTCTCCTACAGCAGCTTTCCAGCCTCCGCAAAGGTGAGATACACACTTTATCTCCAGCCATAGGAAGAACTCCTGACAGTTCTAAAATAACAGTTTGTGCCATTAAAAGTGTGGTCCAGGATAGAAGAGTTGAAGGGTGGGCATTTGCCTCACCTCTCCATAAAAGCCAAGTCAAATCTAATGCCCCCCAGGACTGGAAATTTGGTGAAACCCAAAGGCAGCCTGGAACGACTCATGTCCTTCTTGTGGGGGCAGGGGTCGTGGCGAGGCTTCTCCCTGAAATGGTGTGAGCAGCAGCTGTGGATGACTGGAACGACTGGAACGACTCATGGCCTTCTTGGGAGGGCAGAAGTCATGGTGAGGCTTCTCCCAGAAATGGTGTGGGCAGCAGCTGTGGACCTAAAGGAAGGGAAGGAGACAGCAAATGCTTTGTGGCAACTGCAGCTAAGAGGGTGTGGGCACATGGGAAGCACTATGGTCCCTAGAAATCCTGCAGTGGGGCTGGGAGAATCTGAGGCAAAGTTATTTCTTATGCTCAAGCCAGTGGACAGTTGTGACGTTGGACGCTGAGCATCAAAATAAAGTGCAACCTCCCCTGTGGTCACAGGTGGAGGGATGTCGGACATTCAGGTTACGTAAAAATGATACAAGGCTCAGTCCTCAGAGGAACGTTTCATGTCAGGTAGAGTCCATGTCTTATCAAGAATACACTTCTTTCATTTTCCTCTGGTAAATATTTAAACACCATTCTTTTTTTTTTTTTTTTCTTGGGATGGAGTCTTGCTATTAATATGTTGTCCATGCTGGTCTCAAACTCCAGGGCAGAAGAGATTCTCCCACCACCTCAGCCTCTCAAATAGCCGGGACTACAGGCATGCATCACTGCACCCAGGTTTTTTTGTTTTTTGTTTTTTTTTTTTTTTGAGACAGAGTCTCACTCTGTTGCCCAGGGTGGAGTACAGTGGTGCAATATTAGCTCACTGCAACTTCCGCCTCTGGGGTTAAAGTGATTCTCATTCCTCAGCCTCCCAAGCAGCTGGGATTAGAGGCGTGTGCCACCACGCCCGGCTAATTCTTTGTACTTTTAGTAAAGACGGGGCTTTGCTATGTTAGCCAGGCTGCTCTCGAACTCTTGGCCTCAAGTGATCTGCCTGCCTCGGCCTTCAGAGTGCTGGGATTACAGGCATGAGCCACCGAACCTGGTGTTAAACACCATTTTTTTTTTTTTGAGACAGAGTCTCACTGTCGCCCAGGCTAGAGTGCAGTGGCGTGATCTCAGTTCACTGCAACCTCCGCCTCCCGGCTTCAAGCGATTCTCCCACCTCAGCCTCCGGTGTAGCTGGGACTACAGGCGTGTGCCACCACACCTGGGTAATTTTTGTATTTTTAGTAGAAATGGGGTTTTGCCATGTTGGCCAGGCTAGTCTTGAACTCCTGACCTCAGGTGATCCACCTACCTCAGCCTCCCAAAGTGCTGGGATTACAGGCGTGAGCCACCGCGCCTGGCCCCCTTAAATCTGCATTTTGAAACAAGCATCCTCTGCTGGAGAATTTCACTTGGCTTTTTCTTGTTTGTTTGTTTGCTTGCTTGTTTTTTTGAGACAGAGTCTCACTCTGTTGCCCAGGCTGGAGTGCAGCAGCGTTATCTTGGCTCACTGCAACCTCTCCCTCCCGGGTTCAAGCAATTGTTGTGTCTCAGCCTCCCAAGTAGCTGGGATTGCAGGCATGTGCCACCACTCCTGGCTAATTTTTGTATTTTTAGTAGAGATGGGGTTTCACCATGTTGGCCAGGCTGGTCTCAAACTTCTGACCTCAGGTGATCTGCCCGCCTTGGCTGCCCAAAGCACTGGGATTACAGGTGTGAGCCATTGCACCTGGCTGGATCATTTCTATTTGCCTTTTCAGACCCATTCTCCATCCTTCTTCATCCCATCTTGAGCCCCAGGATTCAGACCCATTCTCCATCTTTCTTCATTCCATCTTGTGCCCCAGGATTCAGACCCATTCTCCATCCTCCTTCATTCCATCTTGAGCCCCAGGATTCAGACCAATTCTCCATCCTTCATTCCATCTGGTGCCCCAGGATTCAGACCCATTCTCCATCCTTCTTCATCCCATCTTGAGCCCCAGGATTCAGACCCATTCTCCATCCTTCATTCCATCTTGAGCCCCAGGATTCAGACCCATTCTCCATCTTTCTTCATTCCATCTGGTGCTCCAGGAGATGACATTTATGGACTGCTTCAACTGTGCTTCCCTGTGCTCTGGAATCCAACTGGGTCTAGTGCGTGGTACACTCTGGCAGCAAATGAGAGAGTGGGAGGAGAGGGAGGCTGGGATATTAATTCCCCCTTGGCCATTTCCCTGCCAGGCTGCAGTTTAGCAGTGGTTGAGTCCTCTTCTACGCTGCTCCCTCCAGGTTCCTCTAGCCCTCCCTTTCCCCAACCCTTCAAGCCTAGTGGTGCCCAATGCCCAAGGTGCGCCCAAAACCAAGTGAATCAGAATCTCTAGGCAGGGGCACCCAGCACTCATACTTTAAAGCTTCCCCAGGAGATTCTACCGTGCAGTCCAGGTTGAAAAGAAAAAACAGCTCTAGAGCTTTTGTTTTTGTTTTTAGATGGAGTTTCGCTCTTGTTGCCCAGGCTGGAGTGGAATGGCACGATCTCAGCTCACCGCAACCACCGCCTCCGGGGTTCAAGCGACTCTCCTGCCTCAGCCTACCAAGTAGCTGGGATTACAGGCATGAGCAACCACGCCCAGCTAATTTTGTATTTTTAGTAGAGACGAGGTTTCTCTGTGTTGGTCAAGCTGGTCTCGAACTCTCGACCTCAGGTGATCCACCCACCTCAGCGTCCCAAAATGCTGGGATTACAGGCGTGAGCCACCGTGCCTGGCAGAACAGATGCCAAGTCAGCTGTCTCAGAAAGGGTCTGAAATTCTGCATGTCTAACAAGATCTCTGGGTGATTCACATGCACATTAAACTTTGAGAAGCACTGTCCTCATCAATTCCTTCACTTAACAGACTTAAAAAGGGAAATCCAGAGACATAAAGCAACTAGCCTGAGAATACACAGGACCAGAACCAAGTCCTCCAAGTCTAATGGTTTTGGCATGGCCTACCATGAAGTCCCAGGCTGGAGACCTGAGATGACCCTGAGAGGCAGCAGCGAAGAGTCAGAAAGGAATACTTGCAGGAGGCTGGGGTTCTGCAAAGAGGACTTTCTTTAAACAGGCACTACATTTGTTTGGTTTTTTTTCTCCCGAGACAGAGTCTCGCTCTGTCGCTCAGGCTGGAGTGCAGTGGTGCGATCTCAGCTCACTGTGGCCTCCACCTCCCAGGTTCAAGCTCTTCTACCTCAGCTTCCCGAGTAGCTGGAATTACAGGCGTGCGCCACCACCCCCAGCTAATTTTTGTATTTTTAGTAGAGACAGGGTTTCACCATGTTGGCCAGGCTGGTCACAAACTCCTGGCCTCAAATGATCTGCACCTCTTGGCCTCCCAAAGTTCTGGGATTACAGGCATGAGCCACCACACCTGGCCAACAGGCAGTATGTTTGTATATATGTAACCCCTGGATATATGAGAGCTAAAGAAAGAGGGAATTTCCTGAGGCCTCACAGGAACAGGTGCAAAGAGCAGCTGCTGGGAGAGGTCTCCACTGGGAGCTTTTGTGGAGGGAGGGAGGACAGGTCAGATGGTGTCAGCTCTTCCAGAGCCTGAGTCCCAGAGTATGTTCTGCAACACTTGGATCATTAGAAATGTGCTAACATTGTCACATCACTGAAACCAATCTTTGGGCAGGAAAAGACAAGCTCCTGTCCTCTGATTCACAAATTTCCCAAGACTTTCATTTCCTATTAAACATTTAGAGCCTCTTAGCAGATGGGGTAGACTGTGTATAAGAATGATCAATATGGTCGGGTGCAGTGGCTCATGCCTATAATCCCAGCAATTTGGGAGGCCAAGGTGGGAGGATCACCTAAGGTCAAGAGTTCAAGACCAGCCTGGCCAACATGGTGAAACCCGTCTCTACCAAAAATACAAAAATTAGCCAGGCATGGTGGTGGGCACCTGTAATCCCAGCTACTCAGGAGGCCGAGGCAGGAGAATTGCATGAACCTGGGAGGCAGAGGTTGCAGTGAGCCGAGATGGTGCCACTGCACTCCAGCTTGGGTGGCAGAGTGAGACTCCATCTCAAAAAAAAAAAAAAAAAAAAAAAAAGAATGGCCAGCATAATTCTTCTCCCTCCATACTTATGTTCTTCTTTTTTTTTCTTTTTTTAAAATGATATAAGGTCTTGCTGTGATACCCAGGCTGGTCTCAAACTCCTGGCCTTAAGTGATCCTCCTGCCTTGGCCTCCCAAAGTCCTGTGATTACAGGTGTCAGCCACCGCATTGGCCCCATGTTTTTGAGTAGTCACCTCTCATACTGACTCCAGGTATGGCCACATGGCTTGTCTTGGTCAGTGGGACAAAAACAAACATGCCACAAGCAGAGATGCACACTTGGGCTTGCCTCTCTTGCTGTGCTTTGGAACCTTGGGAGCACAATGTGGAAAGGCTGGGGCCGGCCTACAGGAGGATGACAGCCCCCATGGAGCAGAGACAAGACACCCCAGCTGAGACCCTCCTGCCCCCAGGCCAACCAGCCTGCTAATCCCCAGACTTCACGTTTTGACCAATTGCCAGCTGACCAAAAACACACACGGGCACCCAGCAGAGATCAGCAGAGCCAGCCCAGAGCTTAATGACACCACCTGGCTGACCCTCAGCTGAGTCAAATGATTACTGGTTTAGGCCACTAACTTTTGGTGTGGTTTATGATACAACCGGAGCTAACAGATCCAAACACAACAGGTTAGCCTGAAATATTATAAACTGCTTGTCAGCCAGGCACGTCTTGCAGCACTGTTTTGTTGGCAGAATAATAGAAATAGAGAACATGCAAGTTGTGCCCTGCCGTAGGATATCATGCAGCCATTGGAAGGAACCATTAAATCTGCACCCATTCATTTAAAGGGGTTTCAGAGAGGTAACAGTAAGTAAAAAAAAAAGGGCAAAATCACAGAGTAGTGAATATACAATAAGAACTCTTTTTTTTTTTTTTTTTCCTGGCTGGGAGCAGTGGCTCACACCTGTAATCCCAGCACTTTGGGGGGCCAAGGTGGGTGGATCACCTGAGGTCAGGTGTTCAAGACCAGCCTGACCAACATAGTGAAACCCTATCTCTACTAAAAATACAAAATTAGCCGGTCATGGTGGTGCATGCCTATAATCCCAGCTACTTGGGAGGCTGAGGCAGGAGAATCACTTGAACCCAGGAGGCAGAGGTTGCAGTAAGCTGAGATTGTGCCATTGCACTCCAGCCTGGGCAACAAGAGCGAAACTCCATCTCAAAAAATAAACCCCCCACAAAAAAACATTTTTTTTTTTTTTTGGCTGGGAATGGTGGTTCACACCTGTAATCCCAACACTTTGGGAGGCCAAGGTAGAAGGATCGATTGAGTTTAGGAGTTTGAGATCAGCCTGGGCAATATAGTGAGACCCCCATCTCTATTTTTTTTTTTAAAAGAACTTATTTTTGTCAAACAGTGACAGAGTCCCATACAGATATGTTTGTTTATGCAAGCTAGGAGAAAAATATGGAAGGACACACACCAGAGAGTGGTGGAGATGCTGGTAGGAGTAGGGGAGGATAAAAGCAGGGGTTGGGGGAGAAAAAAGAAAGAAAAGATGGTATTTAAGTATCCTCATTTGGTAGGCAGCACTTTGGGAGACAGAAGCAGGAGGATCACTTGAGGCCAGGAGCTCAAGACCAGCCTGGATAACATATCGAAACCCCATCTCTACAACAAACAAACAAACAAGCAAACAAACAAAAAGTCCCACGAAATGTATGATCCTGCTTATGCAAATGTATTCATATGCATTCATGCCTAAACATTTCCTGAAATGACAGTATCTAAACTGTTAGGATTTCAGTGACTCTTTTCTTTTTTTCTTTTTTTTTTTTTTTTTTTTTTGACAGGGCCTTGCTCTGTCACCCAGACTGGAGTGCACTGGCGTGATCTTAGCTCACTGCAGCCTCGAAACCCTGGGAGGGTTCGAGGGCGCAAGCAATCCTCCTGCCTCAGCCTCCTGAGTAGATAGGACTACACATGTGAGCCACCGTGCCCTGTTTTCTTTACACTTTTATGAATTGTAGGCAGGGCGTTGTGGCTCACGCCTGTAATCCCAGCACTTTGGGAGGCCGAGGCGGCGGATCACCTGAGATCGAGAGTTTGAGACCAACCTGACCAACAGTAGAAACCCCATCTCTACTAAAAATACAAAATTAGCCAGGTGTGGTGGTGCATGCCTGTAATCCCAGCTACTCAAGGAGGCTGAGGCAGGAGAATCGCTCGAACCCGGGAGGAGGAGGTTGCGGTGAGATGGGATCATGCCATTGCACTCCAGCCTGGGCAACAAGAGCGAAACTCTGTCTCAAAAAAAAAAAAAAGAAGAATTGTTCAAATGTTATATTGAGTATATGGTATTTAATAAATTTGCTAATTTATAAAGCTATTTTCCTGTTGAAAAAAAAAGTGCTCCACACCTAGAGGGTGCTACATCAGGGCCAATGTGCAATAGAATCACCAGTGGTTCTTAAAAATCTGAATTCCTGTGTTTCACTCCGGGTGTCCTGAATGAGAACCTCTGGGCATGGGGACCCGGAGTCTACATTACAAATCAGCACCTGGGGCAATTCTAACTGGCACTGAAAGTATGAGAGGCACTGCCAGAGCTTCTCCAGAATGAATAATCAGCAGTGCTTATTGAAAAGCTGCCCACACTCTGGGCAGCTAATCTGAAAAGCCGTGAACAGCTAAAGCAGCTGACGGACATTTAATCTGTAAGCATGTTCAAGGTCTTGTGCACTCAACAGAATCTTGCACCGCTCCTTCCTGACTTCTGGTTTCCTCTGCTTCCTCCCACATCCAGATGTCCAAGCCTCCTGTTTTCATTCCTGGCTCCCCCATGATCTGGGACCGTCTCTGCCTGGGCTCCTCTCCCAGGGCCACCTTCAGGGACCCTTTTCTACACCACCTTCCCATAAACCATTTGCAGTGGGTGCAAGCTCTACCTTTTTTGCTTCTTTTTTCTTTTTTCGAAATTTTGGGGGTACAAGCACAGATTTCTGCCATGCACATATTGTGTAGTGGTGAAGGCTGGGCTTTCAGTGAACCCATCACCAAAACAGTGAACACCGTACCCAACAGGTAATTTTTCAGCCCTTACCCCCTCCCACCCTCCTACCTTTTGGAGTCTCCAGTGTCTATTATTCCATTCTATATGTCCATGGGTACCCATGGTTTAGCTCTCGCTTCTAAGTGAGAATATGTGGTATTTGACTTTCTGTTTCTGAAGCGCTACCTTTTTTTTTGAGATGGAGTTTCGCTCTTGTTGCCCTGGCTGAAGTGCAATGGCGCCATCTTGGCTCACTGCAACCTCTACCTCCCAGGTTCAAGTGATTCTCCTGCCTCAGCCTCCTGAGTAGCTGGGACTATAGGCACACACCACCAAGCCTGGCTAATTTTTGTATTTTTAGTAGAGATGGGGTTTCTCCATGTTGGTCAGGCTGGTCTTGAACTCCTGACCTCAGGTGATCAGCCTGCCTCAGCCTCCCAAAGTGTTGGGATTACAGGCGTGAGCCACCATGCCCAGCTGAAGCGCTACCTTTTAAGGGTCCTCTAGTTACCTGCATCTTCATGTGAAGTCCTTCTAGGGACACTCCTAAATGCCCAGGGTCCCCAGTGAGAGGATAAACCTGGAGGTAGGGTGTCAGGGAAGCCGACTGAGGTATGGGGATCAGGCAGGTGGCTGTCTATGTTACTGGGTACAAGACAGAGCCCAGATGTGAACTTGTGGCTTGTTTTCAGAATTCATGGTTAGATATAAGTCATGCCATTTTTTTCTGACTTAGCACAAAATGATTTGAAGAGCTGTAAGCTTTTATATTGTCTGATTTACTTTTAAGTACTGTACTTCAGCAAAGGTTGTGTGTGTGTGTGTGCGCAAGTGCGTGTGTGTGTTAGATTTGACCTTCACAATTCTTAATTGGAAACACACAATTTGGGGATGTTTAGTTAGCATCTGAAAGGCTAATCAGGAGCCCCTATTCCAGAGAGGAAACCCTAAGCCCTTCTGTTAGCTTTGTTAATTGGCGCAGTGGATTTATAAGCAACTTTATACTGATGGGATGGCTGGGTTTAAGCTCCTTGGACTGGCTTCAGAGATTGTTCTGCCGTGATCCTCCTGCCACTGCAATTCCAGTAGCCCCTTATACTTTGCATGGTGCCCAAGAAACAGCCCTGAGTCCTGGTCTTTCAGAGGCTTCCCTCACCCGGTCCTCATTAAGTCTGTGCAGTCCAGCTCCTGGGATATTGTTGAATCTGCCTTAGGTAAACATTTCCTGCAATGTTCTGAAAGAACAGAAAGCTGCCATTCCACAGAACTTACAGAACAGGCTCTGCAGCTGTTACTTGCCAGCTTGCTGGTCAATATTTGTAGGTGGGACAAGAGCTCTAGTCTCTGAGACTTGCTTTCATTGTAACAAACTGCCTCGTTGAGCCACAGTTTCCTTGTAACAAACTGCAAATTGTCATCACCTACTTCTAACTTTTTGTGGTGAGCCATATCAATTAATTTTTTTTTATTTGAGACAGAGAGAGTCTCGCTCTGTTGCCCAGGCTGGAGTGCAGTGGTACAATCTCAGCTCACTGCAGCCTCTGCCTCCCAAATTGAAGCAATTCTCCTGCCTCAGCCACCCAAATATCTGGGACTACAGGCAGGCACCACCATCCCTGGCTAATTTTTGTAGTTTTTAAGTAGAGATGGGGCTTCACCATGTTGGCCAGGCTGGTTTCGAACTCCAGACCTCAGGTGATCCTCCTGTCTTGGCCTCCCAAAGTGCTGGGACTACAGGCGTGAGCCACCACGCCTGGCCTCCATTAATTCTTAAAACGGCTTAATAAGGCCGGGCACGGTGGCTCACGCCTGTAGTCCCAGCACTTTGGGAGGCCGAGGTGGGCAGATCACCTGAGGTCAGGAATTTGAGACCAGCCTGGCCAACATGGTGAAACCCCATCTCTACTAAAAATACAAAAATTAGCCAGGTGTGGTGGTACGCACCTGTAATCCCAGCTACTCGGGAGGCTGAGGCAGGAGAATCACTTGAACCCAGGAGGCGGAGGTTGCAGTGAGCCAAGATCTTGCCACTGCACTCCAGCCTGGGTGACACAGTGAGATCTTGTCTCAAAAAAAAAAAAAAAGAAAAGAAAAGAACAACTGCGCAAAGGGTGTGAAGGAAGGCAGGGCTGTGCCTGAGATGGAGCAGGGACCCCTCTGACCTGCCGCGTCCCACCCCCCACAACATAAGGGACCTCCCCCCACACCTCCCACCCCAGGGGAAAGGCCACCTCTCTGGGGTCCGGGACTAATAAGGGGAATGAAAGTGATTTGTACTTAACAATAGAGCTGCTAACTGACAATCTGAAAAGAACAAGAGCCAGGCAGGAATAGGAACCTTAACATGCACATGGTATTAGAAGCTTCAGCTCATGGCCGGGCGTGGTGGCTCACGCCTGTAATCCCAGCACTTTGGGAGGCCCAGGCGGTCGGATCACGAGGTCAGGAGATCCAGCTCATCCTGGCTAACATGGTGAAACCCCGTCTCTACTAAAAATATAAAAAATTAGCCAGGGGCGTGGTGGCGGGCACCTGTAGTCCTAACTTCTCGGGAGGCTGAGGCAGGAGAATGGCGTGAACCCGGGAGGCGGAGCTTGCAGTGAGCCGAGATCGCGCCACTGCACTCCAGCCTGGGCGACAGAGCGAGACTAAGTCTTAAAAAAAAAAAAAAAGAAGCTTCAGATCATAACAGAGAAGAAAGGGAAAAGAGAATACAAGAAACAGTCCCATTGACAAGTGGTTTTAGGTCCTGGTTTTGTTTGTTATGCTTATTAGAGTAGAGTAGAACTACCTCAAGGGCAAATGGGCATTTTGTTACACAGAAATTTCTGGAGTTTCTTAATTTTTTTAATTTTTGTTTTACAGACAGGGTCTCACTGTGTCACCCAGGCTGAAACAGTGGTACACTCATAGCTCACTGCAGCCCCAAACTCCTGGGCTCAAGTAAACCTCCCACATTAGCCTTTCAAGTAGCTAGGACTACAGGCATGCACCACCACACCTGGCTATTCTTAAAAGTTTTTATGGAGACGGGGTCTCACTGTCCTGGCCAGTCTGGTCTTGAACTTCTGACCTCAAGATATCTTCCCACCTTGGCCTCCCAAAGCACTGAATTATAAGCATGAGCCACTGTGCCCAGCCTTGGTTTTAAATATACATACATACATATATATATATATATGTATATATATGTGTATATATATGTGTATATATATGTGTATATATATGTATATATGTGTATATATGTATATATGTGTATATATATGTATATATGTATATATATATGTATATATATGCGTATATATATGTGTATATATGTGTATATATATGTATATATGTATATATATATGTATATATATGTGTATATATGTATATATATATGTGTATATATGTATATATATGTGTATATATATGTATATATATATGTGTATATATACATATATATATAAAATATAGAAAGCAACAAAAGTGAGATACAGTTCTTCCTCTTCCCTTTCTTTTTCTTAAAAGAAAATCTTTTGAGTGTTACAGCTCTTTTAGAATTTGTCTAGCCGGCTTTCCAGTTTTGCCGGAAAGCCCCCAAATAAATAAATAAATATAAATCTTTTGCATCAAAGGACATTATCAAGAATGTGAAAGACAACCTACAGAATGGGAGAAAATATTAACAAATCATATATCTCATAAGGGTTCAATATTCAGAATATATAAAGAACTCTTACAACTCAACAACAAAAACATAACATAGGGCCTGGCATGGTGGCACACGCCTGTAATCCAGCACTTAGGGAGGCTGACACGGGTGGATCACCTGAGGCCAGGAGTTCAAGACTAGCCTGGCCAATATGGCGAAACCCCGTCTTAACTAAAAACACAAAAATTAGCTGGGCATGGCGGGCACCTGTAGTCCCAGCTACTCGGGAGGCTGAGGTGGGAGAATCGCTCGAACCCAGGCGGCAGAGGTTGCAGTGAGCCGAGATTGCACCACCACACTCTCCAGCCTGGGCAGCAGAGCGAGACTCCATCTCAAAAAAAGAAAACAAAAAAAATAAACAGATAACTCAGTTAAAAAACAGGCAAAGGACATGAATAGACATTTCTCCAGAGAAGATATACGCATGGCCAAAAAGCACATGAAAAGATTTTCCACGTCATTGGTCATTAGGGAAATTAAATCACAACCAAAATGAGATACCACCTCAACTAGGATGGCTCAAATAAAAAAAAGAGTTGGTGAGGGTATAGAGAAACTGGAACCCTTCAGCATTGCTGGTGCAAATGTATAAAGGGTGCAGCCACTGTGGAAAACAGTCTGGCAGTTTCTCAGAAAGTTAAACATAGAGTTTCCATATGACCCAGCAATTCCGCTCCTAAGTATACACCCAAGAGAAATGAAAACATATGTCCACACAGAAATTTATACACAAGTGTTTATAGCAGCATTATTTATTTGTTTAAGCTTTTAATTTTTTTTGAGACAGGGTTTCACTCCCATCACCCAGGCTGGAGTGTAGTGATGCAATCTTGGCTCACTGCATTCTCCACCACCGGCGCTCAAGCAATTTTCCTGCCTCAGCCTCCAGTGTAGCTGGGATTATAAGACCATACCTGGCTAATTTTTTGTATTTTTAGTAGAGACAGGGTTTTGTGATGTTGAGCCTGAGATCAGGTGATCTGCCTGCCTTGGCCTTGCAAAGTGCTGGGATTACAGGCATGATCCACCATGCCCAGCCAACAGCATTATTTGTGATACCCAAAGGTGGAAACAGCCCATCCGTTGATGAATGGATAAACAAATGTGGTATACTTTTTTTTGGAGACAGAGTTTTGCTCTGTCACCCAAGCTGGAGTGCAGTGGCGCAATCTCGGCTCACTGCAACTTCTGCCTCCCGGGTTCAAGCGATTCTCCTGTCTCAATCTCCTGAGTAGCTGCAATTATAGGCGCCCACCACTGCACCCGGCTAAATTTTGTATTTTTAGTAGAGATGGGGTTTTGTTGTGTTGGCCAGACTGATCTCAAGCTCCTGACCTCAAGTGATCCACCCACCTCGGCCTCCCAAAGTGCTGGGGTTACAGGCGTGAGCTACGGCGCCCAGCCAACTCTTTTTTTTTTTTTTTTTTTTTTTTTTTTGAGACAGAGGCTCGCTCTGTAGCCCAGGCAGGAGTGTAATGGTGCGATCTCGGCTCTCTGCAACTTTTGCTCCCTGGGTTCAAGCGATTCTCCTGCCTCAGCCTCCTGAGTAGCTGGGACTACAGGTGCGCGCCACCATGCCCAGCTAATTTTTGTATTTTTAGTAGAGACGGGGTTTCACCACGTTGGTCAGGCTGGTCTCAAACTCCTGACCTTGTGATCCACCCACCTTGGCCTCCCAAAGTGCTGGGATTACAAATGTAAGCCACGGTGCCCAGCCAACTCTTAACGAAGTAGTATTCAGCCATAAAAAGGAACAAAGTACTGACACATGCTACAATATGAAGGAACCTTGAAAACATTAAGCTACCTGAAAGAAGCCTGTTACAAAAGGCCATATATGTATCATTCCATTTATATGAAACATCCAGGTTAGGCAAATCCATCAAGACAGAAAGTGGATTAGAGGTTAGCAAGAGGTGGGTGGACAGAGAAGTGGGGAGTGATTACTTAGTGGGTATAGGGCTTCCTTTTACAGGTAAAGGAAAAAATCTTGAAACTTGAGAGAGCTGGTGGTTGCACAATATTTGAGTGCACTAAATGTGACTGAATTGGTCATTCAAAATGAACAAAAGTGGTTAATATTATGTAAATTTCTTTTGTTTTTTTTGAGACAGAGTCTCGCTCTGTCACCCAGGCTGGAGAGCAGTGCTGCCATCCTCGCTCACTGCAATCTTTGTCTGCCGGGTTCAAGCAATTCTCCTGCCTCAGCCTCCCAAGTAGCTGGGATTACAGGTGTGCACCATCACGCCCGGCTAATTTTTGTATTTTTAGTAGCGAAGGGGTTTTACCATGTTGGCCAGGCTGGTCTTGAACTCCTGATCTCAAGTGATCTGCCCACCTCAGCCTCCCAAAGTGCTGGCATTATAGGCATGAGCCACTGTGCCTGGCCATAAATTTCACTTCAAAAAAAAAAAAAGTGATCAGTTAAGGAAAAAAAAAAAAAGATAGTTGGGCCTAGGTCATGAAGAGGCTGAAAACCAAGCAGCAGAATTTGTGCTTTATTCTGTAGGTAATAGGGAGCCATTGAAGGTTTTATCCAGTGACAGCCGTTGAGTCGGGTAGAACAGAGAGGAAGGGAGAAACTGGAGCTGGGTGGGCCAAGTAGAAGGTCACTGTCATAGTCCAGCTGCCAGCAAGAACTGACATGGCTCTGCAAGCAACAGAGAGGGAAGGAAAATATGAGAGAACCATTTCAGTACCAATAGGGTCTCAGCAACTGATTGGATATGGGCAGCAAGGAAAGCCAGGAGTGGATTGATTTTGAGGTATTGAACCGGGTGCCTGCATAAAGGTGGATTCATAGGAGAAGGAGCTGCTCTTTGAAGGTGTTAAAAAATGGAAGAGGGGCCAGGTGCGCTGCCTCACACCTGTAATCCCAGCACTTTGGGAGGCCGAGGAGGGTGGATCACTTAAGGTCAGTTCAACACCAGCCTGGCCAACATGTTGAAACCCTGTCTCTACTACAAATACAACAATTAGCTGGGCATGGTGGCACACTCCTGTAGTCCCAGCTACTCAAGAGACTGAAGCACAAGAATCACTTGAACCCAGGAGGTAGAGGTTGTAGTAAGCCGAGATCATGCCACTGCACTCCAGCCAGGGTGACAGAGCTAGACTCCATCTCAAAAAATAATAATTAAAAAATTTAATAGAAGAAGAAGGTGATGGGCTCAGATCAGTTTTAAGCCCTGGCTGGGGATCTAACGAAAAGCTCTCCAGCCGGGCACAGTGGCTCACACCTGTAATCCCAGCACTCTGGGAGGCTGAGGCGGGTGAATCACAAGGTCAGGAGACCGAGACCATCCTGGACAACATGGTGAAACCCCGTCTCTACTGAAAATACAAAAATTAGCTGGGTATAGTGGCGCGTACCTGTAATTCCAGCTACTCGGGAGGCTAAGGCAGGAGAATCGCTTGAACCAGGGAGTCGGAAGTTGCAGTGAGCCGAGATCATACCACTGCACTCCAGCCTGGCGACAGAGCGAGACTCTGTCTCAAAAAACAAACAAACAAACAAACAAACAAACAAACAAATGCTCTCCAAGCAGGAACCATGGACTTGTTCTGGGGAGCAACTCAGATTTGGGTGGAGGTAACTCAGGAGGTTCAAGTCACACCCACTCCCTGCTACTGTCCCCAGAGTAGGAGTCCCCAAGTCAGGCTCCATGGTATCCCCAATGAAGAGGGTAAAGCCAAGACCAGGCTTCTGTAATTAACTGTAGCTACTCAATGCTTCACCCAGCAGGGAGTGGGAGAGTGGCTGAAATGTGGGTCCCAGTTCCACCGTGGTGAGCCCTGCCTGCCCCTGCTTTTCCCACAGGGTTTTTAGGAACACCACAAGCACAGAGGTGTACGGTTCCTGCAGGAAAACACAGATGCATGGCTGAAGTTACAAACTGAGGTTGGCCCTAGAGGCTCAGAACTGGGATTGCCTCTTGAAAGACGTAGGTTGAGGCTGGGCGTGGTGGCTCAATCCTGTAATCTCAGCACTTTGGGAGGCCAAGGCGGGCAGATTGCCTGAGGTCAGGAGTTTGAGACCAGCCTGGCCAACATGGTAAAACCCCATCTCTACTAAAAATACAAAAAAATTAGCCGGGCATGGTGGCACGTGCCTGTAATCCCAGCTACTCAGGAGGCGAGGCCGGAGAAGCACTTGAACCCAGGAGGCAGAGATTGTAGTGACCCAAAATCACGCCATTGCACTACAGCCTGTGTGGCAGAGTGAGACTCCGTCTCAAAAAAAAAAAAAAAGAGAAAGAAAGATGATGGTTGAAGTCAGAATGGATGAGACTGCAGAGGACACTGTTCAGAAGACGATGGCAAGAAGGGCCAACCACAGACTCGGGGGAACACCCTTGGAGGGAGACAGGAAGAGAACTAGGGAAGGACCTATTACAGAATTTGGAGGCCAGGCGCAGTGGCTCATGCCTGTAATCCTAGCACTTTGGGAGTCTGAGGCAGGAGGATCGCTTGAGGCCAGGAGTTCAAAACCAGTCTGGTCAACATAGCAAGACCCCATTTCTACATAAATATTTTTTAAAAATTAGCCGGAGGCTGGGGGCAGTGGCTTATGTCTCTAATCCCAACATTTTGGAAGGCCAAGATAGGAGGATCACCTGAGCCCAGGAGATTGAGACCAGCCCAGGCAACACATAGTGAGACCTCATGTCTATAAAAAAAGAAAAATAAACAAGAAATAAAAATAACGAAAAAAAAATTAGCTGGTGTGGTGGCATGCACCTGTAGTCCCAGCTTCTTGGAAGGCAGAGGTTGGAAGACAGCTGAAGCCCAAGAATTTGAGGCTGCAGTGAGCTATGATCATGTCCCTGCACTCCAGCCTGGGTGACAGAGTGAGACCCTGTGTCTAAAATAAAGAAGGAGGCCACCTTCAAGAGAACAGGGCGTGGTGGCACATGCCTGTAATAGCAGCTACTCGGGATGCGGAGGCAGGAGAATCGCTCGAACCCGGGAGGCGGAGGTTGCGGTGAGCCTAGATCGCACCATTGCACTCCAGCCTGGGCAACAAGAGTGAAACTCTGTCTCAAAAAAAAAAGGAAGAAGTTTATTTTAGTTTGCATTTCCACCAAAACAGACTCTGAGATGAGAATTTGGGTGCAATTATTGTCTTTGTGTTACAGGAAAGGGGTCCCGATCCATACCCCAAGAGAGGTTCTTGGATGTCACACAAGAAATAACTCAGGGTGAGTCCTAAAGTGAAAGCAAGTTTATTAAGAAAGTAAAGGAATAAAAGAATGGCTACTCCATAGACAGAGCAACCCCAAGGGCTGCTGGTTGCCCATTTTTATGGTTATTTCTTGACTAACTGCTAAACAAGGGGTGGATTATTCATGCCTCCCCTTTTTAGACCATATAGGGTAACTTCCTGATGCTCCCATGGCATCTGTAAACGTCATGGCACTGGTGGGAGTGTAGCAGTGAGGATGACCAGAGGTCACTCTCATCGCCATCTTGGTTTTTGTGGGTTTTAGCCAGCTTCTTACTGCAGCCTGTTTTATTGGCAAGGTCTTTGTGACCTGTATCTTGTGCTGACCTCCTATCTCAGCCTGTGACTTAGAATGCCTTAACCATCTGGGAATGCAGCCTAGTGGGTTTCAGTCTCATTGTACCCAGCCCCTACTCCAGATGGAGTTGCTCTGGTTCACACACCTTCTGACATTTGGGCTTGTGACTGAGCAAATTACTGCTATGGGCAATAAGGGTTCGGTCCTGCTGGGAACATGTGTGAGTCTGTGGAAAAAGCCCCAGAATTGTCCTAGAAAGGGGTGAATAAGGTGGTGTATTTATTCATCAACCCCCTCACCCCCGCTTCATGCACTGAGGGTGTCCCCTGGGGGTTAACTCTGAGGAACAGCCCTCAGAGAAGCTCTGTTGTAGCAGAGCTTTCTGTAAGTGACAGCCAGTGTTGGTGTGTGTGCAGATGTGGGTGGGTGGGTGGCATGAGTGGAGCTCTGTCCGGGTTGGCTACAGGCTAGAGAGTCTCTTTGAAGGAAAAGGGAATCTAAGGGCCTGGTGTTTGGGCACATTTCAGGGGGAGGAGGGAGCACACCAGCTTGGCCCAGATCTGGTGTCATGGAAGCTTGCTGGGCTGATCTGTAGAGACAGTTTCTTCCCGCATGGGGAAAAAATATGAAGATGCGCCAAGGGTGTAGCAGTAAAAAGGAGGCCTAGCATGACTGTGGCAGGCCAATCCTCCCTGGCAATCACACAGACAGGCCTACATGACAGTCACACAGACAGGCCTGCATAGCACTCCAGTTACACAGGCAGATATCCACAGCGCCGCCTTAACATGGAGCAAATAGTTAAACCTAGGGAAATCAGTGCCCAGACATCAAAGCTAGAAATGAAACATACGGTCAGTCGGAGCCTTGAATGGGCTTCTCCCTAACCTGGAGCAAGCCAAAATAATAGAGACAGTCTTACATTCCCAGTGCCAAAACCCTTCTCGGGTCGACAAAATCTGAGACGAGTCAAAATAACTGAGGCAGCTGTTTGAATAGATTCATTGGAGAGTGTAAGGCAGCTCTCCGGACCAAGCTGTGAAGGACATAAGCTAGAAATAATCACTCCGGTACCACAGTAGACAGGCCTTGAAGGTCCTGGGGCCCTTTTAATTGGACTGAGCAAGTATTTTTTTTTTTTTGCCTCTGACCTTCTAGTTGAAGCAAAATTAGTTATCAGTAGCCTTAGGCAAATGTTTTACTGCACGTAGGCACATAGCCGCAGCCAATATAAGCACTAAGAAAATTGTAAGGCGTGGTCTAAAATAAATTTTTTAAAAAAAGAAATTGTAACACTTTGAGTTGGTCTGGTGGAATTATCTCCGGCCTTCTCCCTGTATCCGGTTATAGCAATAAATTCCCTTCTTTCCTAGTTTGTCTGTTTCTCGTTATTGGTTCTCAAGAAAACACAGCCGGACCTTGCTTGGTTCTGGGAACATGACAGCTCCATTTGGCTCCTAACCACTCCCACTCCCACGGTATCTGTTAACTGCTTTTACTTATATCTGCACAAAGGATCCTAGGCCAAGCTAACTATGGGAGGAATTTAGTTTATAGTTTGTTTTGTTTTGTTTTTGTTTTTGTTTTGAGACAGGGTCTTGCTCTGTTGCCCAGGCTGGAGTGCAGTGGCAAGATCTCTGCTCACTGCAATCTCTGCCTCCCAGGCTCAAGCGAGCCAACTGCCTCAGCCTGCAGAGTAGCTGGGATTACAGGTGTGCGCTACTATGCCCGGCTAATTTTTGTATTACTAGTAGAGACGGAGTTTCGCCATGTTGCCCAGACTGGTCTTGACCTCATGACCTTAAGTGATCCACCCGCCTTGACCTCTCAAAGTGCTGGGATTATAGGTGTGAGCCACTGCGCCCGGCCTAATTTAACTTTAAAATGAGGATGATAATATTCCCTTCCCGAAACTAATTCCCAAGGAAATAAGAAGGGAGTACACACAAATCACAATGTTATGTTAAAGATTTATAGGCCGGGCGTGGTGGCTCACGCCTGTAATCCCAACACTTTGGGAGGCCGAGGCGGGTGGATCATGAGGTCAGGAGTTCAAGACCAGCCTGGCCAACATGGTAAAACCCTGTCTCTACTAAAAATACAAAAATTAGCCGGGCGTGGTGGTGCACACTTGTAATCCCAGCTACTCGGGAGGCTGAGGCAGAATAATTGCTTGAACTTGGGAGGTGGAGGTTGCAGTGATTGTGCCACTGCAATCTAGCCTGGGCAACAGAGTGAGACTGTGTCTCAAAAGAAAAAAAAAAGATTTATAGGAATATTGTCACATGAGCAAGACAGAGAAGGTTCCCAACCTCCTCGGGTCCTTGCTGGTGCCCAGATATCTGTGGTCATCGGTCACCTCTTGGTCTCAACCCCCTTCCTCTTCCCCTTTCCCTAACATAACAGGGGCCCGAAGTTTATATTAATTCATGATGAGTTACAGTGTTAGGACAGCAGTCTGCCATCTTCATGATTTGCTGGCTCTCTAAATAAAGTCGTCTCCCTTGCCCCAGCACCTTGTCTCCTGATTTATTGGCTGTTGTTACAGGGTGTGAGGAGAGGGGAGAAGAACAGGGAAAGCAGGCAGGTTATTAAACACAGTCAATATTTCTGGCTCCATTGAAGTCACATGATTTGGAAAAAAAAGTTGGGGAATTGAGGGGAGAGTTTTTTTTTTTAAGTTTTTATTTTTTTGAGATGGAGTCTCACTGTTGCCCAGGCTGGAGTGCAGTGGCGCTATCCCAGCTCACTGCAGCCTCCACCTCCTGGGTTCAAGTGATTCTCCTGCCTCAGCCTCCCAAGTAGCTGGGATTACAGGTGTGCACTGCCACACCCGGCTAATTTTTGTATTTCTAGTAGAGACGGGGTTTCACCAAGTTGACCAGGCGGGTCTCCAACTCCTGACCTCAAGTGATCCACTCACCTCAACCTCCCAAAGTGCTAGGATTACAGGCGTGAGTCACCACGCCCAACCAAGGGGAGACTTTTTATTTTGAAATGACAAGAGGAAAACCCTGGAAAAAGTTAGGATCCACAATTATATAGTTTCTGGAAAAAAGAAACCTAAAAGTGTATTTCTTGCTTATTTTCTTTTTACCCACGAGACTTGGAAAACAGAACAAATGTAATGCCCTGGTTCTAAACAGCATGTTAAGCTCAGCATTATGTGGCTCTCAGTGTTCAAGTGGCGCTCCCCTCTGATCACGAGTGAGACCATCAGAGTGTGGGGTGACTCGCAGCTGCCTGTCGGGCTTCTGCAGGAGGAAGACCCCAGCTGCTGCCCCGGGTGGGTGGGGAGATGCCAGCGGGAAACTTCATCTCCGCAGACACAGCAACTGCCCGACAGCCCCACAGGACTGGGGACAAGACACGAAATAAATTGCTTCTCCCACCACACCTCTGAGGCTGTGGACAGGGTGTTTGTGGGACCCAACTCAGAACTGAGCTGTCCTCATTCTTGCTACTTACTAATGCAATACTGGGCTGAACGGCCATCTGGTTCTGTTGGGATTCTGAATACAATCTGTGTGTAGGATTGGGTGGAAGTACCTGGCTGAAATCCAGATAAGGAAAGAATTGGGCCGGGGCCGGTGGCTCATGCCTGTAACCCCAACACTGTGAGGTGTCAACGTGGGAGGATCGCTTGAACCCAGGAGTTCAAGACCAGCCTGGGCAACATATTGGGACCCTAATTCTACTAAAAAATTAGCCGGGTGTGGTGGCATGTACCTGTAGTCCCAGCTTCACAGGTGGGTAAGAAGAGAGAATCGCTTGAGCCTGGGAGGTCGAGGCTGCAGTAAGCCATGATGATACCACTGCCCTCCTTCCTGGGTGACAGAGATCATATCTCAAAAAAAAAAGAAGAGGCTAGGCGTGGTGGCTCATGCCTGTAATCTCAGCACTTTGGGAGGCCGAAGCGGGCTGATCACAAGGTCAAGAGATTGAGACCATACTGACCAACATGGTGAAACCCTGTCTCTACTAAAAATACAAAAAAAATTTAGCTGGGCTTGGTGGCGCATGCCTGTAATCCCAGCTACTTGGGAGGCTGAGGCAGGAGAATCACTTGAACCCGGAGGGCAGAGATTGCATTGAGCCGAGATCGTGCCAGTGCACTCCAACCTGGTGACAGAGCGAGACTCCGACTCAAAAAAAAAAGAAGAATATGAGAACTGCATTTGTTTCTCATTAGACTCACCATGTACAGAAATAGAATGTCCAGCACATTATTCCATGCAGTAAATTTGTAATCTTGTCAGAACAACTCTGGTGAATTTAACATTATTTATTATCTAAGAGGGAACGTGCTGCCTTGTTCATTTCCTGATGTTCCATGAAAGTGATTATGGGATGGATAGCTCTTTTTTTTTTCAGTTACTGATGTTAAATTAATTGACTTTAATTCCTGGGTTTTTCTCCCTTCTTCTCTCCTTCATTTGTCCTTCTCAAATACTATTTATTTATTTATTTATTTATTTATTTATTTATTTATTTTGAGATGAAGTCTCACTCTATCACCCAGGTTGGAGTGCAATGGTACGATCTTGGCTCACTGCAAACTCCACCTCCCAGGTTCAAGCAATTCTCCTCCTGCCTCAGCCTCCCGAGTAGCTGGGAGTACAGGCGTGCACCACTGCACCCGGCTAATTTTTGTATTTTTAGTAGGGATGGGGTTTCCTTTTTTTTTTTTTTTTTTTTTTGAGATGTAGTTTTGCTCTTGTTGCCCAGGCTGGAGTGCAATGGTGTGATCTTGGCTCACCACAACCTCTGCCTCCTAGGTTCAAGTGATTCTCCTGCCTCAGCCTCCCAAGGAGCTGGAATTACAGGCACCCACCACAACCCCTGGCTGATTTATGTATTTTTAGTAGAGACGGGGTTTCACCATGTTGGCCAGGCTGGTCTCAAACTCCTGACCTAAAGTGATCTGCCCACCTTGGCCTCCCAAAGTGCTGGGATTACAGGCGTGAGCCACCACGCCTGGCCCCTTTTCTTTAAAGAAAAAAAAAATTAAGCTCCAAAATTTTAGTCAAGTGAATTTATGATCGTGGCTGCCAAGCCACCATTTGCCGGGTCCATTACAATATCCCCCCTAAGCATTTCAAATCCATCAATAGATAACGAAGACATTGTAGAACCCTGTTATGACACCAGGTTGGTGGGCCTAGGTCAGCTGTTCCATGAGAGGCCCCAGCATGCTGTGTGCGGTGGGAGGTAGTACATGAGGTTGCAGGACAAGAGGCAGGTGTCACCCGTAAGTTGTGGGACCTTGGATAGGTTAGGTGGCCTCAGGTTTCAATCTGTATCTGAAGGCTGGGTGCACTGGCTCATGCCTGTAATCCCAACTTTGGGAGGCCAAGGTGGGAGGATTGCTTGAGGCCAGGAGTTTGAGAGCAGCCTGGACAACATAGAGAGACCTTGCCTCTACAAAAAATAAAGAAAAAAAATACATTTTAACTTCAATTAGAGGTCGGGCGTGGTGATCCACTAATCCCAACGCTTTGGGAGGCTGAGGTGGGCAGATCACCTGAGGTCAGGAGTTCGAGATCAGCATGGCTAACATGGAGAAACCCTGCCTCTACTAAAAATACAAAAATTAGCTGGATGTGGTGGTGTGTACCTGTAATTCCAGCTACTTGGGAGGCTAAGGCAGAAGAATTGCTTGAATCCAGGAGTCAGAGGTTGCAGTGAGCTGAGATCGCACCATTGCACTCCAGCCTGAGTAACAGAGCTGTCAAAAACTAACTAACTAAATAAATAACTTCAATTAGAGACTATAAAAAAGAAAAAATAAAATGAAATAAAAATAGCTGGGATGGTGGTGCGCTCCTGTAGTCCTAGGTACAGGAGGCTGACAGGGGAGGATCACCTGAACCCAGGAGCTTGAGGCTGCAGTGAGCTAGAATTGCACTCCTGCACTCCAATCTGGCTACAGACCAAGACCCCAGGTCTAAAATAAAAATAAAAGTTTGTACCTGGAAATGAGAAAACTGGATTAGATCATCTCAAATATCTAAACATCTAAGGTGGCTAAACATAGTATTGGGTGGCCGAGGGTAATGCAATTTCTGTTTCTGATTTGGACAAAGAAGCCTACAGTAAGAATGAATTTAGGGGGAAATTTTCAAAAAAAAAATCTCTTTGGAAAAGTAAATGCAGTTCTCTTTGAGAAAAGGCACCTAGTTTGAGTATCCGCTGGAAATGCGAGTGGGTCAAGGAATGAGTGACTTTCAGCTAAAGAGAGTTATCAAGAAGCCAGGCGTGGTGGCTCATGCCTGTAATCCCAGCACTTTGGGAGGCTAAAACAGACAGACCACTTGAGATCAGGAGTTTGAGACCAGCCTGGCCAACATGGTGAAACCCCATCTCCACTAAAAATACAAAAAATTAGCCGGGCGTGGTGGCGGGTGCCTGTAATTCCAGCTACTCGGGAGGCTGAGGCACAAGAATCGCTTGAACTTCGGAGGTGGAGGTTGCAGTGAGCCAAGATCACACCACTGCACTCCAGCATGGGTGACAGAGCGAGATTCCATCTCGAAAAAAAAAGTCATCAAGACAAAACTCCACAGCTGTCTTGTTCAGGCTCAGGGAACAGGGAAGAGGGGACAGGGGTCTGAAGCTTCTGACCATGAAGTGCACTTATCTGCCTCTGAGATCATCCATTAAGCAGGCTGGGTTCTTAGTAGGGAAGGCCTGAGCCTGTTTGCCAGTCCTGCGGGGCATTAACAGGGGTCACACTTACCTAATGCTTATCATTTTCAAATGCCTTTCATTTATATTTCCTCTAGGATGAGGACGATACTTTACTTGTGCGTAAATATATTTCCTTCTTTTAATTTTGTTTGGAATGTCATATCTGTTAATGAATTTAAATTAGTGATGAATTAGTATTTCTGTTGATAGTTGATGGACAGTCAATTTTATAGGAGAACCTAATTGACCAACCTGGGTCATAGTTGTATATTTTCAGCTCCTGACTTTCTGGTGCCACCAGTTGGAGTTACTAGTGCCCTCCTGGGAGGAAAGAGTTAACAAGCAGATCTGGTAGCCTACTCCTTGCATATATCAGGGTACCATGATTGACCATTGGCCAACTCTGGGAATGTGGCCCTTGGAATGTTCTTTGTGATAGTTAGTGATTGGTGATTTTCTCATACACACCAGGAGCAATGGACTGTGCCAGATCAGATGGTGAAATTTCTTCACACAAACATCAGAAATGAGTGGCCGGGCGTGGCGATTCACACCTGTGATCCCAGCACTTTGGGAGGCAGAGGCTGAGGCTGGAGGATCACTTGAGGTCAGGGATAGAGACCAGCATGGCCAACATGGTGAAACCCCATCTCTACTAAGAAAAATACAAAAATTAGCCTGGTGTGTCATGCGCCTGTAATCTCAGCTACTCGGGAGGCTGAGGCAGGAGAAGCACTTGAACCCAGGAGGCAGAGGTTGCAGTGAGCCGAGATCACGCCACTGCACTTTAGCCTGGGTGACGGAGTAAGACTCTGTCTCAAAAAAAAAAAAAAAAAAAATCAAGATTGAGGATGGGCACCTAGATTCTGTGTTGGGTTCTCAATTTTGGTTGCCATGGCTGGTTGCTAAGAGAATATGCGTATGTGACCATCCTCTCCCAGTAAACCTTGCACCCTGATACTCCAGTGGGTTTCCCTGGATAGAGATATTCCACACACGTTCCTGTAGTGTAGTTTTGCTGCCAGAAAAAGAAAGCACTCCTGTGGTCTCGGACAGGGAAGGACATCCGAAGCCTGTGTGAGACCTCTCTGGACTCCTCCATTGCATGTCTATTTCCTGCTTGCTTTTATTCTGTATCATTGGCTGTAATAAATCTGAGCCATGAGTATAATTTCCTATTGAGTCTTGGAGCTCTCTAGCAAGTTACTAAATTTAGGGAAGTGGTGTGCCTCAGCATATCCCCCTAAATCTCTGTCTTAGCTGTAGAGAGAACAGTAATACTTTTCCTGGTTTCTCCTACAACCCTAACTTGACAAAAATTAAGTCCCTACTCCAGTTTTGAGACCACTAATTTCTCTAAACCTGTTCTTTAAAAAAATTTCTTTAAGGCAACATTTTTAGCTCTGAGATTTAAGTTAAGTGGAGCTGCTGATACAGCTCCAATGAGTGAAGGAACACCAGGTTCTTCCTCTCAAGTTGAATTAGAAAAAACGGCAGGGACACACGTGGAGTAGTTTTAATGACTGGAGAGTTTAATAGGCAAGAAGGAAGGGAGAAGACAGAAGGAAGACCCTCCCCCATACAGAGACAGAGGGAGGGGGGCCTCTAAAGCCAAAAGAGGAAACCCCACCTGCCACGGATACCAGCCAGGTATATATACAGAGGCTGGAGGAGGTGGTGTCTGATTTACATAGGGCTCAGGGGATTGGTTTGGCCAGGCATGTCATTCACGTAGCCCGTGAAAAAGCTGGCTCTCCCACCCTAGCTTTTTAATATGCAAATACAGGGTGCCATGATGTTCTACACATGTGGGGATATGCGGGGGCGGCCATATTGCCAGGAACATGTGGGGCAAGGGCAAGAAGGCTGCAGGAATGGCCATGTTTGGGTGGACCCAGTTTCTAATGGCCATCATTTGCTTATCAAAGGTTGCCAGCCTGGCTCTAAGAGCTGGGGCTTTACAAGAAACTTTTCCAGAGATGCTTTAAAAAACGAAAACTTCCAAAGGACCCCTTTTGTCTCTATCTGACTAAAATAATTTCTTTTCTTGTTTTTTTGTTATTTGGTTTTTATTTCATAATCATAAACTTAACTCTGCAATCCAGCTAGGCATGGGAGGGAACAAGGAAAACATGGAACTGCAGCAAGAGCACAAAGATTCTAGGATACTGCGAGCAAATGGGGTGGAAGGGTGTTCTCCTGAACTACAGAAGGAATGGTCTGGTGGTTAAGATAAAACACAAGTCAAACTTATTCGAGTTGTCCACAGTCAGCAATGGTGATCTTCTTGCTGGTCTTGCCATTCCTGGACCCAAAGCGCTCCATGGCCTCCATAATATTCATGCCTTCTTTCACTTTGCCAAAGACCACATGCTTGCCATCCAACCACTCAGTCTTGGCAGTGCAGATGAAAAACTGGGAACCATTTGTGTTGGGTCCAGCATTTGCCATGGACAAGATGCCAGGACCTGTATGCTTTAGGATGAAGTTCTCATCTTCAAATTTCTCCCCATAGATGGACTTGCCACCAGTGCCATTATGGCGTGTGAAGTCACGACCCTGATACATAAACCCTGGAATAATTCTGTGAAAGCAGGAACCCTTATAACTAAATCCTTTCTCTCCAGTGCTCAGAGCACGAAAATTTTCTGCTGTCTTTGGGAACTTGTCTGCAAACAGCTAAAAGGAGACGCGGCCCAAGGGCTCGCCGTCGATGGCAATGTCGAAGAACACGGTGGGGTTGACCATGCCTAATAATACAAGGTTTTCCTCGGCAGCAGCGTCTGTCTGGCTCCATCACCAAGGCTGGAGTGCAGTGGCACAATCTCGGCTCACTGCAACCTCCACCTCTCGGGTTCAAGCAATTCTGCTGTCTCAGCCTCCCGAATAGCTGTGACTAAAGATGCCTGCCACCATGCTCAGCTAATTTTGTATTTTTCAGTAGAGATGGGGTTTCACCTTGTTGGTCAGGCTGGTCTGGAACTCCTGACCTCCAGTGATCCACCTGCCTCGGCCTCCCAAAGAGCAGGGATTATAGGCTGTGAGCCACCGCACCCAGCCAATAATTTCTTAATAACTCCTACAACACTGCCAGATAAAAAGAACCAAATAAATGAAAATAAGAAATGACAAAATAGGCCAGGCATGGTGGCTCATGCCTGTAATCTCAGCACTTTGGGATGCCGAGGTGGGTGGATCACTGGAAGCCAGGAGTTGTAGACCAGCCTGGCCAACATGGTGAAACCCCGTCTCTACTTTAAAAAAAAAAAAAAAAATTAGCTGGGCGTGGTGGTGGGCACCTGTAATCCCAGCTACTCTGTAGACAGAGGGAGGAGAATCACTTGAACCCAGGAGGTGGAGGTTGCCGTGAGCCAAGATCTTGCCACTGCACTCCAGCCTGGGTGACAGAGCAAGACTCTGTCTAAAAAAAAAAAAAAAAAAAATAGGAAATGACAAAACAGACAAGGAAGGAAGAAAAGATGCAGCAAAGCCTCTTTGGAGGTCAAAGTTCCATCTGATAAGTCTCCATATTCCCATGCTGTTCACTTTTTGGACACTGGGTGTCTTTATCCAGAAAGCAGAAAAAATTCTACCAGGAAAAGAGCATGCTTGAATAGTGTAAGTAAATGAATAAAAAAAAAAAAAGGCACCCAACACTACTAGCCTTTGACAAGGTTCTGAAAGTAAGTCAGAAAAGGAGGCGTGAGAGTAATTGAGTTGCCTTCATAGGCTTTTGTGTTTGAAATAACTGCAAGAGTATTGATTACCTCCTTCAGTCAACATTCTTGTGAAAGTTCTCATTCTGCATCCCTGCTGGGCGAGAGGCCATTTCTCCCAAGGTAGCTGGGGCATCGTTATTGATGAAGTGGACTTCAAGTGACTAGTTAGGAAAGTCCTCAGGGTTCCTTTCCCAGCCGCCTGGACCCAGGCTTGTGGACAGAGCAGGAGGCAGACCAAAGCCTTTCTTCCTCTTGCCCTCAGAGGAGTGGGGATATTTAGTTTCTTCTGTAGATTGAATGTTTAAGTCCCCTCAAAATTCACATGTCGAAGCTGGGCACAGTGGCTCACACCTGTAATCCCAGCACTTTGGGAGGCCAAGGCAGGCAGATCATCTGAGGTCAGGAGTTCAAAACCAGCCTGGCCAACATGGTGAAACCCTGGCTCTACTGAAAATACAAAAATTCACCCAGCGTGGTGGTGCACGCCTGTAATCCCAGCTACTCGGGAGGCTGAGGCAGGAGAATCACTTGACTCCGGGAGATGAAGGTTGCAGTGAGCAGAGATAGTGCCACTGCACTCTAGCCTGGACAACAGAGCAAGACTGTGTCTAAAAAAAAAAAAAAAAAAAAAAAAAAATTCACATGTTGACACCTAATCCCTAATGTGATTGTATTGTAGGTGTGGAGGTGATAAATTTCTATTTATCTTGCACCTCCCAAAGGTGATTAGGTCATAAAGGTGGAGTCCTCATGAACAGGATGAGTGCTCTTACAGAAGAGGCTTCGTGGACCACAGAGAATGCAAACACTATATGATGTGGTCTCTGTCCCAAAAAGCTTATGATACAGTTATCAGCATCACGGTCACTGTTCTCACTGCTTTCTACGGAGTTCTTACATCCGAGGCAATGTGGGGATCCACTGATTCATGTAACTCACATGATCATGGAAGAAGGTGCCTGATATGTGAGTCCTAGAACTCCTCATTCTGTATTGCTCTCTCTCTTTTAATGAAGCTTCCATTTCTAGACTACTCCTCTCTGGCTTTTCTCCTATTGCATCTCCATGAAATGTTAACAGAAACAACTCTTTTGCTTCTCATCATCAGCTTGTGAGGAGGCATGACAGAAGTGACACATTCATAACAAAGAAGATGGGAGAAGACTAAAAGATGTAAAGAAATAAAGTACCTATTGCAGTGCTTGGCACAGAACAGTTTCTAGAAAAATATTAGTTCCCTTTTTTTTCTTTTGTTTCACTGTGTCTGCACTAATAATTAGTGCCACTAGATGGCAACTTTTGGTCTAAAAACTACCCAGACAATCACTTTCAAATCTTAAAATACTTTTTGGGTTCTCTGTAACTGTATTCCACAGTGACTTTTAATGTAACAAAGTAAGAAAAATCTATTTGGGTTCCAAATAATGGAAAATGTAAATAAGTGAGCAGCAAAGTGCTCTTTGGGCAGAAAAACTGTCTAATGCTATGTCCTGGCCAGAATTTGGCATATAATTCTGCTTAAGAGTATTAATTATTGTGACTACTACTTAAGCACACTGAATGTTAAATTTCTATTTATCTTGCAGGATTCTCAGCATTCCCTGGTGACAATGCTTGTTTCATATTTAGGAGCTCCCCATATTTGCAGCAATCTATTCTTAGAAATAATTTTTTTGGAGAGTTCACTGGCCACAGATCACTCAGATACTGTTCCCCAAGAATTGAAAGGACAGAATCCTCAGCAAGCATTTTTTAAATTATTTACTTTCATTGCTATATAAGAGTTGTATATATTTGCTCAGTAAACTCTTGCAGGAGAATTTAGAGTAACATTTCAGCCTTTTCTCTCAAGTTTGTGATTTTAAAAATGGCTGGAAACATTTATTGAGCACTTATTGTACTGCCAGTTATTATGTTGCATATTATATAATAATCCTATGATAAGTTGGTGGAATTTTTATTTTTTCCAACCAATTTATGTTTATTCCAAAATTGCGAAGTTGGTTAAATATTTGAGAAACAAACAATGTAACTTATGTACTAAGAGAATAAAGGAGGAAAATTGTATAATTTACTCATTAGATACAGGAAAGTCTCCACCAAAATTCAATACTCATTCAAAGTAAAAACTCATTGCAAACTGTGAATAGACGGAAACTTCTGGCTGGGGGCAGTGGCTCATGCCTATAATCCCAGCACTTTGGGAGACCAAGGCAGGTGGATCACCTGAGGTCAGGAGTTCGAGACCAGCCTGGCCAACATGGCAAAACCCCATCTCTACCAAAAATACAAAAAATTAGCTGAGTGTGGTGGTGCACACCTATAATCCCAGATACTCAGGAGTCTGAGGTGGGAGAATGGCTTGAACCAAGCAGGTGGAAGTTGCAGTGAGCCGAGATTGCACCACTACACTCCAGCTTGGGTGACTGGTCTCAAAAAATAATAATAATAAATTTATTAATAATAAAATTAAAAATTAAAAACATCTTTGAATCAAAGGACACTATCAACAGAGTGAAATAATAATAAAATTAAATTTAAAAACAAACTTTAATTTGGTAATGGGTATCTGCAAAAAACCCTACATTAAATCTTACTAATTTTTTGGTAATTAAAGGCAATTTTAATAGAAAACTTGCTATTCTATTATTTTTCCCAATACAGTATTTTTTTTTAATTATGGTAAAATATAATGAACATAAAACTTACCATTTTAGCCATTTTAAGCGGCATTAAGGTACATTCACATTGTTGTACAACCATCATTGCCGTCCATCACCAGACATTTTCATCTTCCCAAACTAAAACTCTGTACCCATTAAACAACAGCTCGATTCCCTCAGTTTCCCAGGCTCTGGAAATCACCATTCTGCTTTCTGTCTCTATGACTTTGTCTACTCCAGGGACCTCATATATGTGGAATCATACAGTATTTTGTGACTAGCTTATTTCACTTAGTCCTGTAGCTTATTTCACATAGGATAATGTCCTCAAATTTCATCCACATTGTAGTATGTGTCAGAATGTACTTCCTTTTTAAGGCTGAATAATATTCCATGGTAGGTATATATCACAATTTGTTTATCTACTCATCCATCAATGGACATTTGGGTTGCTTCTACCTTTTGGTTATTGTGAATAATGGTGCTATGAATATAGGTATACAAATATCTCTCCAAGGCCCTACTTTTGATTATTTTGGGTGTATACTCAGAAAGAAAACTGCCAGATAATGTGGTAGTTCTATTTTCAATTTTTTGAGGAGCCGTCATGCGATTTTCCACAGTGGCCGCACCACTTTACATTTTTACCAGCAGTGTAGGAGGGTTCCACATTCACCATTTCTTGCCAACACTTGTTATTTTTTGCTTTTTGTGTTTGTGATTTTTGTTTGTTTGTTTGTTTTTGAGAGCAGCCATTCTAATATGTATGAGGTGGTATCTCATGAGGTGGTTTCGCTTTGGATTTCCCTAATGATTAGCAATACTGAGCATCTTTTCATGTGCTTATTGGCCATTTGTGTATCTTCTTTGAAGTTCTTTGCCAATTTTTAAATTGGGTTGTTTTGTTGTTGAGTTGTGAGAGTTCTTTATATATTCTAGCTATTAACTCCTTATTAGATATATGATTTGCAAATGCTTTATCCCATTCCATGGGTTTTTGGCTTTTCACTCTGTTGATAGTGTCCTTTGATTCAAATAAGTTTTTAATTTTGATGTAATCCAATTTATGTCTTTTTTATTGTTGTCTGTGTGTTGGTGTTATATCCAAAAAGTCACTGCCAGATCTTATGTCATGAAGATTTTCTTGTATGTTTTCTTCTAAGAGTTTTATAGTTTTAGGTCTTATATTTATGTTTTTGATCTATTTTGAGTTAATTTTGTATATGAGTCCTACTTCATTTTTTTTGTATGTGGATATCCAGTTTTCCCAACATCAATTTTTGAAAAGACTGTCCTTTCTCCATTGAATGGTCTTGTCATCCTTGTTGAAAATCATTTGACCATATATGCAATGGTTTATTTTGGGGCTGTCTACCCCATTCCATTGGTCTATATGTCTTTTTTTTAATGCCAGTACCACACTGTTTTGATTATTGTAGCTTTGTTGAAATCAGGAGGGGGCGAGTCCTCCAGCTTTGTTCTTTTTTAAGATTGTTTTCAGCCAGGTGCGGTGGCTCACACCTGTAATCCCAGCACTTTGGAAGGCCGAGGCAGGCGGATCACGAGGTCAGGAGTTTGAGACCAGCCTGCCCAACATGGTGAAACCCCATCTCTACTAAAAATACAAAAATTAGCTGGGCATGGTGGTGTACACCTGTAATCTCAGCTACTCAGGAGGCCGAGGCAGGGCAATTGCTTGAAACTGGGAGGCGGAGGTTGCAATGAGCCCAGATGGTGCCACTGCACTCCAGCCTGGGTGACAGAGTGAGACTTCATCTCAAAAAAAGGAAAAGACTGTTTTGGCTATTTGGGGTCCCTTGAGATTTCATATTAATTATAATTTTAGTATGGATTTTTCTATTTCTGCAAAAAATATCATTGGGATTTGGATAGGATTTGAACCTGTGGATTGCTTTGCATAGTATAAACATCTTAACAACAGTAAGTCATACATTCTATGGACATGAGACCTTTTTCTATTTATTTGTGCCCTAATTTTATTCACCAATGTTTTATAGTTTTTATTGTACAAGTCTTTCGTCTCCTTGATTAAGCTTATTCTAAGCATTTTATTCTCTTCGATACTATTATAAATAAAATAGTTTTGGCCAGGTGCAGTGGCTCACACCTGTAATCCCTTTGGGATTACAGCCTGTAAACTTTGGGAGGCTGAGGCAAGTGGATCATGAGGTCAAGAGATCAAGGCCATCCTGGCCAACATGGTGAAACCCCGTCTCTACTAAAAATACAAAAATTAGCTGGGCGTGGTGGCACGTGCCTGTAATCCCAGCTACTCTGGAGGCTGAGGCAGGAGAATCACTTGAACCCAGGAGGCGGAGGTTGCAGTGAGCTGAGATCGCGCTACCGCATTCCAGCCTGGCAACAGAGCGAGACTCTGTCTCAAAAAAATAAATAAATAAATAAAATAAAAATAAATAAATAAAATAGTTTTTAAAATTTATCTTATCAGATTGTTAATTCTTGGCATATAGAAATGTAACTGACTTTGCATGTTGATTTTTTATCCTGCAACTTTGCTACATTCATGTATCAGTTCTAATAATTTTCAGAAATATTTAGGGTTTTCTTTTTTTTTTTTTTTTTGAGTTTCGCTCTTGTTGCCCAGGGTGGAGTGCAATGGCGCGATCTCAGCTCACTGCAACCTCCACCTCCCAGGTTCAAGCAATTCTCCCACCTCAGCCTCCCGAGTAGCTGGGATTACAGGCATGAGCCACCACGCCCGGCTAATTTTGTATTTTTAGTAGAGACAGGGTTTCTCCATGTTGGTCAGGCTGGTCTCGAACTCCTGACCTCAGGTGATCTGCCCGCCTCGGCCTCCCAAAGTGCTAGGATTATAGGTGTAAGCCACCGTGCCCGGCCTATATGTAGGGTTTTCTAAATGTAAAGTCTTATTATCTGTGAACAGAAATAATGTTTTTCTTCCTTTCAAATATGGATGCCATTTACTTGTTTTTCTTGAGTAATTGCTTTGCCTAGACCCTCCAGTACTGTGTTGAGTGGAAATTGTTGGCCGAGCACGGTGGCTCATGCCTGTAATCCCAGCACTTTGGGAGGCCGAGGCAGGTGGATCACCTAAGGTCAGGAGTTCGAGATCAGCTTGGCCAACATGATGAAACCCCATCTCTACAAAAATACAAAAATTAGTGGGGCATGGTGGCAGGGGTCTGTAATCCCAGCTACTAGGGAGGCTGAAGCAGGAAAATCACTTGAACCTGGGAGGCAGAGGTTGCAGTGAGCCAAGAGCCAAGATCGAGCCATTGTACTCCAGCCTGGGCGACAGAGCAAGACTCCGTCTCAAAAAAAAAAAAAAAAAAAGAATTGTCTTGTTCCTGATCTCAGGGAAAAAGCTTTTAGTCTTTAGCCATTGACTATGATGTTAGCTGTGGGCTTTTCATATATGACCTTTATTATGTTGAGGTAGTTTCCTTCTACTTGTTCAGTGTTTTGTATCATAAAAGGGTGTTGGATTTTGTCAAGAGTTTTTTCTGCATCAGTACAGATTATCATGCGTGTTTCCCTTTTCAATCTGTTTTTATGGTGTATTATTATTATTATTATTATTATTATTTTGAGACAGAGTCTTGCTCTGTCCCCCAGGCTGGAGTGCAGTGGCAAGCAATCGTGGCTCACTGCAACCTCTGCCTACCAGGTTCAAGCGATTCTCCTGCCTCAGCCTCCCGAGTAGCTGGGATTACAGGAATGTGGCACCACACCTGGCTAATTTTTGTATTTTTAGTAGAGACGAGGTTTCACCATGTTGGTCAGGCTGGTCTCAAATTCCTGACCTCAAGTGATTTGCCCGCCTCAGCCTCCCAGAGTACTGGGATTATGGGCATGAGCCACGGCTTCTGGCCTATGGTGTATTATTAATACATGGATTGATTTTTGTGATTTGAGCCATCCTTCCATTCAAGGATAAATTCCACTTGGTCATAATGTATAATTCTTTAAATGGGCTGTTGAATTCTATTTGCTAGTATTTTCTTGCAGATTTTTGCATCCCAGTGATTTCTTTTCTTGGAGTGTCTTTGTCTAGCTTTGGTATCATGATAATGCTGGCCTCGCAGGGTGAGTTAAAAATTATTCTCTCTTCTTCCATTTTTTTGAAAGAGTTTGAGAAAGATTGGTGTTAATTTTTCTTTAAATGTTTGGAAGATTTTTTTCAGTGAATTGTTGGGAGGTTTTATATTGCTGATTTAGTCTTCTTTATAGTTCTAGGTCTGTTCAGATTTTCTATTTCTTCATAATTCAGTCTTGGTAGGGTATATGTTTTTAGGAATTTGTCCATTTTATCTGGATTATCCAATTTGCTGGTGCATAATTGTGCATAGTACTCCCTTATAATAATTTTTATTTCTGTAAAATTAGTAATAATGTCCCCTCTTTCACTTCTGATTTTAGTTGAGTCTTCCTTCTTTTTTACTTCCTCAGTTTAGCTACAAGTTTGTCCATTTTTTTATTCTTTTCAAAAAACCAACTCCTGATTTTGTTGACTTTCTCTATTATTTTTCGATTCCTGTTTTGTTTAACTCTGCTCTAATCTTTATTATTTCCTTTCTTCTGCTGGCTTTGGGCTTAGTTTGTTTTTATTTTTTTTCAACTTCCTTATGGCATAAAGTTAGGTTGTTGATTTGAGATCTTTCTTCTTTACTAGTTTGTTTATAGCTATAAATTTCCCTCTTAGCACTGCTTTCACTGCATTTCATAAATTTTGGACTGAGTACTCTGTCACCCAGGCTGGAGTGCAATCTCAGCTCACTGCAACCTCCACCTCCTGCGTTCAAGCAATTCTCCTGCCTCAGCCTCCTGAGTAGCTGGGATTACAGGCACGCACCGTCACAACTGGCTAATTTTTGTATTTTTAATAAAGACGGGGTTTCACCATGTTGCCCAGGCTGGTCTCAAACTTCTGACTGTCAGAGTTAAAGAAAGAGGAAAGAAAGTTGAAACGCCGCTGGCAGTTAAAGACAGGTTTTCTTTAGTCAAAACCTGAAGACACTCCTGGCAGATTGTGGTCAGGAGCACTTTCTCTTACAGACTAAGAGTACATATCGGTTTTAGGGTTATCACAAGCTTGGAATGTTTATGTGTGTGGAGAAGTTTATGACGGGGCTGGAATCTCTCTGGGAGGAGGGGAGGTTATTTTGGGGCAGACATCTTTCTGGCCCGAGGGGGGTTATCTGGGCTAGCATCTTCCTGTCTGGAGGGGGCTAATTTAGGGGCTAGCATGTCTCCGGTCAGGGAGGAGTTTGGAATGTTTCTGGTTGGAGATGTTATCTGTGGTTTATGGTCATGTTGACCATAGCCATTAGGCTGATGCCCCTTGGATTTAGGTGATTTTTTTATTAAGGTGAACTTTAGAATGAGTGGCTTGTCCAAGATGCCAAGATGGCGATGCTCCTGCTGTCACTGACCTCAAGTGATCCACCCATCTCAGCCTCCCAAAATGCTGGGATTACAGGCATGAGCCACCGCCCCCTGCTTTGTCTCATATATTTTCTAATTTCCTCTGTGATTTGTTCTTTGATTCATTGGTTGTTTGATTTCCACATATTTGTGGATTTTCCACTTTTCCTTCTGCTATTGATTTCTAATTTTTCATTTTGATGAAAAAAGATACTTTGAGGCCGGGCACGGTGGCTCACACCTGTAATCTCAGCACTTTGGGAGGCCGAGGCAGGCGGATCACTTGAGGTCAGGAGTTCGAGACCAGCCTGGCCAACATGGTGAAACCCAGTCTCTACTAAAAGTACAAAAATTAGCCGGGCGTGATGGCAGGTGCCTGTTATCCCAGCTACTTGGGAGGCTGAGGCAGGAGAATTGTTTGGACCCAGGAGGCGGAGGGTGCAGTTAGCCGAGATCGCACTACCGCACTGCAGCCTGGGCAACAGAGGGAGACTCCATCTCACACACACAAAAAAGATACTTTGTATGATTTCAATTCTTTTAAATGTATTAAAACTTGTCGCCTAACATATGGTCTATCCTGGAGAATGATCCATCTGCAGTTTAAAAAAAATGTGTACTCTGCTGTTGTTGATTGGAGTGTTTTGTATATGTCTGTTAGGTCCATTTGGCCTATAGTGTTATTCAGCTCCTCTATTTCATTATTGATCTTCTGCCTGGTTGCCCTACCAAGATGGTGGTATTATTCTTTTCATTTTACAGACAAGGAATGGAGGAAGGCAAAGATATATAAAGTAGCTTGCTCAAGTTCATAGCTGGTTAAGTGGCAGAATTAGGTCTCAATTAAAGGTCTAGATTCTCCAAGGGGCATGCTCCAAACCACCAAGCAGGCTGGGCACAGTGTCTCACACTGGTAATCCCAGCACTTTGGGAGGCTGAGGCGGGTGGATCACTTGAGGTCAGGAGTTCGAGACTAGCCTGGCCAACATGGCCAAACCCCATCTCTACTAAAAACACAAAAAATAGCTGGGCATGGTGGCGGGCACCTGTAATCCCAGCTACTCAGGAAGCTGAGGCAGGAGAATCGCCTGGACCCAGGAGGCAGAGGTTGCAGTAAGCCGAGATGGCGCCACTGCACTCCAGCCTGGGTGGCAGAGTGAGACTCTGTCTCAAAAATACAAACAAACAAACAAAAATCCACCCAGCAAGAGATAGCTTTTCATACTATCCATACTGTGATCTTTCCACTGTTTAACCCCAAACACTTACTTGTTAAACTCTAATAACTGACCAATACCACACACACATACACATGCTCACTCACTGCCTCTAGGAGACTCAGGATTTCGACTGAAGGAGGCAGTGGGAGTTGTGACAGCCTCTGCAAACTCCAAAAAGGGACTTGGAGCCCCTTTCAGTACCTAACTCAACACTTAATGGGTTTCATTTCAGGTATAGCAATTACCCACCAGCGGAGGCAAAATATACCAGCTCTCAAAATATAAAGCTCTTTAAATATACAAGCCCTCTAAATATTTTAGAGACCTGTATCTATAAAATATACAAGTCTTGCTGGGCACAGTGCCTCATGCCTGTTATTCCAGCACTTTGGGAGGCTGAGGAGGGAGGATTGCTTGAGGCCAGGAATTCAAGACCAGCCCAGGGAACATAGGGAGACCCTGTCTCTACTAACTAACTAACTAACTAACTAACTAAATAAATAAATAAATAAATAAATAAAATATAAAAGTCTGTAAAACCTGAAAAGTCACAAAATATGTTACTCAAAAATTGAGCTAATTCAATGACATCAAGTTACAGGATGTTAGGGGAGATGGTTAACACTTCAAAGTGCATTGATGGCATTTTGGTGAAAGATTTCCTTTAGCTGAGGACCTTGTACTTTTTGCATGGGGCACTTATTATTAATCATTAGCTATGGAAAAATGAAAGATTAATTAGCCCTGCTGGAGAAGAAGTACAACAAGAAAAAAAGGAACAGAGCCAGGGCCCAGGGAGATAGCCCCACCCAGCAGGGACCATTTCCTCATTCCCTGGGCAAACAATCACCCAGGTACCCCCGAGTGCCTGGGGGATGGAACTGCTTATTTCTATTTGCCAAAAAGCGGAAACATCTATTTTGAAAGCTTATGTTATGGGGTTTCAACATTTATAGCTATTCCACTGGTGTCTAAATCAAGAAATTTTAAAAATTTGACCAACGTGGCCATTTAATTTAAATTCTGCTTTTAGTGAAAGTAAGAGTCACACGGTGCTATGCTCAGGCTGTTTTTTCAGGTACTTATTAATAATAACTCACATTTGCTTTCACATACTGTTGTCTCCTTTCACTCATACCACTGCCATATTGGGAGGTGGCACATGGGCCATCTCTCCTCTCTCTCTCTTTTTAAAAGAACACTCTTTTAAGTTGTCATACTGTGTCTTGTTGCTGCAACAGTATGAGTTCCTGTGAGATTTTCACTTTAGTTTTGATTTCCACCCTTTGCGCCCCATCCTTTGGCCTGTGAGGCAAGACTAAGGACAAAATATGTCTTGTGGGAACTTGTGTAGGTAAGTTCCTCATAGCTCACTGGGTTAGAAATTGTTGCATATTTGATGGAATTTCATAGGTAGAAGAGGGTCTAAGGACAGAGAAGAGGGGAGGATGAGGGACATATTTTTCCCGGTAAGGAAGGAAGGAGGAAAAATGAGATGTCACTTCAGGAAAGGACTAAACTTACATATGAAATGAACCCCTGTAGAGGTAATGGCATTTTATAATATATGAATTCACAAGTAGAGAACAGCTTTGCTCTTGGTGTGCAGTTGGATGTGATAATCCTTCTATACTGATGTTCTCATCTTTAACATGAGGTGAAAATTTCATGTTTGGAAGGTTGAGCTTGAAGCTGACAAATTGGGAAAACCTTAGGTTTTATTATTTTTAAAAAATACCAATTATAATTAGTAACAACACCCTTGAATAATTTTGGAGTTATTGCCACATAACATTAATCTCTCCAATTTTGCAACTTCAAATCTCTAAAGGATACTGCCCCAACTCCATTCCACCAACAGACATTGTACAGACATGCTTGAATCTTTACTCTGCAAGGCTTTAAAGATGGTTCCATTATTTCTATTATTATTATTTTTTTTTTTTTGAGATGGAGTCTCACTCTTTTGCCCAGGCTGGAGTGCAGTGGTACCATCACTGCAACCTCTACCTCCCAGGTTCAAGTTATTCTCCTGCCTCAGCCTCCTGAGTAGCGGGAATTACAGGTGCCTGCCATCACATCTGGCTAATTTTTGTATTTTAATAGAGATGGGGTTTCAGCATGTTGGCCAGGCTGGTCTAGAACTCCTGACCTCAAGTGATCCACCTACCTCAGCCTCTGAAAGTGCTGGGATTGCAGGCGTGAGCCACCTTTCCTGGCCTGGTTCCATTATTTTATTTTTTTATTATTATTTTTTTTTATCTTGGCTCACTGCAACCACCATCTCCCGGGTTCAAGCGATTCTCCTGTCTCAGCCTCCTGAGTAGCTGGGATTACAAGCACCTGCCATCATGCCTGGCTAATTTTTGTATTTTAGTAGAGACAGGGTTTCACCATGTTGGCCAGGCTGGTCTTGAACTACTGACCTCAAGTGATCCTCCTGCCTTGGCCTTCCAAAGTGCTAGGATTATAGGGGTGAGCCACCACGCCCAGCCTCCATTATTATTTTCTATCAAAACAAACCTACATTTTAAAAAATTTCATTTATTTATATTTTGTGTGTGACGGTGTCTCACTCTGTCGCCCAGGCTGGAGTGCAGTGGCACAATCTCGGCTTACTGCAGCCTCCGCCTCTAGGGTTCAAGCAATTCTCCTGCCTCAGCCACCCAAGTAGCTGGGATTACAGGCGTGCGCCACCATGCCCTGCTAATTATTGTATTTTTAGTAGAGACGGGTTTTACCATGTTTGCCAGCCTGGTCTTGAACTCCTGAGCTCAAACAATTCACCCACCTCAGCCTCCCAAAGTGCTAGGATTACAGGTGTGAGCGACCGTGCCCAACCCAAACCTACATTTTAAACTTTAGTTAGACTGTAAACTTCATAAGGACAAGGAGATGCGATATAAATAATAGCACAGTGGCTCTGATCTTGGGCTCTAGAGCCAGAACATTTGGGTTCAGGTTATCTACATCCTGTCAATCAGCTGTGACTTTGGGTAACTTACTTAATCCCTTTTGAATCTCAATTTTTTAAATATGTAAAATAGAGATAATAATATCTACCTTTTAAGATTCTAGTGAGGGTAATTCATTGATTTAGCAACTTTTTTGCATTTGGTAATTTTATGTTTTTAATTGACAAAGTATAATTGTACATATTTATGGAGTACATAGTGATGTTTCCATACATAGAATTTATAGTGATCAGATCAGGATAATTAGCATATCCATCATCTCAAACATTTATCAGCTATTTTCAGTTATTTGTTTCAGGAACTTTATTTATTTATTTTTTTTTTTGAGACAGAGTCCCACTCTGTCGCCCAGGTTGGAGTGCAGTGGTGTGATCTCAGCTCACTTCAACCTCTACCTCCCAGATTCAAGTGATTCTCCTGCCTCAGCCTCCCAAGTAGCTGGGACTACAGGTGCGTGCCACCACGCCCAGTAATTTTTTGTATTTTTAGTAGAGACAGGGCTTCACTGTGTTAGCCAGGATTGTCTCGATCTCCTGACCTCGTGATCCACCTGCCTCAGCCTCCCAAAGTGCTGGGATTACAGGTGTGAGCCACTGCACCCGGCCTAAGGAGCTTTCAATATCCTCCTTCTAGCTACTTGAAACTATACAATACATTATTAACTATAGTCATCTGCAATGATGTAGAATACTAGAACTACTTATTCTTCCTATCTAGCTGTAATTTTGTATCCTTTAATGAATCTCTTCCCATCTCTCCCTTCCTCCTACTCTTTCTAGACTGATGTAACAACATTTATTGAACATCTACTATTTATCAGTCACTGAGGATACAGTAAACAAACTTTCCTGCTTTATTTTTCCTTGTAACACTTATTATCCTCAACATATATTTATTTGTTGATTTGATTAGTGTCTGTCTCCCACCTTGTTAAGGAAAAAAACAGCCAGCCGAAAGTGGAGTCAGTAGTGCTGAAGTTCCACATTGCCAAATTGAAACATAAGTTGTTTATTTGTAAGATCTGGCCTTCCAAGAAATCAGGAGAGAGACAATAGCTAAATCCCATTAAGCCAACAAGATTTTGCTTACATCCCTAGTAGGAAAGTAACCTTGAAACGACCAATGCACTCTTTTTTTTTTTTTGAGATGGAGTCTGGCTCTGTCACCCAGGCTGGAGTACAGTGGCACGATCTTGGCTTACTGCAACCTCCACCTCCCAGGTTCAGGTGATTCTCCTGCCTCAGCCTCCCAAGTAGCTGGGATTACAGGCACCTGTCACCTCATCTGGCTAATTTTTATATTTTTAGTAGAGATGGGGTTTCACCATGTTGGCCAGGCTGGTCTCAAACTCTCTGACCTCAGGTTATCTGCCTGCCTTGGCCTCCCAAAGTGCTGGGATTACAGGCGTGAGCCACCGTGCCTGGCCTCCAATGTACTCTTTGTTCCCTGTTCCCACTTCCTTCTACTTTTTTCTGCCTATAAAACTCACCCATTCTGTTTAGCTCATTGGAGCTCCTTCCTATTTGTCTGTATGCTGCCCAGTTCATGAATCACTAATAAAAGTCAATTCAGTCTTTGAAACTCAATTCGAAATTTTGCTCTTTGACACCCTTCATCATGCCCCAGAAGCTTCCTGGAGACAGAGACATTTTCTGTGGTGTCCCTCACACCTGGACTAGGGTCTAGCATACAGGAGGAGTGCCGTATATGACACTCCTTAATGACAGAATGAATGACTTCTTAATGTCAGAATGAATGACACTCCTTAATGACTCCTTAATGACAGAATGAATGAATGGATTGGCAAGAGGCTTCCTTTCTGAAAGCCCAATGCTCGGAATGCCCTACATCCAAGAGGCAGGTTAGGTGCCACTTCTCTTTTCTCTGGTACTCTTCTTCACTGTCTCTTTGAACTTCCTTGGCAGGTGAGATCAGAAGGGCTAAGGATGCAGTTCCACATTGCAACTGCCAGTGCCTGAGAGAGCCTTGCATGGCGAAAGCATTATATTCTTGTTTTTCCCTTTGCTTCTGCTTTTTGGGTCAACATTTTCTCATCTTCATAGTGGGAAGATCAAAGATGAGGCAAAGCAGAGAGGAGGCCCTTTAACTAGGCTCTAGACTTGACCTAATCTAGGCACAAAGAATTCTTTACATGATCTATTATCTTTCACTGTTTGGATTGAGGTCAAATCTCAATAATGATGAATGTTAATATACCATTGTTGTCCTCTGGGCATGTTTTTCCCTTAATGGACTTATAGGGAAAGGTGGCTTGTCAAGAACACGATTAAGATGCTCAGGGCCAGGCATGGTGGCTCATGATTGTAATCCCAATACTTTGGGAGGCCGAGGCAGGTGGATCACTTGAGGTCAGGAGTTGGAGACCACCTGGGCCAACATGGTGAAAATCCTGTCTCTACTAAAAATACAAAAAAATTAGCTGGGCATGGTGGTATGTGCCTGTAATCCCAGCTACTCGGGAGGATGAGGCAGAAGAATTGCTTGAACCTGGGAGGTGGAGGTTGCAGTGAGCTGAGATGGTGCCACTGCACTCCAGCTTGGGTGACAGAGTGAGACTCCACCTCAAAAACAAAACAAAACAAAAAGATGCTCAGTGTCCTGAGTCCCCAGATGAATACCACCATAATATCATCCAATTTCCACACTTTTGTGCTAAGCCAGTGTTTCTCAAGCTCAGGTTCTGTTTTGCAATATGTTCCACGAAAGAAGCATTCCATACTGAAAAAATTTAGGAAATTTTAGAAAGGCTGCATTCTGTATTGGAATGTTTCTAACAACACAGCTTATTAACGACTCTGAATAGTCCTGCAGTAAGGAAATTTGTTTAAAATTATTTAACCCAGTCCATCAAAGAAACATTTTGACCTTGGAAATCTGTTTTGACCTTGGACATCTGTTTTTGCATATGCAGCTAATGGCCTGAAGAGTGCACTGGGGAAACTCCATGGTTGAGAATGAAAAGACATTGAAGCATAAGACCTAGCCACTGGCCTCCAACTCTGACATGATGTTGGTTACAGTATTTTCTTTTCTTTTTTTTTCTTTTTGAGACACAGTCTCGCTCTGTCACCCAGGCTGGAGTGCAGTGGCGCAATCTTGCTCACTGCAAGTTCCGCCTCCTGGGTTCACACCATTCTCCTGCCTCAGCCTCCCGAGTAGCTGCGACTACAGGCGCCCGCCACCACACCCAGCTAATTTTTTGTATTTTTTTAGTAGAGACGGGGTTTCACCGTGTTAGCCAGGATGGTCTTGATCTCCTGACCTTGTGATCCGCCCACCTCAGCCTCCCAAAGTGCTGGGATTACAGGTGTGAGCCACCACACCCGGCCAGTTACAGTCTTTTCAATTGTGAGGGTTTGATACCTTACAGGAAGGGAGGAACTGTTGCCTTTTGCACTGTTTTGGTGGATGCATACACACTCACATATCTCCCCAAAATACTTTGAAATATGTGTTCTTAACAATTCACAACATTTTGAACTTTTCCATAAAGTTCTTAACTTTACGTTCCAGACCACCGGAGCTGGACTATGCTGGAAACCATAGTCAGCTCCATACACAAATTGGATTGCATGTGAGCAGTTTAGCATCCATTAGCCTGCAGGAACAATTAAACTATGGATTTTATTCCAAGTTTTATCAAAGGAATTCCATGAAATGGGACTTGGGATATATATATTTCTTCTTCTTCTTATCTTGGTGTTTTTCAGGCCTGGCTTACTCAGGAATCAGCTCTGGGTGTGTTATTTCTTCTGTTATAAATTGCCTTCCTGTTATGTTACATTAAACGAGTCATAGTTGATGGAATTTGTGATAAAAAGCTAGTCTTTTGCTCAATTATATTTTTTCTAGCTTTCCTAAGGCAGAGGCCACATTTTATTTTTTTCTCCCCAAATAAGGACTTGTTGACTTGAAATATAATGAAAATATTAAAATGTCACATTTTATTTTCATATTTGAAACTCTTTATTTAAACTCTCTTTAAGTATTCTCTAAGTATCTACTGTCAGAGTACCAGTAAAGAAGTTGTGGTACATTCATGCAATGCACTTTTATGCAAGCAACTATTAAACATTATGTTATAAAAGAATAATTTAATGACATGGAAAAGTAGTATATATTTAGAGAGGGTAAAAGCACATAATCAGTATAGCATAGGATAAGTCTGTAAAGACTATATCAATGGCTGGGCACCGTGGCTCACGCCTGTAATCCCAGCACTTTAGGAGGCTGAGGCGGGCAGATCACAAGGGTTAGGAGATTGAGACCATCCTGGCTAACACAGTGAAACCCCGTCTCTACTAAAAATAATTCAAAAAATTAGCCAGGCGTGGTGGCAGGTGCCTGTAGTCCCAGCTACTTGGGAGGCTGAGGCAGGAGAATGGCGTGAACCCGGGAGGCAGAACTTGCAGTGAGCGGAGATCGTGCCACTGCACTCCCAGCCTGGGCAACAGAGAGAGACTCAGTCTCAATTAAAAAAAAAAAAAATTAGCAAGATTCTCTGATTTTTGGAAGAGGAGAGGGTTTAAACATTATACCGGCCTGTCTCATTGCACATCTAGGGATACCCCAGGGACCATAACAATGCAAGGTGAGTGTCCTTTGCCATCCTCTGGCTTTTGGCCTTGTCCTACCCCAGATGTTTCTTGTCCTCATTCTGACTGCAAGTTGCAGTGAGCCCTTCATGGAAACCCAGATTTCCATGTTTGAATCCATCTTTCTTCCTTCCCTTGTAACCAAACTATAAAATACTCTAGTGTCCTAATTCAAACTTTAATGATTGGCAATGGCTTATCTCCTATCATGGAGTGAATGTCTGTGTCTCCCCCAAATTCAGATGTTGAAATTCCAACCCCCCCATGTGGTGGCATTAGAAGGTGGAGCCTTTGGGAAGTAATTAGGTCATGAGGGTGGAGTCCTCACAAATGGGATTGGTGCCCTTGTAAAAGGGACCCTAGCTCTTTCACCCTCTTCCCGCCATGTGAGGATACAAGAAGTCAGCGGTCTGCAACCTGGAAGAGGACCCTCACCATATCCTGGTCTGCTGGCACCTTGATCTTGGACTTCCAGCCTCCTGAACAAAAATAATTTCTGGTGTTTATAAGCCACTCAATTTAGTGATAGTAACCCAAACAGACTAAGACATCACCCTTGAGATTATTTGCATTTTAATAGAATACAATACCTTACCTTAAAAAAGTTCACTGTAAACCCTGGACCCAGGGAGATAGGATTGTGCAGAGGATGTCTTCCAGAAAAAGCACATTCCCAGAGCAGTAACCAGGACCTGAACCTTCTCTAGTTACAGTTCAACCACGTTGGAAAATCTAAAGCAATAGTTCTCAATTTACCAGCGCTTCAGAATGCCCTGGAGTGATGTAAGGAGGTGGGGGGAAATTAATGAGGTGGTGGGGAGCGGTGGGAAGACCCAGGGGTAGCACACTGTGCTATTGGTTATGGGTAACCTGAAATATTTACATTCTTTAGGATGAAGCTAAGGTGCTCTTGGCACCCTTCAAAGCATTGTGGGTGCCCTGACAGCGTGGAAATTTCCCCAGCCTCCTTTGTGGCAGCCCAGCAGCCCCACCTGGTGGGTTATGGAGGTAGAGGCAACAGGTCAGTTTTTTAAGTAGGAGGCCTGTTTGCTTGAATGGAGACTGAAATCCTAATGGGCTTGGGCAGGTGGTATTTTAATCTGTACTTAATTCTCTAGGCAGTTTGCAATGGGTTTTTATTTATTTATTTATTTATTTATTTATTTATTTATTTTTATTATTATACTTTAAGTTCTAGGGCACATGTTCACAACGTGCAGGTTTGTCACATATGTATACATGTGCCATGTTGGTGTGCTGCACCTGTCAACTCATCATTTACAATAGGTATATCTCCTAATGCTATCCCTCCCCCCTCCCCCCACCCCACGACAGGCCCCAGTGTGTGATGTTCCCCACCCTATGTCCAAGTGTTCGTTCTCATTGTTCAATTCCCACCTATGAGTGAGAACATGCGGTGCTTGGTCTTCTGTTCCTGTGATAGTTTGCTGAGAATGATGGTTTCCAGCTTCATCCATGTCCCTGCAAAGGACATGAACTCATCCTTTTTTATGGCTGCATAGTATTCCATGGTGTATATGTGCCACATTTTCTTAATCCAGTCTATCACTGATAGATATTTGGGTTGGTTCCAAGTCTTTGCTATTGTGAATAGTGCCGCAACAAACATACGTGTGCATGTATCGCTATAGCAGCATGATTTATGATCCTTTGGGTATACGCCCAGTAATGGGATGGCTGGGTCAAATGGTATTTCTAGTTCTAGATCCTTGAGGAATCATCACACTGTCTTCCACAATGGTTGAACTAGTTTACAGTCCCACCAACAGTGTAAAAGTGTTCCTATTTCTCCACAGCCTCTCCAGCACCTGTTGTTTCCTGCCTTTTTTTTTTTTTTTTTTTTTTTTTGAGATAGAGACTCGCTCTGTCACCCAGGCTGGAGTGCAGTGGCGCAATCTCGGCTCACTGCAAGCTCCGCCTCCCGGGTTCACACCATTCTCCTGCCTCAGCCTCCCGAGTAGCTGGGATTACAGATGCCTGCCACCATGCTTGGCTAATTTTTTGTACTTTTTAGTAGAGACGGGTTTCACCATGTTAGCCAGGATGGTCTCAATCTCCTGACCTCGTGAACCACCCGCCTCGGCCTCCCAAAGTGCTGGGATTACAGGCATGAGCCACCGCGCCTGGCCATTTCCTGACTTTTTAATGATCACCATTCTAACTGGTGTGAGATGGTATGTCATTGTGGTTTTGATTTGCATTTCTCTGATGGCCAGTGATGATGAGCATTTTTTCATGTGTCCGTTGGCTGCATAAATGTCTTCTTTTGAGAAGTGTCTGTTCATATCCTTCACCCACTTTTTGATGGGGTTGTTTGTTTTTTTCTTGTAAATTTGTTTAAGTTCTTTGTAGATTCTGGATATTAGCCCTTTGTCAGATGGGTAGATTGCAAAAATTTTCTCCCATTCTGTAGGTTGCCTGTTCACTCTGATGGTAGTTTCTTTTGCTGTGCAGAAGCTCTTTAGTTTAATTAGATCCCATTTGTCAATTTTGGCTTTTGTTGCCATTGCTTTTGATGTTTTAGCCATGAAGTCCTTGCCCATGCCTATGTCCTGAATGGTATTGCCTAGGTTTTCTTCTAGGGTTTTTATGGTTTTAGGTCTAACATGTAAGTCTTTAATCCATCTTGAATTAATTTTTGTATAAGGTGTAAAGAAGGGATCCAGTTTCAGCTTTCTACATATGGCTAGCCAGTTTTCCCAGCACCATTTATTAAATAGGGAATCCTTTCCTCGTTTCTTGTTTTTGTCAGGTTTGTCAAAGATCAGATGGTTGTAGATGCGTGGTATTATTTCCGAGGGCTCTATTCTGTTCCATTGGTCTATATCTCTGTTTTGGTACCAGTACCATGCTGTTTTGGTTACTGTACCTTTTAGCATAGTTTGAAGTCAGGTAGCGTGATGCCTCCAGCTTTGTTCTTTTGGCTTAGGATTGACCTGGCAATGCGGGCTCTTTTTTGGTTCCACATGAACTTTAAAGTAGTTTTTTCCAATTCTGTGAAGAAAGTAATTGGTAGCTTGATGGAGATGGCATTGAATCTATAAATTACCTTGGGCATTATGGCCGTTTTCACAATATTGATTCTTCCTATCCATGAGCATGGAATGTTCTTCCATTTGTTTGTGTCCTCTTTTACTTCATTGAGCAGTGGTTTGTAGTTCTCCTTGAAGAGGTCCTTCACATCCCTTGTAAGTTGGATTCCTAGGTATTTACAATAGGTTTTTATTTTATTTTTTAAGAAACAAGACCTTACCCTGTCACCCAGGCTGGAGTAGAGTGGCACAATCATAGCTCACGGCAGCCTCAAACTCCTGGCCTCAAGCAATGCTTCTCAAAGTGTGGTCCCCAGTCAGCAGCATCGGCATCACCTGGGAAGCAGGAGCAATGCAAATTCTCCAGTCCCGCCTCAGACCTACTGAAGCGGACACACTGTGGGTGCTGCCCAGCAATCTAGGTTTTAACAAGCCCTCCAGGGCATTCTGAAGCGCTGGTAAATTGAGAACTGTTGCTTTAGATTTTCGAACGTGGTTGAACTGTAACCAGAGACGGTCCAGGTTCTGGTTACTGCTCTGGGAATGTGCTTTTTCCAGCCCGGAAGACTTCCTCTGCACAATCCTATCTCCTTGGGTCCAGGGCAAGCCCAGCCTTGCTCTTTGAGAGCAGTAAGACTCCAGGGAAATGCCATATGAGCTGGTGGGATTCCACCAGCATAAAAGGTGGAAATGGAGCCTATAGTGACCACTGCCCCAAACTCGCCAGCGCCCTCATGTGGAGGCACAACTGCAAAGATGCACTGAGTCACTCCCACGCGCGGCTCCTGTCCACCAAGATCCAGTCTGGTTAAAACACTAGGCCTTGCCCATAGATAATAGACAGCGCCACTTCCTTCCGTCCCTTTCTTCCCTTTCCTACCGTGCTATGAGGGGTTGATGCCCTTTGATTTCCCAGACAGACTGATTGCAAGAGCTGAACCTTACTTAAAGATGTGACTTCGGCTGGGCGTCATGGCGCTACATGTAGTTCCAGCTACAGGGGAGGCTGAGGCTGGAGGATCGCTAAAGCCCAGGAGTTGCAGTCCAGCCAATCACTGAGGATTTTTTTTAAATGCAAATTCTGACTCTGTAGGTCTCAGGGGGAGCCCCAGAGCCTGCATTTTTAATAAACGCCACAAACGCACTCTTGCTGCTAATGTGAGAACACCACTTTGAGCGGATATGATTAGGTTGCCCTCTAGTGATAATCCCATGGAAATCCAGGGTGTTTCTAGCTTCACGATGAACCGGGTCAGCTGGGACTTTCCAGAAAATTAAGACTATTAAAGGCCGGCATGGTGGCTCACGTCTGTAATCCCAGAACTTTGGGAGGCTGAGGCAGTAATCACTTGAGGCCAGAAGTTCGAGACCAGCCTAGGCAACATGGTGAGACCTTGTCTCTACAAAAATAAAAAAGTAAAAAATTAGCCAGTTGGGGGTGGTGTGTGCCTGTGGTCCCAGCTACTTGGGAGGCTGAGGTGGGAGGATTGTTTGAGCCCAGGAATTGGAGGCTGCAGTGAGCTACGATTGCACCCTGCACTCCACCCTGGGTAACAGCAAATTAATTAGAAATTTTTAAACCAGCTTTACAGAATAAGAATATCAGGCTTTTTCCTACACTTAAGAGTCAGGCTCTCCTCTACCATATATAAACAAAGAATCTTTCACTCCTAATCTTCTGCCAGCTTTCAAGACCGGGGTACTGGAGACATCTTTATCCCACATTAACTTTTCTCCAAATAATCTCAACTACTTCCTATGATACTGGTTTCATCATGTTGCTTCTTTTTTTTTTTTTTTTTTTTCTTTTTTTTTGGAGACAGAGTCTCACTCTTTTGACCAGGCTGGAGTGTAGTGGTGTGACCTTGGCTCACTGCAACCTCCGTCTCTTGGGTTCAAGAGATTCTCCTGCCTGAGCCTCCCGAGTAGCTGGGGTTACAGGCGCCTGCCACCATGCCCGGCTAACTTTTCTGTATTTTTAGTAGAGATGGGGTTTCCCCATGTTGGCCAGGCTGGTCTCAAGCTCCTGACCTCAAGTGATCTGCCTGCCTCGGCCTCCCAAAGTGCTGGGATTACAGGCGTGAGCCACCGCACCCAGCCCATCATGTTGCTTCTTGTCTTGAAAAACATTCTGCAGCTCTTTGTGCCAGTGTCAAGTTTAAACTCCACAACCTGGCACCCAGAGCTTCTACAACATGGCTCTAGTCTTTTCCAGCCTCATTGGAATTGGATACTTATATATGCTTAATAACTTAACAATACTATATGTTTTATATAGTATTGTTACATATATAGCACCCAAAAATGCTAATGCTGAGATATATATTTGGAAACAGGGTCTTACACTGTCATTCAGGCGAGTGTAGTACAGTGGCATGATCACGGCTCACCTGCAGCCTCAAACTTCTGGACTCAAGTGATCTTCCCGTCTCAGTTTCCCAAGTACCTGGGACTTACAGGCACATTCCACCATGCCCAGCTAATTTTTAAATTTTTTTGTAGAGACAGGGTTTCACTATGTTGCCCAGGTTGATCTCGAATTCCTGGCCTCAAGTGATCCTCCCGCCTTAGCCTCCCAAAGTGCTGGGATTGCAGGCATAAGCCACCATGCCTAGGCTACAATATTATATTAGTGTAAATACAGTATACAAATTTAGTCTGTTTTCATACTTTTAATGAGCAACATACCTGCCACATGCTGGGTGCTACAGAGGTTGCGATACACAATCCTGCCATCAAGCAGTTTAGATGTTTTTTATCTGGCCCTTTTTTACATACTATTAGTTTATAGAAATAGTTCAGGTATTGACATAGCCTATTGTGTGACTATGTATAGTGTTTTGAATTTTTTAATTTTTATTTATTTATTTTTTGAGTCACTATCTCCCTCTGTCACCCAGGTTGGAGTGCAATGGTGTGATCTTGTCTCACTACAACCTCCACCCTGTCTCATGCTACAGTCATCCTCCCACCTCAGCCTCCTGAGTAGCTAGGACTACAAGCATGTGCCACCATGCCCGGCTAATTTGTGTATATTTTGTAATATACAAAATAGGTTTCACCATGTTGCCCAGGCTGGTCTCGAACTCCTGAGTTCAAGCAATCCTCCCATCTCAGTGTTCCAAAGTGCTGGGATTAAAGGCATGAACCACTATACCCAGATAGAATTTTTTTTTTTTTGAGACAGAGTCTCACTCTGTTGCCCAGGCTGGAGTGAAGTGGTACACTCTTGGCTCACTGCAACCTCTGCCTCCCAGGTTCAAGCTATTCTCCTGCCTCGGCCTCCCACGTAGCTGGGACTACAGGGGTCCACCACCATGCCTGACTAATTTTTGTATTTTTAGTAGAGATGGGGTTTCACCATGTTGGCCAGGCTGGTCTCGAACTCCCGATCTCAGGTGATGTGCCCACCTCAGCCTCCCAAAGTCTGGGATTACAGGTGTGAGACACCGGACCCGGCCTAACCAGAATTTTTTGATGTTATTAATGTGCTGCTATGTATACATATCTGGTTTTGGAGGAGGAAAAGGGGAGAATCTATCTTCTTGAGGTAATATACCCTAAAGTAGAATCATTGAATTAAAATTACAGAGTTTTATAGCTGGTTATGTATTGACAGATTTCTTTCCAGAGACTGAAAATATTTCCAGGTTACCCATAATATATTTACATTAGTTTTCATGAAATACATACTTCGTTGGGTTTTACAATTTTAAAATGTATTTGTTACTTTGGCAGAGGTATTTAGGGCTACCACTAGCCTCTAAGTGCCTTTGTGTAAATTAGAGGAAAGTAACTACACAAGCACATTGTGTGCAGTACATCTTTTTTTTTTTCTGAGACAGGTTCTTGCTCTGTTGCCCAGGCTGGAGTGCAGTGGTGTGATCTCGGCTCACTGCAGCCTCTGTCTCCCGGGTTCAAGCAATTCTCCCACCTCAGCTTCCCAAGTAGCTGGAACTACAGATGTGCACCACCACACCCAGCTATTTTTTTTTCTTTTCTTTTCTTTTTGTATTTTTGGTAGAGACGCAGTTTCACTATGTTTGCCCAGGCTGGTCTCAAACTCCTGGGCTCAAACGATCCACAAGCCTCAGCCTCCCAAAGTGCTGGTTACAGATGTGAGCCACCATGCCCTGTCTGTGTGCAGAGCATCTTTGCATGAGGAAAAAAGTGCTAGTCTTCTGGATGGATGCAGCCTTACAACAGGACAGTGACTTTGTGGGTGGAGCATGGACTGTGCATTAGTCCATTCTCACACTGCTGATAAAGACATACACAAGACTGGGCAATTTACAAGAGAGAGATTTAATGGACTCATGGTTCCACGTGGCTGGGGAGGCCTCGCAATCATGTCAGAAGATGAAAGGCATGTCTCACGTGGCAGCAGACAAGAGAAGAGAGCTTGTGCAGGGAAACTCCCCTTTTTAAAACCATCAGATCTCATGAGACTTATTCACTATCACAAGAACAGCATGGGAAAGACCTGCCCCCGTGATTCAGTTACCTCCCACTGGGACCCTCCCACAACATGTGGGAAGTCAAGATGTGATTTAGGTGGGGACACAGCCAAACCGTATCAGGCTGGATCCACAAAAATAGCATCAGCCCCCTGTGCAGGTCTTTAAAGTGCACACTCTGGGCTTTCATCTGTGTGACTCTGTATTTATTTAACAAACATTTGAACCTCTGCTAATATAGGTAAAATCATACTTTAATGCAAACATATAAAGAACATATGTCAAATATTTTAGTCAACTCATTAATTAATGAGGAAGCCGGTAGGATATTAATACTGGCTCAAGGAGAATTTGCAGAACTGGGCGCTTATCAGCCCTTAAAATCTTTTATTTTTATTTTTTTAGAAACAGGGTCTTGCTCCTTTGCCCAGGCTGTACTTGAACTCCTGGACTCAAGGGATCCTCCCTCCCCAGCCTTCCAAGTAACTGGTACTATAGGTGTGCACCACCACGTCCGGATGATTTTTTATTTTTTATTTTTTTGAGATGGAATCTTGCTCTGTCAGCTGGAGTGCGGTGGCGTGATCTCAGCTCACTGCAACCTCCGCCTCCTGGGTTCAAGTGATTCTAGTGCCTCAGCCTCCCAAGTAGCTGAGATTACAAGTGTGTGTCACAACGCTGGCTAATTTTTGTATTTTTAGTAGAGATGTTAGCCAGGCTGGTCTTGAATTCCTGGCCTTAAGCAATTTGCCCGCCTCAGCCTCCCAAAGTGCTGGGATTACAGGCATGAGCCACCGTGCCTGGCCCGATTTTTTATTTTTTGTAGAGATGGGGTCTTGCTACATTGCCCAGACTGGTCTTGAATTCCTGAGCTCAAGCAATCCTACGGCCTCAGCCTCCCAAAGAGCTGAGATTACAGGCGTGAGCCACCATACCTGGCCTTAAAATCTTTTGATTGTTAGGATAAGATTGACAAGTTAGATTTTAAAAACTCTTTAATATCCTACAAGGCAATAAATTTTAACTTTTGGGCTTATCTTTTCCACTAGACAGAAACTATTTGCACCTCTACTAGACCTGTTTAGGTTAACCTTTAAGGAATTGTAAAACAGCCCAATTGATCGAAATTAAATCAAAGAGCAAACCTAGCACCACACTGAAAGAACACTCAGAAATCTCTTTTGCCTATTTTCAATTTTGCATAATTATTCTAACAATCTCCCTCATTTGCAATAAAAAATAATCTCCAAAGATGAGTCCCAATCACAAAAGGGCTTGTCTAGATAGTTGGCTTGATTGTTTACAGAGATGTAGCAAGAATATTAATTAACTATTAGGCCAACTTGAGTTTGCTCTACAAACCTAGAGCCCTCGAATACTGAGCAACTACCAAGCCCAAGACACCCTACCAGGTCTCACCTGCAGTACCTGTTTAGACCTGACTGAAAGAGAATCCTTCTCAATTATAACATATCAGGTTTGGTCTTGATTGCACAGTTGACTTTTCCATTATATTTTTGGTAAAAAGGAGAACAGATTATTCTTGAACCTATGCAAATATTGAAGCTTTCTTTTTATCAGTGGTGATGGGTTTATTCTTGCAAATGAAGTATCACTTTCAATTATTTTTTCTAGCTGAATTACAATGATATGAAGAACGTAGTAGGTTTTCTGGTTTCTCATGCAGAGACCTTGTTTCAGGCATGAACTTAAAATATGACTCCAGGCCCTGTGGCCACCAAGCTTCTCCTATCACTTACAGGCAGTGGAGTCACCCTGCACTTAGAATTCTCCAGGTCTGAATTCTCGCTCTGCCACTTCCTAGCTATCCAGCTTTAGACTCATTTATAAAGCTCTTTGTGCCTTGATTTCCTCAACAACAACAACAACAACAAAAGAGAGTAATAATAATAATTGCCTTACAATATTGTTAAGAAGATTGAGGTCATATGTGCACAGCTTTTAGCTCATACCTGGCTGATAGTAAGTACTCAATAAATGGTTTTTTTGTTTTGTTTTATTTATTTTTGAGACAGGGTCTTGCTCTGCTGTCCAGGCTGGAGTGCAGTGGCGTGATCACAGCTCACTGCAACCTCAAACTCCTGGGCTCAAGTGATCCTCTCACCTCAACCTCCCAAGTAGCTGAAACTAAAGGCACACACCACCACATCTGACTAATTTTTTAAATTAATTTATTTATTTTTGAGATGGAGTCTCACTCTTGTCGCCTAGGCTGGAGTGCAATGACACGATCTTGGCTCACTCCAATCTCTGCCTTCCAGGTTCAAGCAATTCTCCTTCCTCAACTTCCCAAATAGCTGGGATTACAGGTGCCCACCATTACGCCCAGCTAATTTTTGTATTTTTAGTAGAGACAGGGTTTCACCATGTTGGCCAGGCTGGTCTTGAACTCCTGACCTCAGGTGATCCAGCCACCTTGGCCTCCCAAAGTGCTGGGATTACAGACCTGAGCCACTGCACCCAGCCATTTCTTTATTTTTTATATTAACAAGGTCTTGCTATGTTGCTCAGGCTGGTCTCAAACTCATGGCCTCAAGCAATCCTCCTGCCTCAGCCTCCCAAAGTGCTAGGATTATAGGTGTGAGCCAGTGTGCCTGGCCAGTAAATGTTATTATTAAGGATTAACTGTTAAATTAAGTAAGAGCAAAGAAGTAAGAAGTTCTGCAGAGGATGGGAGAGTTGTGTGTCTTCGGTGACTGCCCCTGAAGGTTTGTCTTGAGTATTTGGTGTAGTAGATCTGCGTAGACTTGCAAGACACCAAGTTGTCAAAACCACTTTCTGACAGAGAAAATTTTATCCATGATCCTTTTTGTGCACCTTATTGCTATTTCCATCACCAGTGAATTTTTACTTTACAATGCTCATTTAGCAAACATTCCTTATTTTGTTTTATGCATTTCACTTAAGAAAAGAATTGGCCATATGTTCCAAGAAAGAAAAAAAAACCAAAAACCTGTTTTGTACTCCATATGCAAAGCTGCTGTCATAGTCACTGGTTTTGCCAGTGTTTATTGTGTATTATGTTTTGCTTCAATTGACATAATTTCATGCTGCATTAGCCAGATAAGAAGGATTTATGGTGAATGATATCAAACAGTTTCAATCAGCAAAGATGCCAGGTGTGTGGTGGTGGAAAATTGTAATGGGAAGATTCTAACCTTGTTCATAGAGCACGCTAGTTACCCAAAACATTATTTTAACATCTGTTCAAGTCACACTCATTAGCAGGCATTTGCAGTATTGTGAATGAAATACTGATTTCCAAAGACAAGGCATTCAACAGTTGCCTGATTTGGAAACCAAATGGTTCCTGTCAATTTGCATGATAGTGTCAGTATGGCTGCAAAGGATGCTGTTCTGGTTTGACTGAAAGAGTGGAACCTACTGCAGGATATCTAGAAATCTGGTAGGTTTGGGGGTCTCCCCCTTCTCTCCACATCCCATTCATCGCCAAGTCCAGCAAACTCTTCTACCTGGCCATTCCTTCTCTCTCGCATCTTCTCTGTAGGTCCTGCCCGGGTTTAGGTCTGCATGGCTCTCACGCCATCGTCCCTGCCTCTAACATTTTCTACTCCAATGGTCTCTTCACATTGCTCCTGCTTGAATAATTTTTTTTCCAACATACAAATCTGATTACAGGTTGAGGATCCCTAATATAAAAATCTGAAATCTGAAATGCTCTAAAATCAGAATCTTTCTGAGTGTCGACATGACACCAAAAGTAGAAAATTCCACACATAAGTACTTAACACAAACTTGGTTTCATGCACAAAATTATTTACAATATTGCATAAATTACCTTCAAACTCTGCATATAAGGTGTATATAAAATGTTAATGAATAATGTTAATGTATAAATCGTATGGATGTATGAATTGTATAAAATGTATGAATAATGTATAAAATTACCTTCAGACTCTGTTTCGTTAAAACATTAATTAGTTTCATGTTTAGCCGTGGGTCCTAACCCCAAGATATCTCATTAAGTACATGTAAATATTTCAAAATCTGAAAAAATCCGAAATCTGAAGCACTGCTCATCCCAAGCATTTTGAATAAGAGACACTCAACCTGTATTTTACTTCCCACAACAAAGTTACTCAGTGACTCCCTGCTAACCACATGATACAATCTAAACTTCTGGGGTTGGCACACAAAGGCCTTCAGGGTTGCCCCTGCCGTCCTGTGAAGCCTTGCAGGCCCATGTTCCCTTCCACAAGCTTCACCCTCCATATTAGGGAACTCTGTGGTTTCCTTTACTCACCCTTCACATTTCTGTTCAATTGCTTTCCTTGGTAACTTAAACAAATCAACAAGCAAAAAACAACCCCATTAAAAAGTGGGCAAAAGACATGAACAGACACTTTTCAAAAGACGACATACACACAGCCAACAAGCATTTGAAAAAATGCTTAACATCACTGATCATTAGAGAAATGCAGATCAAAACCACAGTGAGATACCATCTCACACCAATCAGAATGGCTATTATTAAAAAGTCAAAAAATAACAGATGTTGGTGGGAATGTAAATCAGTTCAGCCATTGTGGAAAGCAGTTTGGCAATTTCTCAAAAAACTTAAAACAGAACTACCATTTGACTCAGTAATCCCATTATTGGGCATACACCCAAAGGAATATAAATCATTCTACCATAAAGACACATGCATGCATGCTGTGGGAAGTCAGCAACCCGAACGGAGGGACTGGCTGGAGCCAAGGCAGAAGAACATAAATTGTGAAGATTTCATGGACACTTATCAGTTCCTAAAATTAATACTTTTATAATTTCTTATGTCTGTCTTGTCTTTAATCTCTTAATCATGTTATCTTCTTAAGCTGAGAATGTACGTCACCTCAGGACCACTATTGTACAAATTGATTGTAAAACATGTATTTGAACAATATGAAATCAGTGCACCTGAAAAAGAACAGAATAACAGTGATTTTCAGGGAACAAGGGAAGGTAACCATAAGGTCTGACTGCCTGCAGGGTCGGGCAGAATAGAGCCATATTTTTTTTCTTGCAGAGAGCCTATAAATGGACGTGTGAGTAGGAGAGATATCGCTGAATTCTTTTCCCAGCAAGGAATACTAATAATGGATACCCTGGGGAAGGAATGCATTCCTCAGGGGAGGTCTATAAAAGGCCACACTGGGAGTGTCTGTCTTATGCTGTTGAGATAAGAACTGAAATACGCCCTGGTCTCCTGCAGTACCCTCAGGCTTACTAGGATTGGGAAATTCCAGCCTGGTAAATTCTAGTCAGACCAGTTCTCTGCTCTCGAACCCTGTTTCCTGTTAAGATGTTTATCAAGATAATATGTGCACAGCGGGACATAGACCCTCATCAGTAGTTCTAATTTTGCCTTCACCTTGTGATCTTTATTGCCCTTTGAGGCATGTGATCTTTGTGACCTACTCCCTGTTCGTACACCCCCTCCCCTTTTAAAATCCCTAATAAAAATTTGCTGGTTTTGCAGCTTGGGGTCGTCATCACGGTCCTACCAATATGTGATGTCACCCCCAGAGGCCCAGCTGTGAAATTCCTCTCTTTGTACTCTTTCTCTTTATTTCTCAAACCGGCCAATATTTAGGGAAAAATAGAAAGAACCTACGTTAAAATATTGGGGGCTGGTTCCCCCGATACACATGTATGTTCATTAGAGCACTATTCTCAGTAGCAAAGACATGAAATCAACCTAAATGCCAACCAACGGTAGACTGGATAAAGAAAATGTGGTACATATACACCATGGAATACTACATAGCCATAAAAAAAGAAGGAGATCATCTCATTTGCAGCAATATAAATGGAGCTGGAGGCCATAATCCTGTCAGTATGGCTGCATACTGTTCCTGTGAACTAACACAGGAACAGAAAACCAAATACCACATGTTCTCACTTATAAGTGGGAGCTAAACATTGAAAACACATGGACACAAAGAAGGAAACAATAGACACTGAGGCCTTATAGAGGGTGGAGGGAGGGAGAAGAGTGAGGATGGAAAAGCTACATATTGGGTACTATGCTCATTACCTGGGTGACGGAATAATTTGTACACCAAACCCCTGTGACATGAAATTTACCTGTATAATAAACCTGCACATGTACCCCGAACCTAAAATAAAAGTTAAAAAAAATAATAATTCCCAGCTGGGCATGGTGGCTCATGCCTGTAATACCAGCACTTTGAGAGGCCAAGGCAGGTGGATGACTTAAGGCCAGGAGTTGCAGACCAATCTGGACCACATGGTGAAACCCCGTCTCTATAAAAATTAGCTGGGTGTGGTGACACACACCTGTAATCCCAGCTACTCAGGAGGCTGAGTCAGCAGAATTGCTTGAACCTGGGAGGCAGAGGTTGCAGTGAGCCAAGATCGTGCCACTGCACTCCAGCCTGGGTGACAGAGTGAGACTCTGTCTCAAGAAAAAAAAAAAAAAAGAATTCCCTGACCCTGTTCGGTAAACCTCGGGGCTATTCCCCTCTGTTCCTACTGCACTTTGTACATAGCTCCAATAATAATACATAAAACATTATATTGTGGCTGGGCACAGTGTCTCACACCTGTAATCCCAACACTTTGGGAGGCCGAGGTGGGCAGATCACTTAAGGTCAGGAGCTCAAGACCAGCCTGGCCAACATGGCGAAAACCCGTCTCTACTAAAAATATAAAAATTAGTTAGGCGTAGTGGTACGCACCTATACTCGGGAGGCTGAAGCACAAGAATCACTTGAACCGGGGAGGCGGAGGTTGTAGTGAGCTGAGATCGCATCACTGCACTGCAGCCTGGGTGACAGAGCGAAACTCTGTCTCAAAAAACAAAAACAAAACCATTATATTTTTACTGGTTATTTAATATCTCTCTCACCACCAAAATGGTAGCTCTTTGGAAGCAGGGTCTATTTCATTCATTTTCATCTTTGAATTCCCAGGGCCTGGCGTGTTGTGGACAGGGAATATCTAATTGTTAAATAAATTTTAAATGGTAAATTAAATCATGTTAATGTAGAATTTCACAATAATTTAACTAAAAAGTAACTAAAAGTATCTAAAAAATAGTAGCTATCTTTCATTATGTATTTACTATTTGCCAAGCTTAAAAGTATTAAGCAAATACTTCATATTTGTTATGCTAGTGTTTTCCAAATTTCAGTGCATACTATTTTCCTTAATTTACTCATTTTTACTAATAATAAATATATTTTAGAAGAAAAGTTTACATTATTACCACATGTGGAAAACTGGTATCACTTGCCATAAATGGAAATAAAGTAAATCCATATATGGAAATAAAGTAAATCATTAAGGAAATAAAGTAAATCATTAATAAATAAAGTAAATGTAAACAGTAGTATATTTACTAAATGATTCTCCAATGAGAAAAAAATTATTTAAGATTGGTCAGGCAAGGTGTGGTGGCTCATGCCTGTAATCTCAGCACTTTGGGAGGCCGGGCGGGCAGATCACTTGAGGTCAAGTTCAAGATAAGCCTGGTCAGCATGGCGAAATGCCATCTCTACAAATAAAAAAATTAGCTGGGCGTTGTGGTGTGTGCCAGGTACCAGGGAGGTTGAGGTAGGAGAATCACTTGAACCCAGGAGGCAGAGGTTGCAGTGAGCCAAGATTGTGCCACTGCACTCCAGCCTGGGCGGCAGAGCAAGACTCCACCTCAAAAAAAAAAAAAAAAGAAAGAAAGAAAGATTGGTCAAAAATAAAACTATTCAGCTCAATTTCACATAGCTGAAGAAAATTTTGAAGATCGACATTAATGAAAATGTTTTAGTTTTGATGTTAACTTGCATCAAGAATTCTAATTCACGTGCATTCATAATTTGAGAGGTGATTACATATAATTTACTCTTTTGAGAGTTTCTAACCAAAGTGATGTAAGTAACTTTTGTTCAACAAATTTAAAAGAAGCCATCTGAAGAGATTGCCAGAAAATGCACTTGTGTCGAGCTATTTGATAATGATGCCCAAAATGATGGGGAAAACATTCCTTATTCACTTGAGGCTGCCAATGGGATTGGGAAAACATTTATTAAAATCTTTTTAAAGTTAAGTTATTTGAGTCTTTTTTTAGTTCATCATTTTCTCAGCCAGACTTTGTGCCTGAGTTTAAAATCAATTTGTTCTCCTAACAAAAGGGACCATGTGCACCTCAATTAAGGAGTGCCCCCGCAGTGATCCAGTTTCATGACCATTATGTACTTTTGTCTCTCCTGTGGAATAGGCAGGTCATCAAATAACATCATTTCATTCAACATTATTTTATTATGTGGATGAGAAGAAGAAATTGGTCCTGGGCCAGAGCCACTGTTTTTGTGGTTTGCCCGTTCTCCCTCTGTCTGCATGCATTCCCTCTGGGTACTCCCGCTTCCTCCCACATCCCAAAGCCATGCTGTATTAGTCTGTTCTCATGCTGCTAATAAAGATATATCCGAGACTGGGTAATTTATAAAGGAAAGAGGTTTAATGGACTCACAGTTCCACATGGCTGGGGAGGCCTCACAATCATGGCAGAAGGCAAATGAGCAGCAAAGGCATGTCTTACATGGCAGCAGGTAAGAGAGCATGTGCAGGGGAACTCCCCTTTATAAAACCATCAAATCTCATGAGATGTATTCACTATCACGAGAACAGCATGGGAAAAACCTGCCGGTATGATTCAGTTACCTCCCACTGGGTCCCTCCCATGACAAGCGGGAATTATGGGAGCTACAATTCAAGGTGAGATTTGGGTGGGGACACAGCCAAACTGTATCACATGCACCTTAGGTGAATTGTTGTCTCAGATGGTCCCAGTATGAGTGAGTGTGGGGGTGTGTGAGTGTGCCCTGTGATGGAATGGAGTCCTGTCTGAGGCTGGGTCCCATCTTGTGCCCTGAGCTGCTTGGATAGACTCCGGCCACTCTTGACCCTGAATTGGAAATAAGCAGGTAAATAATTATCTTACTTGTTTTTATTGATCTTTCTTAAATGTATGTAGAGCTCACATTTATTTCAATGTTTAATATTAGAAGTGCTTTGCCTCAGCTAACATCATACTTAATGTGAAAAAATTGAAGGCCTTTCCTCCAAGGATGGGAACAAAACGAGGATGCCCAGTTTCACCACTGTTATTTAACATAACACTGAAAGTCCTGGCCAAAGCAATAAGGCAAGAGAAAGAAATAGAGGGCATCCAGTTTGGAAAGGAAGAAATCAAATTAGCCTTGTTCACAGATGACATGATCTCATGCCTAAAAAAACCTAAAGACGCTACGAAAAAACTGTTAGAACTGATCAGTGAATTCAGCAAAGTTGCAGAATATAAAATTCATATACAAAAATCAGTAGCAAGGCTAGGCATGATGGTTCACACCTGTAGTCCCAGCTACTCAGGAAGCTAAGGCAGGAGGATCATTTGAGGCATGACTTAGAGAACAACCTGGCAACCTAGTGAGACCCTGTCTCTACAAAAAATTTTAAAAATCAGCCAGGTGTAGTGGCACAAATCTGTAGTCCCAGCTACTCCTGAGGCTGAGTCGGGAGAATTGCTTGAGCCCAGGAGTTGGAGGTTATAGTGAGCTACGATAACATCACTGAACTCCAGCAAGGGCAAAAGAGCAGCAGATCCTGTCTCTTAAAAAAAAAAAAATTAGTTGCATTTACATGTACCAACAGCAAACACTCTGAAAAAAAAAATCAACATTAAAGTGTTTTGGTCTTTACTTAGAAGTGTGGTGATGTTTTTGTGAGCAGAAATATGCCACAAGAACTTAACTCTTTTTTGTTGTTGTTTGTTTTCTTTGTTTGTTTGTTTGTTTTTTGAGACAGAGTCTTGTTCTGTTGCCCAGGCTGGAGTGCAGTGGTGCCATCTTGGCTCACTGCAAGCTCTGCCTCCCGGGTTCACGCCATTCTCCTGCCTCAGCCTCCCGAGTAGCTAGGACTACAGGTGCCCGCCACCACGCCTTGCTAATTTTTTTTGTATTTTTAGTAGAGACGGGGTTTCACCGTGTTAGCCAGCATGGTCTCGATCTCCTGACCTCGTGATCCGCCCACCTCTGCCTCCCAAAGTGCTGCGATTACAGGCGTGAGCCACTGTGCCTGGCCTTCTCTGTGTTTCTAACAGTGCATAGATTTTACTTCTTGGAGGATAGCTTGAACAGACCAACCAAGTCCTCCTGGCTTTAGCCCTATGTGTACTCAACAGGTGACCATCGACATAACAATCCACACTAGTGAACTGTTCCCACTGCATGATGCTCTTACATGTGTGAAGAATTATGGCACAAAATTCAGTTACTGAAGGTTTAAATGTATCATTCATGGTAGGCAGAATCACGACCCCATGAAGATGTCCATGTGTGAATCCCCAGAACCTCAGAATCTTACATGGACAAAGGGACTTTGCAATGTGATTAAAGTTAAGGACCTTGAGATGGGAGATTATCCTGGATTATCTTAGTGAGCCCAAGCTAATCTCATGTGCCCTTAAAAGTTGAGAACCAGCCAGGCACAGTGGCTCATGCCTGTAATTCCAACAATTTGGGAGGCCAAGGCAGGAGGATTGAAGGATCACTTGAGGCCAGGAAGCAGAGGCTGCAGTGAGCTATTATTGTGCCACTGCACCCTAGCCTGGGTGACAGAGCAAAACCTTATTTCAAAAAAAAAAAAAAAAAAAAAAAAAAGAAGGAGGAGGAGGAAAAGAAAAATGAAAAATAAGTTGAGATCCTTTCCCACCTGTGGTCCAAGAGAGATGTGACAAGGAAAGAAGGGTCAGAGACATGCAACTATGAGATTTTATCAAAAGAGTGTTTCGATTTCTAACTGGTTATTACCAAATTATTACCAAGTAAGATAAAGGAATTAAACCAATAGTAACAACCATCCCCAATTCCTCTGAAGTTGTTTAAGAGGAAGCAAGCCAATTAAAGCTAATGTAACAGCTTTAGAGGGAATAGACTGAAGTTGGGGGCGGGGGCTTTTTTTTTTTTTGATGGATTTTTGCTCTTGTCATTCAGGCTGGAGTGCAATGGTGCGATCTTGGCTCACGGCAACCTCCACTTCCCGGGTTCAAGCGATTCTCCTGCCTCAGCCTCTCAAGTAGCTGGGATTACAGGCATGCATTACCAGGCCAGGCTAATTTTTTTTTTTTTTTTTTTTTTTTTCAATTTTTAGTAGAGATGGGGTTTCACCATGTTGCTCAGGCTGGTCTCGAACTCCTGACCTCAGGTGATCCACCCACCTCAGCCTCCCAAATTGCTGGGATTACAGGCGTGAGCCAGTGCTCCCGGCCAGTGGGGGCATTTTTAAAGAAATATTGGACTCACCCTGGAGTGCTCACTTATCCGCCCTATACTGTAGAGTCAAGGCTTCTGACTTAGTAAAAAGCTGCTTAACATGGGACATTCCTTAGAAGCCAAAGAGAAGAACTTTCTCTCTCTGATACACTAACAGTTGAATAAACATTTATTTCCCTCCTAATCCCTTAAATCAATGTGCCAGCAGAATCAGAACAGTCAAGACATGGACCGGAAGAAGTCATTAAAATCCTCAGCTGTCTGGGCGTGGTGGCTCACGCCTGTAATCCCAGCACTTTGGGAGGTCGAGGGGGTGGATCACGAGGTCAGGAGATCGAGACCATCCTGGTTAACACGGTGAAACCCCGTCTCTACTAAAAATACAAAAAAATTAGCCGGGCGTGGTGGCAGGCGCCTGTACTCCCAGTTACTCGGGAGGCTGAGGCAGGAGAATGGCGTGAACCCGGGAGGCGGAGCTTGCAGTGAGCCGAGAACGCGCCACTGCACTCCAGCCTGGGAGACAGAGTGAGACTGTCTCAAAAACAAAACAAAACAAAAACAAAACAAAACAAAAATCCTCAGCTGTCACCAGCCACGCCCACCCTGGGGTGAAGAATGCCCAGATTCTGACCGAGTTGGGCTTTGGGAATAAGAGAGGAGAACAGGGGCAGCCAGTTCTTTGTAACAATTCTCAACAAATTGGCCTTTTTCCTTTCCTAAGGGCTTAGTGCTGACGTTGATACATTTGATACATGTAACTACATTAGGGAAAATTAAAGCAGGCTGTGTTTAATTCTGGCTAATTTAAAAGTTGTTCTGAAGTTAAAATGTATCTTTTGATACTCAGAAATAATAATAAAAAAAAGTTTTTGGCTGGGCGTGGTGGCTCATGCCTGTAATCCCAGCACTTTGGGAGGCCAGTCAGGAGTTTGAGACCAGCCTGACCAACACAGTGAAACCCCGTCTCTACTAAAAATACAAAAATTAGCTGGGCATGGTGGCATGTGCCTGTAAGCCCAGCTACTCGGAAGGCTGAGGCAGGAGAATGACCTGAACCCGAGAGGCAGAGGTTGAAGTGAGCCGAGATCAGGCCACTGCACTGCAGCCTGGGTGACTCCTCTCAAAAGGAGTGCACTCCCTCTCAAAAAAAAAAAAAAATTGTTATTTGAGATAGGGTCTCATTCTGTCACCCAACCTGGAGTGCAGTGGCATGATCATGGCTTACTGCAGCCTCAACCTCCTGGGCTGAAGCAGTCCTCCCACCTCAGCCTCCCATGTAGCTGGCCCTGCAGGCACTTGGCACCATGCCCAGCTAATATTTTTAATTTTTGTAGAGGCATGGTCTCACTATGTTTCCCAGGTTGGTCTGGAACTCTTGGCCTCAAGCAAGAGGCCTCCCGCCTCTGCCTCCCAAAGCCCTGGGATTACAGGCCTGAGCCACCACACCTGACCAAGAGGACAAAGTTCTAGCTGAAAGGACAGATGTGGAGGCTGAGTGTGGTGGCTCACATCTGTAATCCCAGCACTTTGAGAGGCCAAGGCAGGAGGATTGCTTGAGGCCAGGAGTTCAAGACCACCCTGGCCAACAGAGAGAGACTTGTGGAGGGTCACATGGGTAGAGGTGAGGGAGCTGAGCAGAGTCATGAAGTAGGAATACTGAGTTGTGCTGGGATACAGCTGCAACTGGAAACCACCGATGTGAGATGTGGGTACATCATCAGTCAAGGCAAGAAGCTGCTCTACCCAAACAGCCTCACACCTCTGAGGAGTGCGGCAACTGTGGATATTTTACAGACATCACGAGATGCTGATGTTCCGTAGTCATGACAGTTTTGAAATTGTTGCTGACTTATTTAATGCCATTTTGAGTCTTTTGTTACCTGTTTGATGTGCGTCTCCAACATTTTACAAGTCAAAACTGGGCTGCAATGACAAAAATGTTGGAAAAATTAAGGGACTAACTTGTTACAAGGGGCATTTGCATGAAATCCCCTAGGTAATGTCTAGAGTTGGGGTGGAAAGGACCAGGAGTCTATGAATGAGGGAGGTAAGTTGGTGTATGTATTAGTGAGGGTTCTCTAAAGGGACAGAACTAATAGAATAGATGTATATATGAAAGGGAGCATATTCAGGAGAATTGACTCACGTGATCACAAGGTAAAGTCCCATGATAGGCCGTCTGCAAGTTGAGGAGCAAGGAGCCAGTGGTGGATCAGTGCACATCCCAAAACCTCAAAAGTAGGGAAGCCATCAGTGCAGCTTTCGGTCTGTGGCCAAAGGCCCGAGAGTCCCTGGCAAACCACTGGTGTAAGTCCAAGAGTCCAAAAGCTGAGGAACTTGGAGTCTGATGGGCAGGAACTTGGAGTCTGTGGGAAGGAAGCATCCAGCGTGGGAGAAAGATGAAGGCTTGAAGACTCAGCCAGTCTGCTTTTCCATCTTCTTCCTGCTTTTATTCTAGCCACACTGGCAACCGATTAGGTGGTGCCCACCCAGATAGAGGGTTGGTCTGCCTCTCTCAGTCCACTAACTCAAATGTTAATGTCCTTTGGTAAAACCCTCACAGACACACCCAGGAACAATACTTTGCATCCTCCAATCCAATCAAGTTGACAATCAGTATTAACCATCATAGTGCAGTACTGTCAGATGGTGTAATGACAGTGTAATAAGAAGTGAAGAGAAGGTAAACACTGCTGGCCAGTCCCTTAATTTAACCCATTTTCCGTTAAGGGAAAAAAAAAAAATCTCAGCTCACTGCCGGCGCTCATTTCTCAGGGCAAACAGGAAATGGATTAAGAAATGGAACAAGAGATGTTAGTGAATCAGAGAGAAAAAAGTTTTTCTCTTTGGCTTCTAAGGAGTGCCCCCATACTAAGTAGCCCCCCAACTTTTTTTTTTTTTTTTTTTTTTGAGACGGCGTCTCGCTCTGTCACCCAGGCTGGAGTGCAGTGGTGCAATCTCAGCTCACTACAGTGTCTGCCTCCAAGGTTCAAGCAATTCTTCTGCCTCAGCCTCCTGAGTAGCTGAGACTACGGGCACGCACCACTAATTTTTGAATTTTTTGTTAGATACAGGGTTTCACCGTGTTTCCAAGGCTGGTCTCGAACTCCTGATCTCAGTCAATCTGCCTGCCTTGGCCTCCTAAAGTGCTGGGATTACAGGCATGAGCCACCATGCCTGTAAATAAAAATAAAAAGTAGCTTTTTATTAAGTCAAAAGCTTTGATGGTACAGTATAGGACAGAGAGAAGAGAGCAATCCTGGAAGGTGAGATGCTGGTGAAATGGATTGTTCAGTGGGTCCGGGTGGCCATAAAATACATGTTCCCCAGAATTTGCAGAAATCATGAGGAAGTCTTTGATATGAAGCAAATGTGTGATGCAGAATTACGGTTTATGCACTGCTCAAACAACAGAGTGGGTGTCCTCAGCTGGCCCTTTGGGTTATTCTACAAAAGCAGTCCATTTTCCATTTAGTAGTTTATTTCTATATCCATCCACATAAATAACCAGTTTCTCTCTCTCTCTTCTTTTTTTTTTTTTTTTAAACTTCTCTGGTAGAATCTATGTATTAACCAGATCATTCTTTCTACCTTTGAGATGTTTGTCATCCAAGTGTATCAAATACAGTGTATATATTTTTCCTCATCTCAATGCCTTCCTTTTCATATTGCTTAATTTTGTCCGTTTTTGTATTTTTGTAGTGTGTATGTCTCTCAGCCCATAATCTCAGATGTCCAAGAAATATTATTTTATTCTTTTACAACCCATTTTTTATTGTTGTTGCTGTTGTTTGGGACTCATGCTTGCTGAGCAGGTGGAAAAGAAATTGCAGTCATTTTTATGGTTGTATCATAAGTCATAGCCAGACGTGGTGGCATGTGCCTCCCAGTTACTCAGGAGGCTGAGACAGGAGGACTGCTTGAGCTTAGGAGCATGAGACTGCAATGAGCTATGACAGCACCACTGCACTCCAGCATGGGCAGCAGAGTTAGACCCCATCTTCATTATTATTATTATTATTTTTTCCAGATGGAGTTTCGCTCTTGTTGCCCAGGCTGGAGTCCAATGGCATAATCTTGGCTCACTGCAACCTCTGCCTCCTGGGTTCAAGTGATTCTCCTGCCTCAGCCTCCTGAGTAGCTGGAATTACAGGCATGTGCCACCACGCCCTGGCTAATTTTGCATTTTTAGTAGATAATTTTGTATTTTTAGTAGAGATGGGGTTTCTCCATGTTGATCAGGATTACAGATGTGAGCCACTGCACCCGGCCGAGACCCCATCTTTAAAAACAAAAACTAGGCTTGGCACGGTGGCTCACGCTTGTAATCCCAGTACTTTGAGAGGCCGAGGCGGGAGGATCACAAGGTCAGGAGCTCAAGACCAGCCTGGCCAACATGGTGAAACTCTGCCTCCACTAAAAATACAAAAATTAGCTGGGCGTGGTGGCGGGTGCCTGTAATCCCAGCTACTCAGGAGGCTGAGTCAGCAGAATTGCTTGAACCTGGGAGGCAGAGGTTGCAGTGAGCCAAGATCATGCTACTGCACTCCAGCCTGGGTGACAGAGCTAGACTCCGTCTCAAAAGAAAACAAACAAACAAAAAAAACAGTCTTAGGGCTTATTATAAAGTGTAAAAAGGTTTTGGGTGGAGTCTGTCTGGTCCTCAAGTCACTCACCCATGCAGGAGGACCCGAGAGGTCCACTGTTTCCCTCCATGTGGCCTTTTCAGCCCTGGCAGCTCTCTGAAGTTTTCACGTCTCACTGGTAACCAGGACTCAGCCTGGGCTGCCTTTGGTCCTGTCTGCATTGGTGCAGACTGCAGCCACGTCTCTCAGAGTTTGCTTCTCCTCTGGCCTGCTGTCAGGAGCTGGAGCCCAGATACTGTAACTGCCCAGTGGGTTCACCTTGCCCGCTGCCTAGACAGAGCCGATTTATCAAGACAGGGGAATTGTAATAGAGAAAGAGTAATTCACGCAGAGCCGGCTGTGGGAGACCAGAGTTTTATTATTACTCAAATCAGTCTCCCCGAACATTTGGGGATCAGAGATTTTAAAGATAATTTGGGAAGTGGCGAGTGCTGATTGGTCAGGTTGGAGATGGAATCATAGGGGGTCGAAGAGAGTTTTTCTTGCTGTTTTCTGTTCCTGGGTGAGATGGCAGAACTGGTGGAGCCAGATTACCTGTCTGGGTGGTGTCAGCTGATCCACTGAGTGCAGGGTCTGCCAAAATATCTCAAGCACTGATCTTAGGTTTTTCAATAGTGATGTTATCCCCAGGAACCATTTGGGAAGGTTCAGACTCTTGGAACCAGAGGCTGCATGACCCCTACACTGTACTTTCTAATCTTGTACCTAATTTGTTAGTACTGCAAGGTGGACTGGTCCCCAGGCAAGAAGGGGGTCTTTCTGGGAAAGGGCTATTATCAGTTTTGCTTCAGAGTCAAACCATGAACTGAATCCCTTCCCAAAGTTAGCTCAGCCCATGCCCAGGAATGAACAAGGACAGCTTAAAAGTTAGAAACAAGATGGAGTCGGTTCAGCAGAGTTAGACCCCATCTTCATCATCATTATTATTATTATTATTATTATTATTACTATTATTTCCAGATGGAGTTTCACTCTTGTTGCCCAGGCTGGAGTCCAATGGTGTAATCTCGGCTCACCGTAATCTCTGCCTCCCAGTTCAAGTGATTCTCCTGCCTCAGCCTCCTGAATAGCTGAGATTACAGGCGCATACCACCATGCTCAGCTAATTTTTGTATTTTTAGTAGAGATGGGGTTTTGCCATGTTGGCCAGACTAGTCTCCAACTCCAGACCTCAGGTGATCCGCCCACCTCGGCCTCCCAAAGTGCTGGGATTACAGGAATGAGCCACCACATCCGGCCAGATTAATGATTTTAGATCTTTCTTCTTTTCTAATATAAGCGTTTAATGTTACAAGGTTTCCTGTAAGCATAGCTGTACCTATACCCCACACATTTTTATATATTGTATTTTCATTTAATTTATCTCAAATATCATTTGTAATTTTTTTCATTGGTGCATGAGTTATTTCAAAGTCTATTGTTTAGTTTCCAAATATTTGAGAGATTTTCCAGGTATATTTATGTTACTGATTTGGCATATAATTCCACTGTGATCAGAAAACATACTTTCATTTCTTTCTTTCAAATTTATTGAGACATATTATGGCCTAGAATATGACCTTCTTTGATCTATTTTCCATGTGCACTTGAATGCGTATTGTGGTGTTTTATTTTTTTTCACATTATTAGTTTATTAATCTTCTCATGAAGAATCCACAATGGCTGCAGAAAACATCATTGCAGCATCTTGACTCCTTCGGCTTTTTGCCCACACAAACATTGGCCTTTACAGTCCCCTGACTTTCTTCATTCTGTTCTTGCCTTCCTTTCATTGCTTTCTTGAGGTCTTTTTTTCTCATACAGGCCTTGTCTTGCAAGTCTATGTTTGGGTCCATTTTTCTTTGCATAATCCAAGGAATCATAAATCATGCCAAAGCCAGTTGTCTTGCCACCGCCAAAATGAGTTCTAATCCAAACACAAAGATGACATCCAGTGTGGTCTTGTACATTTTGGCTAGTTTTTCCCAAATTTCTGTCTTAGGTACTGTTGCCTTCCAGGTATGAAGGACATCAATCATCATTTGTTTCCTCTGAAGTAGTTGGTTGGTCACGAACTTTCTAGTTCAGATAGTTACTGTGTCATTCATGATGGTAGTCAATCCTTAGACGGCCAGGAAGGAAAAGAGTGCTGTTTTGTGGTGGAGTGTTATGTAAATGCCAATTAGGGCATGTTGGTTGACAGTGTTGTTCAAACCTTAAATATCCTTACAATAGAGGAGTTATTAATAAATTATTTTAGGCAGTTAGTGAGGGTAAAAGAGTTCTTGGTAGAATTTTCCTTTAATAAAAAGCAGCCCCAAAACCACTTCTTTTCTAACAGAAAGCAGCCTGAAAAGTCAAGCTGCAAGCAAGCTGGAAGCTTGAGTATGTAAATGCCAGCAGCTGTACCTGGAATCCAGGTACATTCCAACATGCAGACTTCTCCCTCCCTTTTCTTTGTTACCACGAAGTATATGGGTGTCACCAACCAGGTAAAGCCACATGTGCAGGTGTCATGGCAACAGCCAGGTAGAAGCCACATTTACACAATGAAAGATTAGGGTGGGAGGGCTAGTTCCTTTGTGGACTATGTAAATGGCACACCTGGTTAAATGAATCCCCTGGGCCCTATGTAAATCAGTCACTGCCTTCTCAAGCCTCTCTACAAAATTGATCAAATCCCACCCCAAACCTGGAAACCCTCTCTTGGGTGACCCACTTTCTCAGCTTGAGGAAGATTTCTCTCTCTCTCTCTCTCTTTTTTTTTTTTTTTTTTTTAGTATTTATTGATCATTCTTGGGTGTTTCTCGGAGAGGGGGATTTGGCAGGGTCATAGGACAATAGTGGAGGGAAGGTCAGCAGATAAACATGTGAACAAGGGTCTCTGGTTTTCCTAGGCAGAGGACCCTGCGGCCTTCCGCAGTGTTTGTGTCCCTGGGTACTTGAGATTAGGGAGTGGTGATGACTCTTCACGAGCATGCTGCCTTCAAGCATCTGTTTAACAAAGCACATCTTGCACCGCCCTTAATCCATTTAACCCTGAGTGGACACAGCACACGTTTCAGAGAGCACGGGGCTGGGGGTAAGGTTATAGATTAACAGCATCCCAAGGCAGAAGAATTTTTCTTAGTACAGAACAAAATGAAAAGTCTCCCATGTCTACTTCTTTCTACACAGACACAGTAACAATCTGATCTCTCTTTCTTTTCCCCACATTTCCCTCTTTTCTATTCGACAAAACCGCCACCGTCATCATGGCCCGTTCTCCATGAGCTGTTGGGTACACCTCCCGGACGGGGTGGCGGCCGGGCAGAGGGGCTCCTCACTTACCAGACGGGGCGGCCGGGCAGAGGCGCCCCCCACGTCCCAAACAGGGCGGTGGCCGGGCGGAGGCGCCCCCCACCTCCCTCCCGGAAGGGGCGGCTGGCCGGGCGGGGGCTGCCCTCCACCTCCTGGACTGGGAGGCTGCCAGGCGGAGACGCTCCTCACTTCCCAGACGGGGCGGCTGCCGGGCGGAGGCGCTCCTCACATCCCAGATGGGGCGGCCGGGCAGAGGTGCTCCCCACATCTCAGACGATGGGCGGCCGGGCAGAGACGCTCCTCACTTCCTAGACGGGATGGCGGCCGGGAAGAGGTGCTCCTCACTTCCCAGACTGGGCGGCCGGGCAGAGGGGCTCCTCACATCTCAGACGATGGGCAGCCAGGCAGAGATGCTCCTCACTTCCCAGACGCGGTGGCGGCCGGGCAGAGGCTGCAATCTCGGCACTTCAGGAGGCCAAGGCGGGTGGCTGGGAGGTGGAGGTTGTAGCGAGCCGAGATCACGCCACTGCACTCCAGCCTGGGCAAGATTGAGCACTGAGTGAGCGAGACTCCGTCTGCAATCCTGGCACCTCGGGAGGCCGAGGCGGGCAGATCACTCGCGTTCAGGAGCTGGAGACCAGCCGGGCCAACACGGCGAAACCCCGTCTCCACCAAAAAATGCAAAAACCAGTCAGGCGTGGCGGCGCGCGCCTGCAATCCCAGGCACTCGGCAGGCTGAGGCAGGAGAATCAGGGAGGTTGCAGTGAGCCGAGATGGCGGCAGTACAGTCGAGCCTCCGCTTTCACAACTTTGGTGGCATCAGAGGGAGACCGGGGAGAGGGAGAGGGAGAGGGGGAGGGGGAAGGGGAGGGGGAGGTCTCTTCTTTTTTGTCTATTAAACTCTCCGCTCCTAAACTCCTTATGTGTGTCTGTGTCTTTAATCTTCTTGGTGCGAGATATCAAACCCCGGGTGTTTACCCCAGACAATGGAGCTGCTTCACTTATTGATTTTTTTATGTATTTGTTTTATAATTGCTTAGATTGGAGTGCTGAAATCTGCAACTGTGATGGAGAATTGACTCACTTATCCTTTCAGTTCTATCAGTGTTTGCTTCATGTAGAGATATTCCTCAGAAATACTGTGGGTTTGGTTCCAGACACTGTAATAAAGCAAATCACAAAAAATTTTTGGTTCCCCAGTGCATACAAAGTTATGTTTACACTATACTGTAGTCTAGTATGTGCAATAGTATTATGTCTTTAAAAACTATGTACATATGTTCAAAATACTTTACTGCCAAAAAATTTGACACAGAGGCACAAAGTGAGTACAAGCTGTTGGAAAAATGGTGCTGATATACTTACTCAACACACGGTTGCCACAAACCTTCAATTTGTAAAAAATACAAAATCTGTGAAGTGCAATTAAGTAAAACACAATAAAATGAGGTACGCCTATCTTTTGAAACCTTTCGTTAGGAGTATACAAATTTAAAATTGTTGTATTTTCTTGATAAATTAAGTCTTTATAAAATGTGCCACTTGATTCATGGTAATATTCATAGTTCTCTCTTACTTTGTGTGATACTAATCTAGCCACTTCAGTTATCTTTCCATTCGTTTTTCCTATGTCTTTATTCATCCATTCAGGGTTAACCTCTTTGTTTTTGTAGTTAATGTCAGTTTCTTGTAGTCAGTATACTTTTGGATCTTGATTTTTTAATCCAATTTGGTGAATCTCTATCTTTTGAGTGTTTTGATAATTTATATTTAATATAATTATTGATATGGTTGAGTTTAAATCTATCATCATTTTGTTTCTAAATATCTCATCTGTTCTTTTCTCCTTTTTTTGTTTTTTGCTTTGTTTTATTGAGTTTTGAGTTTTATTTGCAACATATATGTCAATATTATTTTATTAGTTTATTAGTTATATCCCTCTTTATTTTTTTAAGTGGTTGCTCTAGGGTTTACAATATATATCTTTATTTATTTATTTTTTTTGAGAGAGGGTCTTGCCCTGTTGCCCAGGCTGGAGTACAGTGGCATGATCTCAGCTCACTGCAACCTCTGCCTTCCGGGTTAAAGAGATTCTCCTGCCTCAGCCTCCCGAGTAGCTGTGATTACAGATGTGTGCCACCACGCCCAGCTAATTTTTGTATTTTTGGTAGAGATGGGGTTTCAGCATGTTGGCCAGGCTGGTCTTGAACTTCTGAATTCAGGTGATCCACCCACCTCAGCTTCCCAAAGTGCTGGGATCACAGGCGTGAGCCACCGTGCCTGGCCTACGATATACATTTTTAACTTACCACAGTCAGCCTTTAGCTAACATTATATTACTTCACATATACTGAAATAATCTTTCAACAGCATATTGCCATTTCTTCTCTGTCTCCTGTATAATTGTTATCATGTATTTCACTTCTGCATATATCATAACCCTCAAATATATTGGTTTTGAAAGACATCAAAAATAAAAATAAAGCCTGATATGTATTCAGATATTTGCCATATCTCATGCTACTTATTCCTTCGTTTATATCCAAGTTTCTATGTAGAATCATGTTGCTTTTATCCAAAGAACTGTTTTTTTTGTTTTTTTGAGACAGAATCTCACTTTGTCACCCAGGCTGGAGTGCAGTGGTGTGATCTCGGCTCACTGCAAGCTGCGCCTCCCAGGTTCACGCCATTATCCTGCCTCAGCCTCCTGAGTAGCTGGGACTACAGGTGCCCGCCACCACGCTCAGCTAATTTTTTTGTATTTTCAGTAGAGGCGGGGTTTCACTGTATTAGCAAGGATGGTCTCGATCTCCTGACCTCGTGATCTGCCCACCTCGGCCTCCCAAAGTTCTGAGATTACAGGCATAAGCCACCGCGCCTGGCCCAAAGAATTGTTTTAAACATTGTTTGTAGTGAAGATATGCTGGTGGTTAATTACTGCAGCTTTTGCTTACCTGAAAATTCCTTATTTGACCTTCAGTTTTGAAAGGCAGTTCTTATAATGCTCTCCATTATTTTCTGGCTTGTATTTTCTTTCCTTTAATTTTTTTTTTTTTTTTTTTTTTGAGACAGAATTTCACTCTTGTTGCCCAGACTGGAGTGTAATGGCATAATCTTGGCTCACCGCAACCTCCGTTTCTGGGTTCAAGCGATTCTCCTGCCTCAGCCTCCCGAGTAGCTGGGATTTCAGGCATGCACCACCATACCTGGCTAATTTTTGCATTTTTAGTAGAGATAGGGTTTCTCCATGTTGGTCAGGCTGGTCTTGAACTCCCGACTTCAGCTGATCCACCCCCTCGGCCTCCCAACCAAAGTGCTGGGATTACAGGTGTGAGCCACTGCGCCCAGACTTGTCTTTTTGTTTGTTTGTTTGTTTGTTTGTTTGTTTTTTGAGTTGGAGTCTCATACTGTCACCCAGGCTGGAGTGCAGTGGTACAATCTCCACTCACTGCAACCTCCACTTTCTGGGTTCCAGCGATTCTCCTGCCGCAGCCTCCCAAGTAGCTGGGATTACAGGCACCTGCCACCACATCCAGCTAATTTTTTGTGTTTTTAGTAGAGACGGGCTTTCACCATGTTGGCCAGGCTGGTCTTGAACTCCTGACCTCGTGATCTGCATGCCTCGGCCTCCCAAAGTGCTAGGATTACAGGCGTGAGCCACCGTGCCCGGCCCTTGTATTGTTTTTAATGAGAATTCTGCTGCTGTCATTCTTATTTTTGTTCTTCACGCACCGTGAAAGTTTTCCCCCCTCTGGAGCCTAAAGTTAATATGAAAAATTAGGCCTAAAATTTGCAAGGGTGGTAGAGTTACATACAAAACAGAATTCACTGCACCAGAAAGTCTACTTTGCTAAAGTCAAGACCCTGAGATGTCTTGACTTACCTTAAATACATAAAATGTTTAGTTGTCAACTATAACTCAGCAAAGTTGGGGAAAAAGAAGATTTAAGGTGGTGCCTAGTAGATTATCTCATCTGGACAAAAGAGATCCTCAGACTTTTTATGAATATAAAATTTTGTCTCCTTGTGGCTTTAATCTTATCTTAATCTTTTATGAATATAAATTTGTGTCTCATCTGTGGCCTTAATCTGTATGGCCTGATTGAACGTATTTCCATATGTGTACTGGCCATTAATTTCTTTTCTGTGAAATGCCTTCATTTCTTATCATTTTAGAGAAGGGGATGTTCTTCCAGGCAATATGAGCATCACCTCTATTTAGGTAGATACACTTGAAAACACTGAAACACTAGTCTCCTCAACACTTCAGCCAACAGAAGCAGCCCATCCCTCTTGTTAGGAGAGAGCAGAATTCCACTGCCTGGAAACCATGCAAAGGTCTCACCTAAGGCAGACAGATTGCAAGATGATACTTGTTCTTCTCAAAATCTGCCTTTGTTTATTCTTACTGCATCTAGACAAATAACTAGGTTTGGTCTCAGGAAGGTCTAGGCCCAGAAGTACTATCTCTATAATAAGAGAAAATGTATTATCCTCCTCCCCACAAAACCTGCAGTACTCGGGTAATATGTACTAGTAGGAGCCAGGAGAGCAAGTATGGAAGTGTATATTGAAGGTATTGTTTGCATGGACAGGGGAATGGAGTACAAATCTGGATGGGGGAGAGTTTATTGATATGGGGATTCACATCAGTGTGAGTCTTCCATGACTCATGATTTAACATCCTGGCAAGGATGCTTGTGGCCCATCCTAACATTCTTCTGCATTGGAGCCTTAAAACTTGGAGCTAACGATGGCCCAAATTAAATGAGGTAAAGTTGCCAATACCGCCCTGACAGAATAATAGAAAGAGTTCAGATGGTTTAGAAAACTGGTCATGCTAGAATGAATTCATCATGTAGAACCCAGAAACTTACCAGCTCATTATGTTCCCTGGAAGAACATTCCCTTCTCTAAAATGATAAGAAACGAAGGCATTTCGCAGAAAAGAAATTAATGGCCAGTACACATATGGAAATATGTTCAATCAGGCCATATAGATTAAGGCCACAGATGAGATGCAACTTTATGTTCACAAAAGATTAAGACAAGATTAAGGCCACAATGAGACAAACTTTATATTCATAAAAAGTCTGAGGATCCCTTTTGTCCAGATGAGATAATTTACTAGGCACCATCTTAAATCTTCCTGAGGTCTTTTTCCCCAAATTTATTGAATTATAGTTGATAATTAAAAATTTTATGTATTTGAGGTAAACCACTTGATGATTTGATATATGTATACACTTCAAAATATTCACCACAAGCAAGCTAATAACATACCCTTACCTCATATAATTATATGAGGTATGTTGTATGTTATTAGCTTTTTTCCCTTTTGTGGTAAGCACACTGTAAGCAAATTTCAAGTATACAATACAATATTGTTAACTCTAGTCACATTGTTGTACATTAGATCTGTAGAACTTACTTATCTTGCATGCTGAAACCTTGTACCCCTTGGCCAACATCTCCCCATCTTTCCCTCCCCACAACCCCTGATAACCACCATTCTACTCTGTTTCTTTCCTTTTTCTTTTTCTTTTTTTTTTTTTTTTTGAGATGGAGTCTCGCTCTGTTGCCCAGGCTGGAGTGCAGTGATGCAATCTCAGCTCACTGCAACCTCCGCCTCCCAGGTTCAAGTGATTCTCCTGCCTCAGCCCCATGAGTATCTGGGATTACAGGTGTCTGTCACCACACCTGTCTAATTTTTGTATTTTTAATAAAGATGAGTTTTTGCCATGTTGGCCAGGCTGGTCTCGAACTCCTGACCTCAGGTGATCCGTCTGCCTCAGCCTCCCAAAGTGCTGGGATTACATGCATGAGCCACCGCTCCTGGCCCCTACTGTTTCTATGAGTTTTACATTTTTAGGTTCCACATTTTTTTTTTTTTTTTTTTGAGACAGAGTCTCAGTCTGTCACCCAGGCTGGAGTGCAGTGGCACGATCTCGGCTCACTGCATAGGTTCCACATTTAAGTAAAATCATACAGTATTTTTCTTTTTGCTTCTCACTTATTTCACTTAGCACAATGTCCATTAGTTTCATCCATGTTGCCACAAACAGTAGGATTTCCTTCTTTGTTAAGGCTGAATAATATTCCATTATATATATATTTGTGTGTATGTATGTAACACACACACACATACGCTTTATCCATTTATACACCTTCTTTATTCATTCATCCCTTGATGGGCATTTGGGTTGTTTCTATATCTTGGTTATTATGATATTGTGAATAATGCTGAAATGAACATGGGACTGCAACTATCTCTTTGAGATATTGATTTCATTTTCTTTGACTATATATACCCAGAAGTAGGATTGCTGGGTTATAAGGTAGTTCTATTTTTAATTATTTAAGGACTCCCCATATTGTTTTTTCATAATGGCTGTACCAACTTATATTCCCACTAACAGTGTATAAGGGTTCCCTTTATTTCACATTCTTGCAAACACTTGCTATCTTTCATCTTTCTGATCCATTCTAACAAGTATTAGATGATAGCTCATTGTGGTTTTGGCTTGCATTTCCCTGATGATTAATGAAGTTGAGCAACTATTTCATATACCCTTTGGACATTTGTATTTTTTTTGTCTTTGCAGGTCCTTTGCCCATTTCAAAATCAGGGTTTTTTGTTTGTTTGGTTTTGGGTTTTTTTTTTCTATTGAGTTGCATAAATTCCTTATATATTTTGGATATTAATTACTTATTGGACATTTGGCTTGCAGATATTTTATCCCATTCCATTGGTTGCCTTTTCATTCTGTTGGTTGTTTTGTTTGCTATGCAGAAGCTTTTTGGTTGTATGCAATCTCATTTGTCTATTTCTATTTTTGTTATCTGCTTTTGGTGTCATATCCAAAAAATCATTTCCCAGTCCAATGCCAGGAAGCTTTTCCCCTATGTTTTCTTCTAGTAGTTTTATGGTTTGAGGTCTTACATTCAAAATGTTGACTTGGTTTTTGTATATGGTGTGAAATAAGGGTCCAATTTCACTCTTCTGCATGTGGACATCCAGTTTTCCCAAAGCCACTTCTTGAGAGACTGTTCTTTCCTCATTGTGTATTCTTCACACCTCATCAAAGATCAATTGACCATAGATGCATGGATTCATTTCTGGTCTGTCTATTCTGTTCCATTGGTCTATATGTCTATTTATATTCCAGTACCATACTGTTGTGATTATTGTGCTTTGTAATATATTTTGAAATCAGGGGGTGTGGTGCCTCCAGCATTGTTCTTCTTTCTCAAGATTGTGTTGGCTATTCAGGGTGCTTCGTGGTTCCATATGAATTGTATAATTTTTTTCTACTTATGTAAAAAATGTCATTGGTATTTTCCCAGGGATTGCATTAAATCTGTAGATCACTTTGGATAGTGTGAACATTTTAACAGTATTAATTTCTCTAATCTATGAACACAGAATGTTTTTCCATTTATCTGTGTCACCAATGTTTCATAATTTTCATTTTACAACTCTTTTACCTTTTTGTTTAAGTTTATTTCTCAGCATTTTATTGTTTCTGTTATTATTTTGAATTGAATCCTTCTTTCCTTCCTTCCTTCCTTCCTTCCTTCCTTCCTCCCTTCCTTCCTTCCTCTCTTTCTTTCTTCCTCTCTTTCTCTCTCTCTCTTTTTTTTTTTTTTTTGCAAAGGGGTCTGATTCTGTCACCCAGGTTGGAGTGCAGTAACATGATCTCAGCTCACTACAACCTCCACCTCCTGGGCTCAAGCCATCCTCCCACCTCATCCTCCTGAGTAGCTGGGACTACAGGTGCATGCCACCATGCCCAGCTAATATTTGTATTTTTGATAGAGACAAGGTTTTACCATGTTTCCCAGGCTGGTCTTGAACTCCTGGGCTCAAGCAATCTTCCCACCTTGGCCTCCCAAAGTGTTAGGATTATAGGTGTGAGCCACCATGCCAGGCCTGAATTGTTTTCTTTTTTCTTTTCTTTTCTTTCTTTTTTTTGAGACATAGTTTCACTCTTGTTGCCCAGGCTGGAGTGCAACCGTGCGATCTATGGTTCACTGCAACCTCTGCCTCCCGGGTTCAAGCCATTCTCCTGCCTCAGCCTCCCAAGTAGCTGGGATTACAGGCATGTGCCACCACACATGGCTAATTTTGTATTTTTAGTAAAGATGGGGTTCTCCATGTTGTTCAGGGTGGTCTCGAACTCCCAACTTCAGGTGATCCGCCCTCCTTGGCCTCCCAAAATGTTGGGATTACAGGCTTGAGCCACCGTGACTGGCAATGTGTCCTTTTTTCATTTTTGATTTTATTTATTTGAATCTTCTCATTGTTTCTCTTAGTTAATCTAGCTAAATGTTGTCCATTTTGTTTATCTTTTCAAACAACCCACTCTGTTTAATTGTTTCTAATTTTTTTATTCTCTGTGATTTATTTATTCTCTAATCTTTCTTATTTTCATCCTTCTTAAAACTTTGGCCTTAGCTTATTGTTCTTTTTCTAGTTCTTTGAGTTGAAAAGTTAGGTTGTGTGTTTGACATTGGTATTCTTTTTTTAATGTGGGTATTTATCACTATAAACTTCCCCCTCAGTACTTACTGCCTTTGCTGTGTCCCATAGGTTTTGGTACATTGTATTTTCATTCTCATTTGTCTCAAGATACTTTTTAAATTCCCTTTTGATTTCTTCTTTGACCCAATGGTTGCTCAAGAGTGTGTTGTTTCATTCCCACATATTTGTGAATTTTCCAGCTTTTTGGCTGTTATTCATTTCTAGTTTATTCCACTGTGGTCTGAAAAGACACTTGGAATGATTTCTGTTTTCTTAAATTTGTTAAGGCTTGTTTTGTGACTGGGCTTCTTTAAGATTATTATTTTTAATTAATCATCAGACAATTCATAGAACTCCATTTCACTGGGTTCAGATACTACAAAATTATTGTGTTCCTTTAGTGGTGTCATATTTCCTTGATTTATTGAATTTCTTATAGCCTTGTATTGATGTCTACATATTTGAGGAAGCAGTCACCTCTTCCAGACTTTATAAACTAGTTTTGGTGGGAAAAGAGCTTTACCTACAGGTGTATGTGAGGGTGCCAGCTGGGTTGGTGCAGTGATTTCATCTCAAGGAAGTGTGCAATGGTATAGTTTCCATGTAGCTCCCTCAGCTGAGGCCGGTTTTGGCAGATTGTGGGGGTTCTTAGTGACCAAAACTGTGGGTATCTGAGAAAGTGCCGAGAGTTCTTAGGGTCCTCAGAGGTGAAAGTTACTGAGGTCCTCCTGTTCTCTTTTTCTCCAATGAGGAGCAATTATGGCTCCAGGGCCCAAGGCGCAGGTGTGCCTGCTGTGGTGGTAGCTTCAATGTTTGAGGTTCAGGCATGCCCACTGAGGCAGCAGTGTCTGTTTCTGCAGCATGGATGCTCGTGAGTGGCTGTGGGCTGGGGTCTGAAGCACAGGTGTGTGTGGAGCAGCCATAGCTCTGGAGTCCAGGCATACATGTGGTTGCAGGCAGGAGGAAGGAAGGTGAAAGCTCCAGCTCAAGGAGCCCAGTGGTGGCTCCTTCTGTAGGGAGGCACATCTCTTTTTCTGCAGAATCCATGATAGCTGCAATGGCTGTTGAGGTCTTCAGTGTCAAAGGTTGTTGGGATCCTCTGAAGAGCAGGCCACCGGAGACTGCTGTGGCACCTTCCATGTAGTTGATACTGACAGGCCTGCCCTTCCATATTCTTTTCTTTTTTTTTTTTTTGAGATGGAGTCTAGCTCTGTTGCCCAGGCTGGAGTGCAGTGGCGCGATCTCGGCTCACTGCAACCTCCGCCTCCTGGGTTCAAGCGATTCTCCTGCCTCAGCCTCCCAGTAGCTGGGATTATAGGCACCCGCCGCCGTGCCCAGCTAATTTTTGTATTTTTAGTAGAGATGGGGTTTCACTGTGTTGGTCAGGCTGGTCTCTAACTCCTGACCTCATGATCTGCCCTCTTCGGCCTCCCAAAGTGCTGGAATTACAAGCGTGAACCACTGCACCTGGCCTGCCCTTCTGTTTTCCTAGCCATCTCCAGATGTCTCAGCTATGCCAATCTCCCCAGTGATCTGGGTGTGGTAAAGATAAAGCAGATTCTTCAGGCAGTGCCCCTGGAGTTTCAGGAAGCTGATTGCTTACTCTGCTCTCTTTTTCCCTATGAGGGGACTCATGGACTGGTGGTTTCTCTTTCAGCACTGAGCTATGCCAGCCTAGGGGATGGAATAATGAAGACAACATGAAACTGTTCTTCCTACCCTTTCTGTACAATTTATTTTCTGTTCTTTTTGTTTTTCTTCACTGCATTGCTGCAACTTCTTGATTATCTCTCTCTTATTTTTTTTTTTGAGATGGAGTATCGCTCTGTCCCCCAGGCTGGAGTGCAATGGCAGGATCACTGCAACCTCTGCCTCCCGGGTTCAAGTGATTCTTCCACTTCAGCCTCCTGAGTAACTGGGATTACAGGTGCCTGCCACCAGGCCCGGCTAATTTTTCTATTTTTTTTTTTTCTGTAGAGACAGGGTTTCACCATGTTGGCCAGGCTGGCCTTGATCTCCTGACCTTGTGATCCACCTGCCTCAGACTCCCAAAGTGCTGGGATTACAGGCTTGAGCCACCGCACCCGGCCTGCTGCAACTTCTTAACTGGACTCCTGAGCTCTCCCAGAGCATTTTTTTTCATAGATATCTGTCTAATTATTGTTTTATATAAGGGGACAAAGGCTGGGATCTCCTATGCTACCATCTTGCTGATGTCAGTACAATCTTCCTGAAATCTTAACAAAGGTTGTTAAAGCCGCACTTTGATTTTATCTTTACCCTCAGGGCATTATTTCTTTCCTGAAAACCTTTTGCAAGATGAAGGGCTATTTTCACTCTCCAGTCCTGGCTCCTCTATGTTTCCTCTAAATTGTGCTTTTTAGCACAATTTAGCTAATGCCTTGTTTTCTGTACCTTGTTATGCACAACTCGATAATTGATGTTTTCACCATTCTGCCTTGAATGAAACCCCCTTCACCATATCTGAAATTTTTTAGGTGCTTTTTCCATCTTTCATGTTAGTGCAGGGGATACTATTGCCAATTGCTGAGCTGCTGCCTAACACAGGTCAGCATTTTTCCTGTTTCTGTCTAGCACTTTTCTCATTGCTTCATAGTTTCCATTGATCATTTGCTTGTCATTTCTTCCAGCTTGACTAGCAGTTTCTTTATGACATTTCCAGCCTTTGCCCACAGTCTCAAAGCCAATGCCACATATTTTGGGTTTTCATTATGACAGCATAACACTTCTGGTACCAACTTATGTATCAGCCATTCATTGCTCCTTAACAAACACCCCAAACTACTGTGGCCTCCACCAACAACTATTTTATTTAGCATACAATTCTGTAGATCAGCTATTTTCTTTCTTTTTTTTTTTTCTTTTTTTCTTTTTTTTTTTTTTTTTAGGTAGAGTCTTGCTCTGTCACCCAGGCTGAAGAGCAGTGGTGTGGTCTTGGCTTACTGCAACCTCCACCTCCCGGGATGAAGTGAAGATCAGCAATTTTAGCTGAGTGGTCTCTTTGGTCTGGGCAAAGCTCGGCTGTTCTTACTTGGGCTTACTCATATCTGGGTCTTAGCTGTGATGCCTGAGATGGCTTGGCTATCTGGGATATCTGGAGCCCTGGTTAACATCATTCCTCATCTTTCAGCAGGCTAGCCTAAGCTTATTGCTATGGTAGTGGAAGCATTACCAGCAACACGAAAGTAATTCTCAATGCACAAACTTTCACATCTTTGTTTCCATCACATGTGCTATTATTGTCCCATTAGCCAAGGGAAGTCATGTAGCCCAAAGAAGTGAATACAGGGAGGGAAATTATAGTGGCTATGTCTAAATAATCTACCATAAAACACATTATTTGCTTTGTATTGATACATAATCTGTAGGGTAATCCTTTGAAATCATGTGACTATCCTGTTTCTCAACTTTTTTCTTTTTTTTTTTTTTTTTGAGACAGAGTCTTACTGTTGCCCACGCTGAAGTGCAGTGGCTCGATCTCAGCTCATTGCAACCTCCGCCTCCTGGGTTCAAGCGATTCTCCTGCCTCAGTCTCCTGAGTAGCTGGGATTACAGGCATGCGCCACCACTTCCGGCTAATTTTTGTATTTTTATTAGAGATGAGGTTTTGCGATGTTGGTCAGGTTGGTCTTGAACTCCTGACCTCGTGATCTGCCCACCTCAGCCTCCCAAAGTGCTGAGATTACAGGCTTGAGCCACTGTGCCTGGCCTGTTTCTCAACTTTTTATCCAATGATTTTAGCATCCATTAATAATCCTTGACTGGCCAGGCACAATGGCTCACACCTATAATCCCAGCATTTTGGGAGGCCAAGGCAGGTGGATTACTTGGGGTCAGGAATTCGAGACCAGCCTGTCCAACACAGCAAAACCTCATCTCCACTAAAAATACAAAAATTAGCTGGGCGTGGTTGCGTGCACCTGTAATCCCAGCTACTCGGGAGGCGAGGCATGAGAAACATTTGACCCAAGAGGCAGAGGTTACAGTGAGCTGGGACCGTGCCACTGCACTCCAGCCCCGGTGACAAAGTGAAACTGTGTCTCAAAAAAAAAAAAAAAAAAAAATCCGTGACTATACTATCACATTGGGAGTTACAAAGTGGTGACTTTGTATTTTATTTCTTCTACATTTATTAGTTGGAAATCAGTAAAGAAAAATTCTTCACCTGGCCAACATGATGAAACCCTGTCTCTACTAAAAATATAAAAAAAATTAGCTGGGCATGGCGGCATGTGCCTGTAATTCCAGCTACTCAGGAGGCTGAGGCAGGAGAATTGCTTGAACCTGGGAAGTGGAGGTTGCAGTGAGCGGAGATCACACCACTGCACTCCAGCCTGGGCAACAAAGAGCGAAACTCAGTCTCAAAAAAAAGAAAAAAAAGAAAGAAAAATTATTTCTTTTCCTCTCTTTTCTACATCTCTCTTTGTGATTATCACTATGTACTCAGGGATTTTTAAAGTTCAGTGGGTTATAATTGATAAACTTTCTTTTATTTTTCCCTTTTGTAGCTGTTACCCAAATTATCTCAAATTTTGCTAGTGAGATCTCCTTCAGACTGAATTCTATGTCCTTTTGACATGAGCTCATTAGCCTTTGAGCTCTTCCTTCTTTTTGGAATAAGATGTTGATATTTCATGTTTAACTTGGACTTTCTATGCCTTGGGCTCTGGGATCAGCCAAAGGATTTCTAATTTCTCTAAGGATCCTTAATTCTTTTAAATGGACAATGGATTTTAGAAACCAAGAACTGTGCATCAGATATATTAAGGTTTCTGGAGTGTTGTTTTTAGACTTTTCCTGTGTGTGGAGCTAGAAAATACACACACACCCACACACACACACACACACGCACAATCATGAATTTATACTGATATCTCCAATTTAAAGCTGACACATAGGATTCTTCTTCACTTTCTCCCTACTCCCACCTTTCCGCCCCACTCCCCCAGACACGATCTCACTCTGTCACCCAGGCTGGAGTGCAGTGGCACAATCACAGCTCACTGCAACCTTGACCTCCCAAGCTCAAGTGACCTCTCACCTCAGCCTCCCAAGTAGCTGGGACTACAGATGTGTGCCACCATGCCTGGCTAATTTTTGGTATTTTTTGTAGAGATGGAGTTTCACCATGTTGGCCAGGCTGGTCTCAAACTCCTGGAGCCAAGTGATCTGCCTGCCTCAGCCTCCCAAAGTGCTGGGATTACAGGTATGAGCCACCATGCCTGGCCACTGTTCACCATTTTATATCCACATACATAAAGAAATTTAGTTTGTGATAAAGATAGTACTTCACATCAGTGAGGAAAATATGGTTCATTCAACACACTATTTGGGATATTTGGCTATCAATTTAAACACAAACAATACTCAGTTAAACTAAACAAATTTCAAACTGGCTATAAGAGCTGGGAAAACAAGTACAAAAGTATTAAATATTAGAAAAAATATTGGGAAAAGGTTTATAATCCTAGGGATGGAAAGCCGTTCTTTAAAAAGACCCCCGAAGTCATAAAGGAAAGGCTGACTGATGAGGCAATGAGCAACCCTGCACAACATCCTTGTTTACAAGCGCAAGAGGTGGGACTGCTGGGTCACACTCTGATATGGTTTGGCTGTGTCCCCACCCAAATCTCATCTTGAATTCCCACGTGTTATGGGAGGAATCCAGTGGGAGGTAATTGAATCATGGGGACAAGTCTTTCCCACGCTGTTATCGTGATAGTGAATAGGTCTCATGAGATCTGATGGTTTTAAAACAAGGAGTTCCCCTGCACAAGCTCTCTCTCTTTGCCTGCTGCCATCCATCTAAAAGGAGATTTGCTCCTCCTTGCCTTCCACCATGATTGTGAGGCTTCCCCAGCCACATGGAACTGTAAGTCTGATTAAACCTCTTTCTTTTGTAAATTGCCCAGTCTCGGGTATGTCTTTACCAGCAGCATGAGAACACATTAATACTCACTCCTTGTGAATTTCCAGTTTCGAGAGACAGTGTCACATCATATTCCAAATAGGAGAACGGGCACAGTGGCTCATGCCTGTAATCCAAGTACTTCAGGAAGCCAAGGCAGGTGGGTCACCTGAGGTCAGGAGTTTGAGACCAGCCTGACCAACATGGAGAAACCCCGTTTCTACTAAAAATACAAAACATTAACTGGGCCTGGTGGCTCATGCCTGTAATCCCAGCTACTCAGGAGGCTGAGGCAGGAGAATCGCTTGAACCTGGAGGGCAGAGGTTGCAGTGAGCTGAGATAGCATCACTGCACTGCAGTCTGGGTAAAAGACCGAAACTCCGTCTCAAAAACAAAAAATGAATAGGAACTGCATGTTCATATTTTAACAATAACAATAGCAAGTAACTAGCTGTCTCTTTGAAGGTCTTGAAGGAAGGTCAGAGCCCAAAAGTCAGATTCCAGACCTCCACTTTATTTATTTATTTCTATTTTGTAATTTTTTTTTAAGACGGAGTCTCACTCTGTCACCCAGGCTGGATGGCAGTGATGCGATCTCCCGCTTCAGCCTCCTCAGTGGCTGGGACTACAGGCACGTGCCACCATGCTTGGCTAATTTTTGTATTTTTTAAGTAGAGACAGGGTTTCGCCATGATGGCTAGGCTGGTCTCAAACTCCTGAAAGTTAATCCACCCACCTCAGCCTCCCGAAGTACTGTGATTACAGGCATAAGCCACAGCACCCAGCCCTAACAATAACAATACCAGGTAACTAGCTGTCTCTTTGACAGCCTTAAAGGAAGGTCAGAGCCCAGAGGTCAGATTCCAGACCTCCACTTCAAAATGCTACAGAGCCAGGTCCACACACAAACACGCAGGAGGAGGAGTGGTGTGCAGCAGGATTAGTTAACTGTCCTCAGGGATCTTTGAGGTCTCACACCTGCTCCAGGGCTCCTCATGAGGCCTTGGCCTCTAGGAGTTTGATTATTATGTATTGAGTCTGCTCAGCATCCCTGGGAAGGCAAAGGCCTCAAGTCCATCATGGACACATCTAGGGGCTGAAAGGTCTCCCGATGGGCAACATGGTGGAAGGACTAGACATGCTGAACATGTTCCAGAGATAAAATCCTCCCGCTGATTCTGCCAGGTCAGCCCTGAGTTGAGGTGGTCTAATGGGGCCTTGGAAACACATGTCAACATGTGCCTCTGGCTCCGGATTCTAAGGGACATGGGGTGGTTCCCCAAAGATTAAACATTGAATTACCATTTGGTCCAGCAATTCCTCTTCTGGGTATATACGTGCAAGAATTTAAAAGCAAGGACCTGAACAGTCATTTGTTTTTGTTTTTCCTTTTGTTTTTTTGAAACAGAGTCTTTCTCTGTTGCCCAGGCTGGATTGCAATGGCAAGATCTCGGCTCACTGCAACCTCCGCCTGCTGGGTTCAAGCAATTCTCCTGCCTCAGCCTCCCAAGCAGCTGGGATTACGGGCATGTGCCACCACACGTGGCTAATTTTTGTATTTTTAGTAGAGACCAGGTTTCGCCATATTGGTCAGGTTGGTCTCGAACTCCTGACCTCACTATCTGTCCGCCTTGGCCTCCCAAAGTGCTGGGATTATAGGTGTGAGCCACCATGCCTGGTCCTGAACAGTCATTTGTACACCAATATTCACAGCAGCATTCTTCAGAGTAGTCAAAACGTGAAAGCAACACAAATATTCATCAACAAATGAGTAGATAAACAAAATGTGGTATATACATATGATGGAATGGTAGCCTTAAAAAGTGATAAAATTCTGACACATGCTGTAACACAGATGAACCCTGAAGACATTATACTAAGTGAAATAAGCCACAACAAATAACAATACAAAGTAACAAACAGTTGGATCAGAGCCACACCCTGATGACCTTCAGGTGGATCACCTCAGGAAGCCTGAGGTCAGGAGTTTGAGACCAGCCTGCCCAACATGGAGTAACCCAGTCTCTACTAAAAATACAAAACATTAACTGGGTGTGGTGGCTGGTTCAAACTTCATTATCTCCATAAAGGCCCTTTCTCCAAATACAGTCACACTGGGGGTTGGGGCTTTAACATATGAATTCTGAGTAGACTCAATTCATTCAACAGCATCATGTAAGAGGAATCATACAGTATTTGATTTTTTGGTGTGTTATTCTTCATGTCCTTATAAGAAGAGACACAGAGGCTGGGCATGGTGGCTCACGCCTGTAATCCCAACACTTTGGGAGGCTGAGTCAGGCAGATTGCTTGAGGTCATGAGTTCGAGACCAGTCTGGCCAACATGGTGAAACCCCGCCTCTACTAAAAATAGAAAAATTAGCTGGACATAGTGGTGGGTGCCTGTAATCACAGCTACTCGAGAAGCTGAGGCAGAAGAATCTCTTGAACCTGAGAGGCGGAGGTTGCAGTGAGCAGAGATTGCACCACTGCACTCTAGCCTGGGCAACAGAGTGAGACTCCATCTTCAAAAAAAGAAAAAAAAAAAGAAAAGAAAACACACTTTCATTTCCAAAAAAAAAAAAAAAGACACAGAGACGTCTGTTTCTCCCTGCCACCTAAGAACATAGTGAGAAGGCCACAGCCTACAGCTAGAAAGAGAGCCCTCACCAAAACCGACTATGCTGGCACTTTGATCTCAGGCTTTTGGCCTCCAGAACTTCAGCCTGTCTGTTAAGTTACCCAGTTTATGATATTTTGCTGTGGCAGCTCAAGCTGACTAAGGCATGCAAGGGACCTAGAGTAGTCAAATTCACAGAGACAGAAAGTAGAACAGTGGTTACCAGGGGCTAGGGGGAGAGGGGACTGGGAAGTTACTGTTTACTTACAGTTTCCGTTTAAGATGACAAAAAATTCTGAAGGTGGATAGTGGTGATGGTTACATAGCAATATGAATGTATTGAATGCCATTGAACTGTACATTGAAAGATGATTAAAATGGTACATTTTATGTTATCTATATCTTACCACAATTTTAAAAATTAAAAAAAAGGAAAAAAGCTTGTAAAAAGCTCAAAAAAAAAAAAAGAGTCTAAAGGACATTTTATGGCCTCTCTGGAACCCTGGTTCTGTATGGCCAGCCTCGGTCAAGCTTCCACCTTTCCTGTCATCTCCTCACAGACACACTGAAGATGTTCTGCTAGTGGCTTTGGGATACACACAGTTCAGCAGATAAGGCACAGGAGAACATTTTAAGTTCTGTCTAAATGAGCTCTAGAGCTCTGCTGTCACTGAATTTAAAAGTCTTTTTTCCCAAGAGTAAAACAAATTCAAGAAGGAAAAATGCATGCAGCTGGAGCCTGAATGAGCAGTTTTGTCTCCCAAGACCGGAAAACACCTGTTCCCAGCAGACTTTCTATTGAATTTTATATGGCTTTCAAAAATAGCCCACTTCTTAGCTGACTGGCAAGATTTAGTTATGTTTGGTTGTCTTCCACAATTTTATCTAAGCTCTAGCAATCACACAACATTTTATTTATTTTTTTAGCAGGGAAATGGGTATACAAAATTACTGTCGTAGCTTTCCTAGATCAACTTGTAGTTTTGATAAATCCGGAAGCTTATGACAGCAAAGCACATGTTGTTAGAAAGCACTGGAATCAAGATAGACAACCAGAAGGGGCTTGAGACGACAGAGCCCTGCGACTCCGGGCAGGGGCTCTTGGGCCAGCAGTGTTAGTAGACTCTCAGAGTTTGCTAGAAATGCGGAACCTTCAGCTGCACCCCAGACCCACTGAATCAAAACCTGCATTTTCACAAAATCTCCGGGAATACTCACTCAAGTTTGAGAAGCTCTGAGAGTGACCTTCAGAACTTCCTCAGTGGAATTGCCTGAACACTGATTAAAAATGCATATTCCTGGGTCCTGCCCAACACCTGTGAAAATTACCCCATTATGATTCTTAGACAAACAAGTTTCAGAACTATCGCAGTAGGTGTCTCTTAGGAAGGAAAGCTACTCTGGTGGGGTGCAGTGGCTCATGCCTGTAACCCCAGTACTTTGGGAGGCCAAGAGGAGAGACCAAGACTTGCCTGGGTAATGTAGCGAGACCACCATGTCTAGATATATATTAAAAAATTAGCTGGGCATAGTGGCACATGTCTGTAGTCCTAGTTATTAGGGAGAATTGCTTATGCCTGGGAGTTCGAGACTGCAATGAGCTATATGATTGAGCCACTGCACTCCAGCCTGGGTGACAAAGCAGTACCCGGTCTCAAAAAAAAAAAAAAAAAAAAGGCCGGACACAGTGGCTTACACCTGTAATCCCAGCACTTTGGGAGGCCAAGGCGGGCAGATCACCCAAGGTCAGGAGTTTGAGACCAGCCTGGCCAACATGGCCAAACCCTGTCTCTACTAAAAATAAAAAAAAATTAATAAAATTTTAAAAATTAGCTATGTATGGTGGTGCATGCCTGTAGTCCTAGCTACTCGGGAGGCTGAAGCAGGAGGATCGCTTGAATGTGGGAGATGAAGGCTGCAGTGAGCCTAGATTGCGCCATGATTGTGCCACTGCACTCCAGTCTGGGTGACAGAGCAAGACTCCAGAAAAATAAAAAAAGAAAGGAGGAAGGAAGGAAGGAAGGAAGGAAGGAAGGAAGGAAGGAAGGAAGGAAGGAAGGAAGGAAAGAAAAGAAAGACCCTTTGTGCTACTGGAATTTGAAGGGCCCTTTTCTCTCCACTCCTGGTTTTGTTACAGGAAAGGGGTCCTGATCCAGACCTCAAGAGAGGATTCTTGGATCTCGTGCAATAAAGAATTCAGGGTGAGTCCGTAAAGTGAAAGCAAATTTATTAAGAAAGTAAAGGAATAAAAGAATGGCTACTCCATAGACAGAGCAGCCCCGAGGGCAGCTGGTTGACCATTTTTATGGTTATTTCTTGATGATATGCTAAACAAGGGGTGGATTATTCATGCCTCCTCTTTTTAGACCATATAGTGTAACTTCCTGATGTTGCCATGGCATCTATAAACTGTCATGGCGCTGGTGGGAGTATAGCAGTGAGGTTGACCAGAGGTCACTCTCATCGCTATCTTCGCTTTGGTGGGTTTTGGCCGGCTTCTTTAGTGTAAACTGTTTTATCAGCAAAGTCTTTATGACCTGTATCTTTTGCCGACCTCCTATCTCATCCTGTGACTTAGAATGCCTTAACCACCTGGGAATGCAGCCCAGTAGGTCTCAGCCTCATTTTATCCAGCCCCTACTCCAGATGGAGTTGCTCTGGTTCAAATACCTCTGACAGTTTGAATGGATTTTCAGGACGTTTCTATCATTCTAATTTCATTCTCTCAATCTCCATTTCTCCCCATCCCACCACATGCCAATACAATGGGGTTGAGACAAGAAAGGAAGCCAGGGAAAGACAACCTTTGCGCGAAATTTTCTGAAGGATACACTCTAAAAGGATGCAAAGCTCAGACTTCTCACTGGGCTTACCCTGGAGTAGCCTCCAGATGTGTCATCAGGACTGGGTGTGGCTGAAACCACTTTCCTCCTCCCAGGCGGTAGTGTTAATGACCTGGCAGCTTCTCCCTCATAGGCTTACCTTTGAAAAACCAGACCTGTGTGTGGTGAGACCCAGGGGCCTGGGAAGGTTCCTCCCCAGCTCACAGTCATGTCTGAGATTTCACCACCTGAGCTCCGCTTCTCCAAGGCTGGGAGCACCAGTCTGTGATCTGCAAGCTGTTCCAGCAAACACTGCAAAGAGCATTTGTTGATTTAGGTCTTTCTGCCCCAGGCATCTAGTTGAGAGGATAATCTTATTGGCAGGAGGTAAAGGCCAGGGGTCTGGGAAAAGAGAAGCGTGCAGTATTTGGGGCACAGGAGGGGGAAAGGACACCAATGAGAGGTGTCACCCACTTCTTGGGGTCTGAAGACCTCCACTGGCCAGCTGAGATGAAAGCACATATGGGGGGCTATCCTCCCTACCCCACTGCCCCAGTGACCCGTAGGGCCTGGATAAAGGTAACCAGAAGCTAACTGCCAGAGCTGTGGAAGACAGTGTGAACCAGTGTCTGTCCTGCCCCTTTACCCTGCAGAGGAGGAGGCTGAGTTCCTGCAAGGCCTTGGCAACCTCCAGGACTGCAGTGTGGCATGATGTGGGACCAGACTGTGGCTCTGGAGGGCAGTGCAGGGCTCTCTCCAATGCATCTCTCTGCCTTCAGGCACGAAACCAGAAAACAGGGTTTGGAGGAACTGAGTCCCAGGCTTGCATGTGATAATAAATTTTATATCTGCACCAGATGGCAGGCAGCTTATTAAAAGAATGGGCTTTAGTGTCAGCTAGACATGGGTTCAAATCTGGGCCACTTATTTGCTCAGGTGATGATTCTATTTTTGAGACAGGGTCTCACTCCCTTCACCCAGGCTTGGAGTGCAGTGGTAGAATCATGGCTCACTACAGCCTCAAATTCCCGGGCTCAGGTGATCCTCCAACCTCAGCCTTCTGGGTAGCTGAGATTACAGGTGTGTGCCACCACGCCTGGATAATTTTTGTATTTTTAGTAGAGACAGGGTTTCATCATGTTGGCCAGGCTGGTCTTGAACTCCTAGGCTCAAGTGATCCTCCCACCTGGGCCTCCCAAAGTGCTGGGATTACAGGCATGAGCCACCGCACCCACAGGTGATGATTCTGAGTTTCATTTCCCACATCAATAAAATGAGGATATGGGTACAGTTTTCTTTCTGAGAATTCAGTGAGCATATGAATGAGAATCCACAAGATCCCTCTGGGGATCTCTAATTAAACTGTAGATTCTGGATTAGTTCTTGGGGGTGTTGCTGAGAATCTGTATTTCTTTCTTTCTTTCTTTCTTTTTTTTTTGAGACGAAGTCTCACTCTTGTCACCCAGGCTCGAGTGCAATGGCGTAATCTCAGCTCATTGCAACTTCCGCCTCCCAGGTTCAAGCGATTCTCCTGCCACAGTCTCCCAAATAGCTGGGATTACAGGTGTCTGCCACCACGCCCAGCTAATTTTTGTATTTTTAGTAGAAATGGGGTTTCACCTTGTTGGTCAGGCTGGTCTGGAACTCCTGACCTCAGACAATCCATCTGCCTTGGCCTCCCAGACTGCTGGGATTACAGGCATGAGCCACTGCACCTGGCCGAGAATCTATATTCCTAACAAGTTCCCTTACCAAATGGGAAACTGAATTTTTTTTTAAAAATTGTAAGTTTTTATTCTCAAAAAATTTTGTCCTTGCAAAGAAGCTAGGAAAAAAGTAGTGCAAAGAATTTCCACAGAGCCTTCACCCAATTTCCCTAAAAGTTAATACTTGAGATATCATCACAGGTCAATGATCAAAACAAGGAAATTGGCAGTGTAGCAATGCTATTAACTAATTCAGACACTTTTCGAATTTCATCAATTTTCCCACTCTTGTCCTTTTTCCGGAAGAGGATCCGTGAAGGATCACACAGATTTAATAGTCCTGTCCCCTTGGACTCCTTTCATCTGGGTCAGATTATACACAAGAATTTCAGTGACAGGCAGCTATACCAACAATGATAAACCATTTGAATTTCTTTCTTTCTTCCTTCCTTCCTTCCTTTCTTTTTCTTTCTTTCTTTCTTTCTTTCTTTCTTTCTTTCTTCTTTCTTTTTCTTTCTTTTGAGACAGGGTCTTGCTCTGTTGCCCAGGCTGGAGTGCAGTCGTGTGATCATAGCTCACTGCAGCCTCCATCTCCTGGGCTCCAGTAATCCTCTCACCTTAGCCTCCCTAGTGGCTGGGACCACACATGTGTGGGGCTAATTTTTAATTTTTCGTAGAGATGGGGGTCTCTCTATGTTGCCGAGTCTCCCACTTCAATTTCTTACACTTGTTTGAATCCAAGTGGTTCTCAAAAACTGTTCATAAGATTCACCTAGAGAGCTTGTTTTGCATGTTCACTCCCAGAGACACGGATTCTGTAGGGTTTGCATGATGTTAGGGGATATGCTTTTTTTTTTTTTTTTTAGACAGCATCTCATTCTGTCACCCAGGCTAGAGTGCAGTGGTGCCATCTTGGCTCACTGCAACCTCCACCTCCTGGGCTCAAGCGATTCTCCTGCCTCAGCCTCCTGAGTAGCTGGGCCCACAGTTGCATGTCACCACACTTGGCTAATTTTTTATTTTTAGTAGAGACGGGGTTTCACCTTGTTGGCCAGGCTGGTCTCCTGACCTCAGGTGATCCGCCTGCCTCGGCCTCCCAAAGTGCTGGGATTACAGGTGTGAGCCACCGCGCCCAGGTTTTTTTTTTTTTTTCTTTTAGATGGAATCCCACTCTGTTGCCCAGCCTGGTGTGCAGTGGCATGGTCTCAGCTCACTGCAACGTCCTCCTCCCAGGTTCAAGCGATTCTCCCACCTCAGCCTTCCTAGCTGGGATTACAGGCCCAAGCCACCACGCCCAGCTAATTTTGTATTTTTAGTAGAAACGGGGTTTCACCATGTTGGCCAGGCTGGTCTCGAACTCCTGACCTCAAGTGATCCTCCCACCTCGGCCTCCCAAAATGCTGGGATTACAGGCGTGAGCCACCGCACCCGGCCAGGATATGCATTTTTATCAGCGTGTCAAGTGATTCCTATGCGGGTGGTCGGAGGACCAGACTTTGAGAAACAGTGTCCAAAAGTGGCTGGCACAGCCTCAGTAAGCATTTGCCATGTGATCCATCTCTCCTTACACAAGGAAAAACTGTATCTATTGCTTAAAAACACTTTAAAGCATTCCAATCACATGGTGACGTTTCTAGAGATAGTCTATGTGTAGCCCTGTTCCCAATCTCTATCCCTCTTGATAACACAAGTGGAGGCAAAATGGTACACTCTGTTTTTGCACTTTGTCACCTAACTGGGCCTTTCATTGTCCACGATTTCTGGGCAGCTATGCGGTTTCGCTCGTTCCCAAAGATTGCCACTAGGCGGCACCAGTGACTTCCCCCATCACTAATCAAGTGGCCAAATTAGCAGGCAATTACCAAATGTTTAGCGAGAATGTAGAATGTTTTATCGGCCAGTTTACCACCTATGGTCTCAGAGATCTGGCTCTTTTTGCTTTTGATTACATTAGAATGAATTTCAGAGCCACTAACTTTGGGCCATCTCTCTATCTACATTAGAATGAATTCCAGAGCCACTAACTTTGGCCCGTCTCTCTATCATTAATATTTAAAGAGGTGTGTTTGCATGGAGATGTGGGATGTGTAGGCTTGGACCAGGCCCAGGGACTTCTGCTGGAGGGGGGTTTGGTCCAAGCTGTCCTGGGCAGAAAGGACAGCTATGAAAAATGCAGCAGACCTATAGAGGTCCAAACACAGAACTGTAGGCTTGACACTTCCCCCACCAGGTCTCTGTGATCCTTTTTACTTCCCTCTCCCCAAGCCTCTTGCTCCAAAAGAAGACAGTGAACAGTCCCAGTGTGGCGGTTCACACCTGTAATCCTAGCACTTGGGGAGGCCAGGGCAGGAGGATCGCCTGAGCCCAACAGTTCGAGACCAGTCCTGGCAACAAAAAATAAAAAAAATAAAAATCAGCCAGTCGTAATGGTGTGCACTTGTAGTCCCACCTATGCGGGAGGCTAGGGTGGGAGGATCACTCGAGCCTGGGAGTTCAAGGCTGCAGTGAGCTGTGGTTGTGTCGTGCCACTGCACTGCACTCCTGACTGGGTGACAGAGTGAGACCCATTCTTTCTCTCAAAAAAAAAAAAAAAAAAAAAAGACAGTGAACAGAAATAATACTCTTTTTTTTCTTTTTTTGAGACGGAGTTTCGCTCTTGTTGCCCAGGCTGGAGTGCAATGACACAATCTCAGCTCACCACAACCTCTGCCTCCCAGGTTCAAGCAGTTCTCCTGCCTCAGCCTCCCACGTAGCTGGGATTACAGGCATGCATGCACCACCACGCCCAGCTAATTTTGTACTTTTAGTAGAGACGGGGTTTCTCAGTGTTGGTCAGGCTGGTCTCAAACTCCCGACCTCAGGTGATCCACCCACCTCGGCCTCCCAAAATGCTGGCATTACAGGCGTGAGCCACCGCATCTAGCCAGAAATTTTTAACTGTGGTAAAATATATATGGCATAAAAGTTACATCTTTTTATATATATATATATTTATATATTTATTTATTTAGAGACACGATCTCGCTCTGTCACCAAGGCTGGAATACAGTGGTACCTTGAACTCTGGGACTCAAGTGATCCTCCTGCCCCAGCCTCCCGAGTAGCTGGGACTACAAGGCACACTACACCCAGCTAATTTTTTTATTTTTTGTACAGACAGGGTCTTGCTTTCTTGCAAGAGTCTGGTCTCAAACTCTTCAAGCAATCCTCCTGCCTCAGCCTCCCAAAGCACTCAATTACAGGCCCCAGCCACCGCATCCAGCCTTTCTTTATTTTTAACTGTGCAGTTCAGTAGTCCTAAGTATCTTCACATTGTTGTGCGACCAATGTCCGGAGTTCTTTTCATCTTGTAAAACTCCAGGCTGGAGTGCAGTGACTCGGCTCACCGCGCAACCTCTGCCTCCTGGGTTCAAGCAATTCTCCCACCTCAGTCTCCCAAGTATCTGGGAATACAAGCGCCCGCTACCGTGCCTGGCTAATTTTTTGTATTATTAGTAGAGACGGGGTTCCACCATATTGGTCAGGCTGGTCTCGAACTCCCAACCTCAGGTGATCTGCCCACTTTGGTCTCCCAAAGTGCTGGGATTACAGGTGTGAGCCACCGCGCCTGGCCTCCTCTTGTAAAACTGAATCACTATACCTATTAAATAACAATTTCCTATTTCCTCCTCCCTTGGTCCCTGGCGACCATCTTTCTGCTTTTTATTTGTATGAGTTTGAGTACTTTAGATACCTCAATATGTGGAATCATACCACATTTGTCTTTTTGTGACTTTTATTTCACTTAGCATAATGTCCTCAAGGTTCATCCATGTTGTAGCATGTGACAGGATTTCCCTGTTTTTTTGTTTTTTGTTTTCTGTTTTTTTTTTTTTTTTTTTTTTTGAGACGAAGTCTCGAACTTTCACCCAGGCTGGAGTGTAGTGGGGCGATCTCGGCTCACTGCAAGCTCCGCTTTAAAAGCTGAATAATATTCCATTGTATGTATACACCACATTTTCCTTGTTGATGGGCACTTTGTTTCTACCTTTTGGCTGTTGTGAATAATGCTGCTATGAATATAAATGTACAAATATCTCTTCAAGACCTTGCTTTCAATTCTTTGAGATGTATACTTAGAAGTGGAATCCCTAGGTCATATGGTAATTCTACTTTTTTTTTTTTTTTTTTGAGACAGAGTCTCGCTCTGTGCCCAGGCTGGAGTGCAGTGGCGAGATCTCGGCTCACTGCAAGCTCCGCCTCCCGGGTTCACGCCATTCTCCTGCCTCAGCCTCTCGAGTAGCTGGGACTACAGGCGCCCGCCACCACACGCGGCTAATTTTTTGTATTTTTAGTAGAGACGGGGTTTCACCGTGTTGGTCAGGCTGGTGTTAAACTCCTGACCTTGTGATCTGCCCGCCTTGGCCTCCCAAAATGCTGGGATTACAGGTGTGAGCCACGGTGCCCAGCCAGAAGCTTTTATTTTTATTTTTTGAGACAGGGTGCCCTCTGTTTCCTGGGCTGGAGTGCAGTGTTACGATTACCGCTGAATGCAGTCTCAACCTTCTGGGCTCAAGCAATCCTCCTCCCTCAGCCTCCTGGGTAGCTAGGATTACAGGAATATACCATTATGCCCTTTTTTTTTTTTTTTTTTTTGGTAGAGATGGTGTCTTAGTATGTTGCCCAGGCTGGTCTTGAAATCATGGCCTCAAGCAATCCTCCCACCTTGCCCTCTCAAAGTGTTGGGATTACAGGCATGAACCTCCGAGCTGGGTCAGAAGTTTTACATTTTGATGTAATCTAATTTGTGCATTTTTTCTTTTGTTGCTTATGCCTTTGGTATCGTATCAGATAAATCTGAACAAATCCAAGAAGCTTTTTCTTTCTGTTTTCTCCTAAAAGTTCTAGAGTTTTCAGTCTTACATTTTATTAATTTATTTAATTATTATAATTTTATTTTATTTTGAGAGATGGAGTCTTGCTCTGTTGCCCAGGCTGGAGTGCAGTGGCGCGATCTTGGCTCACCACAACCTACCTCTGCCTCCCGGGTTCAAGCGATTCTCCTGCCTCAGCCTCCCAAGTAGCTGGGATTACAGGCATGCGCCACCGCTCCTAGCTAATTTTGTACTTTTAGTAGAGATGAGGTTTCTCCATGTTTGTCAGGGTGGTCTCGAACTCCTGACCTCAGGTAATCTGCCTGTCTCGGCCTCCCAAAGTGCTGGGATTACAGGCGTGAGTCACCGTGCCAGCCTCATTTTATTTTTTTATTTTTATTTTTTGAGATAGAATCTCGCTCTGTTGCCCAGTCTGGAGTGCAGTGGTGCAATCTTGGCTCACTGCAACCTCCACCTCCCGGGTTCAAGCAATTGTCCTGCCTCTGCCTCCCAAGTAGCTGGGATTACAGGCGTGCGTCACCATGTCCAACTAATTTTTGTGTTTTTATTAGAGACAGGGTTTTGCCGTGTTGGCCAGGCTGAGTCTTGAACACCTAACCTCAAGTGATCCACCCGCCTGAGCCTTCCAAAGTGCTGGGATTACAGCTGTGAGCCACAACGCCCGGCCTCTATATCTGTCTTAATGCCATTACCACATTGTTTTGATTACTGTAGGTTTTAGTAAGGTTTGAAATCAGGAAGTGTGAGCCCTCCAGCATCGTTCTTTCTCAAGATTGTTTTGGCTACGCAGGATCCCTTGACATTTAGGAAGAGTTTTTCTATTTCTGCAAAAATTGCTGTAGTAATTTTGATAAGGGTTGCATTAAATCTGTAGATCATGTTGGGTAGTGTTGATATCTTAACAATAATAAGTCTTCCTATCCATGAACACAAGATGTCTTTCCATTTATTTGTGTCTTGATTTTCTTCAGCCATGTTTTGTAGTTTTCTGTGTATAAATCTTTCATCTCCTTGTTTAAGTGCATTCCTAAGTATTTTATTCTTGTTGGTGCTATTATAACTCTCTCTCTCTTTCTTTCTTTCTTTTCTTTCTTTCGCTCTGTTGCTCAGGCTGGAGTGCAGTGCCCCGATCTCAGCTCACTGCAACCTCCGCCTTCCGGGTTCAAGCAACTCTCCCTGCGTCAGCTTCCCAAGTAGCTGGGATTACAGGCACCCACCATTGCGCCTGGCCAATTTTTGTATTTTTAGCAGAGACAGAGTTTTGCCATGTTAGACAGGCTGGTCTTGAAATCCTGACCTAAGTTGATCTGCCCGCCTCAGCCTCCCAAAATGCTGGGATTACAGGTGTGAGCCACCGTGCCCGGCCTGCTGAATCTATTATTTCTAACAGGTTTGTGTGTGTGTATGTGCGTGTGTGTGTGTGTGTGTGTGTGTGTGTGTAGTCTTCAGGGTTTTCTACATATAAGATCATGTTATATGAAGAGATAATTTTACTTCTCTCTTTCTGATTTAGATGAGTTTTATTTCTGTTTCTTGCCTAATTGCTCTCACTGGGACTGCTACCTGAAAGCAGGTAGTAGTATTGTGTTGAATGGAAGTGGTGACGATGGGTATCCTTGTCTTGTTCCCGATCTTAGATGAAAACTTTTCACTCTTTTACCATTGAGTATAATGTTAGCTGTGGGGTTTTCATATGTGTCAATGAAGAGTTTTCACCAGAACACTTCCTACACTAAATATATGGAGTTTTTCCACACCAGCAACTAGTTTTCCAACCCTCTGGACACCAACTGGGTGTCCTACAATTCAATGTAGACACTGCCTCGAGTTAGTGTAAACCACATAGGCTAAGGGCTCAGTCCTACAAGACCACCCTCACTCCAGACACTAGTCACAAGTCCCAGGTTGCCACCTGTACTTCTGACTAACTGTAACTGGGTATAAATTGGGAGTTCCTATGACCATCCACTCACATTCAGGTTTGATAGTTTGCTACAATAGCTCACAAAACTCAAGAAATGGCTTTACTATTACCAGTTTATTATAAAGGATACAACTCAGAAACAGCCAAATGGAAAAGATGCATAAGACAAGAAATAGGGATGGGATGGGGTTGGTGGTGCTGAGCTTCTTTTTTTTTTTTTTGAGACGGAGTTTCACTCTTGTTGCCCAGGCTGGAGTGCAGTGGTGCAATCTCAGCTCACCGCAACCTCTGCCTCCCGGGTTCAAGTGATTCTCCTGTCTCAGCCTCCTGAGTAGCAGGGATTACAGGCACATGCCACCAAGCTCTGCTAATTTTGCATTTTTAGTAGAGATGGGGTTTCTCCATGTTGGTCAGGGTGGTCTCAAACTCCTGACCTCAGATGATCCGCCTGCCTTGGCCTCACAAAGTGCTGGGATTACAGGCATGAGCCACTGCTCCCGGCCTGGTGGTGCTGAGCTTCTATACCTTCTCTGGGCATGCCACCCTCCTAGCACCTCGATGTGTTCACCAATCCAGAAGCTCTCTGAACCCTGGTATTTAGGGAGTTTTATGGAGGTTCCATTAAGTAGGCATGATTGATGAGATCATTGGCCATTGGTAATTGAACCCAATCTCTAGCCCCTCTTCACTTCCCTCAAGTCTGGGGGTCAGACTGAAAGTTCCAGTCCCCTAGTCACATGGTTGGTTCCTCTGGTAACCAGTCCCCATCCTGGAGCTATTTAGGGGCCCACGAACAGTCACCTTATTAGCATAAACCCAGGTATTGTTGAAAGGGGCTGGCTATGAATAACAAGAGATGCTCCTCTCACCCCTATCACTGGGGAAATTCCAAGGGTTTTGAACCAGGGACAGAGAACAAATATATACATTTCTGATTATCACATCTTTATTATGCTGTGGTGGTTTCCCTCTGTTCCTAGTTTGTTGAGTGTTTTTCTCATGAAGGGTATTGAATTTTGTCCAACTCTGCATTATTTGAGAAGATTGTGTGGATTTTTTTCTATCATTCTGTTAATGATGTGTATTACATTGATTGATTTTCGTATGTTGAACCATCCTTGCGTTCTGGCAATAAATCCCACATGGTTATCTTGTATAATCCTCTTAATGTGCTCCTGAATTCTGTTTGCTGGTATTTTGTTAAAAACATTGTAAGCAGGCTGGGCGTGGTGGCTCACGTCTGTAGACCAAGGTGGGCGGATCACTTGAGGTCAGGAGTTCGAGACCAGCTTGGTCAACATGGTGAAACCCAGTCTCTACTAAAACTACAAAAATTAGCTGGGCGTGGTGGTGCGTGCCTGTAGTCCCAGCTACTCAGGAGGCTGAAGCAGGAGAATTGCTTCAGTCTGGGAGGTGGAGGCTGTAGTGAGCCGAGACTGAACCACTGGACTCCAGCCCTTGGGTGACAGAGACAGGAGGGAGCGTCTCCAGGGACTATAGGAATTTAATCAACTTGAGCAATCAGCCTGTTTTTTTTTTCCCCAAACCCTGTGTGGAATGTGGTCACCTAGTTTAACACAGCTTCTGAGAGACCCCAGCAACTTAATAGATGAACCCCAGTGAACTTTTATTACCATGCTAAACTCTGGACACACCCTGGGAGGAGCTATCACTTCCTTACCATAATACATGACCTATGTGCTGACATAATGACTCACTGCATCTGCACAACTGGGACCCCCTCCCTCTATGTGCAATGGTGCATCCTCTCCCATCTCCATCACCCATCAAACCCTCCTGTCACTTTCCCTCAGGGAGACACTGCTTGGGAGAATGTGCCCAGTGCTCTCTTTATGTGTGCCAAGTAATAAAACTCATATTGATCAAAACCCACACTCTCATGGGGACTTGTCTGTTACTCACCAGGTGGACGAACCCTGCTTTTTTTTCTGGGTAACAAATCTTACATCAATACTCACACCACGGATATTGGTCTGTAGTTTTATTTTCTTGTATTGTCTTTGCATATATATATATATATAATTTTTTTTAGATGGGATCTTGCTCTGTCACCCAGGCTGGAGTGCAGTGGCACAATCTTGGCTCACTGCAACTTTTGCCTCCTGGGTTTAAGTGATTCTCCTGCCTCAGCCTCCTGAATAGTTGGGATTACAGGTGTACACCACCATGCCTGGCTAATTTTTGTATTTTTAGTAGAGATGGGGTTTCACCATGTAGCCAGGCTGGTGTTGAACTCCTGACCTCAGATGATCCGCTCGCCATGGCCTCCCAAAGTGCTGGGATTACAGGATTACAGGCATGAGCCACTTGCCCGGCACTTTTATATATTTAACTGCAAGTTTATATAAAAAATAATAATTGTTTAGCCAGCAGTTCATTAAATTCCTGAAAACGTTGACAGCTGATTCTCATGAGCCAATGTGAGTGGGCTCCAGTATATCTTGGCTAAACTTTGCATGTCTTTTGCAATTTAGGCCACAGTGAACTGAGTCAATTTCTCATCGTAATAGAACACGAAATGAAGGGTATATGTGTCTGTAACTTATTGGCAAAAAACTGGAAAACCAGAACAAATACCAAGCTGTGAATTATTTCCCAAATGCCTATCTGAATGCATCATCTTAACAGCATAAAATTCAGTCCTGGCCAGGCGCGGTGGCTCAAGCCTGTAATCCCAGCACTTTGGGAGGCCGAGGCGGGTGGATCACAAGGTCAGGCATTCGAGACCAGCCTGGCCAACATGGTGAAACCTCACCTCTACTAAAAATACAAAAATTAGCCGGGCGTGGTGGCACTTGCCTGTAATCCCAGCTACTCAAGAGGCTGAGGCACGAGAATCGCTTGAACCTGGGAGGAGGAGGCTGCAGTGAGCCGAGATCGTGCCACTGCACTCCAGCCTGGGTGACAGAGTGAGTCTCAAAAAAAAAAAGGAAAAAAAAATTCAGTCCTTTTTAGTCGAAGGCATTGTGTACTTTATCTTTTTTTTCCCTCTAAACATTGGAGCGAGTGAATACTGTACTTGCATATAACATTTAATTCTCTCAACAATGAACAATGTAAGTACTATTTTTCTCCCCATTTTAGACACTTAAGTTTAGGGAAGGCAAGTGACTTAAATGTGAAATCACACAGCTAGCCAGCGACACAGCCAGGATTTGAACCATAGCTGCCTGGACCTCAGTGGTCATCTGATCACACCTTTACACATCTACAATAGCACATGACATAGTTAATAAATATTTGTTGAATCAATGTGCTATTTATCTATTCATTCATCTATTGCTATTTCAAACTTTAAAAAAATTGTGGAACACTTGTTGAAAGAATTCTCACATGGAACACCAACATATAACATAGACAAAAGTAGATCTGCTCTGCTGAGCATTAGTCAGGGCTGTGAAGCCCTCTGCCTACCTATCTGTAACATATTATGCATTAATATTCATGAAAAAGGCCGGGCACGGTGGCTCATGCCTGTAATCCCAGCACACTGGGAGGCCGAGGCGGCTGGATCACCTGAAGTCAGGAGTTCGAGATGAGCCTGACTAACATGGTGAAACCCCGTCTCTACTAAAAATACAAAAATTAGCCGGGTGTGGTGACACGTGCCTGTAATCCCAGCTACTCGGGAGGCTGAGGCAGGAGAATCGCTTGAACCTGGGAGGTGAAGGTTGCAGCGAGCCAAGATTGCACCACTGCACTTTTTAGCCTGGGCAACAGAGCCAAACTCCATTTTAAAAAAGAATAAAAAATTCATGGAAAAAACCTTCTAAATTTGGAGTTCAGAAAACAGTTTACATCGTTCTTCTGGAAAAAAAAAATTTATATCTAGGGCAAAAAGTCACACATTTGGGATGTTTTCTGGACTTCTCATGAAATGGACAAAGGTATAACAATGCCAGGAGTAACAGAATTAACAGGACCAATTTCTTTAGGAACACAATAGGAATGCAGGTTACCAAGGAAGCTATGCTCAAACCTGTTTCCAGGCTTCTCCACATAGGAGTGGTGGGCTAATAGCACCTTTGGTGTCTGGCAGATAATGTGTTTAAATCCTAGACCGCCAATCACTATCTGACCTTGACTGAATCCCACCTACAGGTATGGTGATAATCCTGATAATCCTAGAATCTGCTTAAAAGGGTTCTTGTGAGGATTAAATGAGATAATGACTATGCACAGGGGCTGTTAAATACTCCGTAAGTGATAGTTATTAATTAGACTAGTTGTCAAGGTTTCCTGATAACTTATCTCTCATTTTCCCTAAGTGTTTAAATTACTCTTTTGTATCAGGTCACTTTGGGCTATTACAACATTGGTGGGGAAGTATATGGAAAAATGGAAATTTTAGAGGCCAAAAACGCCAGTTTTAGCTAAATGCCCTTATTTTAAAATGGACATAAAACTAATTTGTATTTTTTCTGCATCTCACAGTTAGTCTGGTCGAATAAGAGGATAAATGCTACATGGAAGTGCTTGTCACTTATGAACCCCAACGCAAGTCTCATTTCATTGTTCCGCAAGCCATTTATGAACGTGCCTGTGGGCAGCAGGTATACTGAGCAGATTGTGGGGACCCAGGCCTTGCTCTATCTGTTGGATTTCAGAAATTTCAATCCTAATTATTCTTGAGTACATTTAAGCCAGTAATTTACCGTTTACATTTTAGTCACTCTGATCAGTCACTAGAAAAAGGCAGCTTTTTGTATTTTCTCCTTAAAGAATACAGAACAGAATAAACAAAAAGTTATGCAAATTGGAAGTTTACCCTTTAGAGACAAGGAATTCTTAAAGTCAAGAGTAAGTGGAACACCCTATCATTGGCAGCTGTTTTACAGATTTGATTCTACTCTTGGTGATCGCATCCAAATTCATGGCTTTGAACTTCAATGATGAAGATGACTCTCAAGTTTTGGTCTCCAGCTGAAACCTCTCCTCCAAACTCCATACTTTTATATATGCAACCACCTACTTGAAATCTCTATTTGGATGTCTAACAGTGTGAAGCTGAATTTTGGATCTCGCAAACCCACTCCTCCCACAGTGCTTTCCACCTGTGGTCAGTTGCTCAGGCCAAATACCCTGAAGTCATCCTAACTCTTCTCTTTCTCAAGCCCCTTACATCTAAATTCAGTAAGCAAATTTTAATAGGTCCCTTTAAAGAACAGTATCCAATCACTTCTCACTACCATCCTCGGCCTTATTATCCTTGTCTCTCACTTGCATTACTGCAACTAGCTTCCTAACTGGGCTCCTCCTGCAGTCTGTTCTGAATAACAAAGCCAGAGTGAGCCTCTTCAGACCATGTCACTCCATGGCTCCAAACTCCTTTCTCAGAGGAAAAGCTAATGTCCTTAAATCATCCCCCAGTCCACTGTGAGCTGGCTCCCTGTGGCCGACACGCCCTACCCCAGCTCCCTCCAGCCCTGGCGGTGTTATCCAGTGCAGTAGACACACTACCACCTCGGGATCTCTGTACTTCTCTCTGCCTGGAATATTTTTCCTTAACTTCCAGTCTCTGATGAAACATAACTGCCTGTGGGCCCTTCCTTGACCACCCTACTTGAAACTGCAACCTCCAGCCTTCCCGGGCACTGTTTGTTCCCTTCCTTCACTTTTCTTCCAAATACTGGTCGTAATATATTTTAAATGCATTTATTTATTTATTTTCCCCCTATGAGAGTATAAGCTCCATGAGGGCAGGAATTATTTTCCCCACAGTTGTAGGACCTAAAGTGGTCCCAGGCATTGCAGTCATTCAGTAAGTAACTGTTGAAGAAAATGAACTTAAAGTCATCACCCCCCATTTCCATCCCCTCCTTTATGGAATGATTCTAATATAAGTCACACAGAGGTTCTTGGGTTGAAAACAAAAGCAAAAGACCACTACACATTAGTTTGTCAACATGTAATGCCCTGGGTTTATTTTGTGAGAATTCTATCACAATTTTTCCAGGTGGGATTAAAAACCTTAAGGATAATGTATGCCATTGGACTGGGCATTCAGACTTCGGTACTGACAAAGCACTAGTAGTAGTCTGTTAAGTACCATTCTCTTCACAGAAGAGAGGTCAAATATTTCCAAAGGAAGGCACCCGATATTTGTGGTTCTGGCCTTGCAGCCTTCTGGAGAATCTTAAAAGGAAAAAAGCTGGCTGGCTGTTTTTAGAAACTGGAATGATGATACACGTACAGCAATTACTGCATTCTTCTCCCTTATATCCTTTTCGTAAGAACAAGTAAAGAATGAAGTCTTTTAAACAATTCGACAATAAAAAAGTACAATTTTTTTTGTGCTAAAAAAAGGGCAAGACAACATAAACTCCAGTTGTAAGGACTCCATTTGCATACTTGATTTAACACTTTTTGGTGTGGAAGGAAATGGGACTACTGGGCTGTTCGCAGAGCAGCAACATAATATTAGTGCTTTAAGTACCAGAAACCACCCACAGCTTTGTGGGCAAGTTGGGGATGGAAAGATTCAAGAGACTTCATTTTTAGCTTGTTACTTGTCCTAATGATAGTAGACCAGGAAGATCCCCATTTAATAGTACATTCCCCATTTTTAAAAAAACTGATGCCTTTTTTTTTTTTTTTTTTTTTGTAAAATTCTGTATGTATGTCACCATTTTTTTTCACATGATACACAGAAAACTCAAGGACCCAGAGGGGAACCAAGTTATGTTATACCATTTACAAAATACCAAGGAGTCCACAGCTACCTAACACATTTACTACAGCACAGGAACCAATGAAGGTACAGTGTACAAAAAACTGTAAACACGGCACAATAAATAGATAAAACAGCAGGTTCCGCACCATGCACATGATGTGATGACACTTCATCTCTATACAATCTCACATCTCACACTCTTTGTTGCAATTGATTTCCCTCCCACCCCCCACCCCCAAGTGCAAAGCATCACAAATGAACATTTCTGTATTCAAGTAACATATATACAAGGGTATTACAAATATGCAGTACTGTACAGATAATTGCTGTATTCTTAATTTACAGATGTTGATTTTTTTCCTATTAACAGTAAGAAAAGAAAAATTGAAGCATGAGAGATGAGCATTGCTGTCAAGTCCCCACAGCTGCCACAGAAACGCATGTGCTGCTTTCCATCATCCCTTGCATTCAAAATGCTACTGATGCATAGCACCTAATCAAGTCCCCAGGCTGCAGTTCCACTCGGAGGAAGCTACGTCACCTCCATCGCTACTGTGTTGTCTGCTATGTTGTTCAGTGCTGGCTTTTCTGATTCATGATTTTCCCTGTTGAAATAAAGTTCAATCAATTACTTATCTACAACATAAATATTCAGCAAATGAACATTATCTTCCCAACAAAAAGTTTATTTTTATTAACAGGAAGAAATTGGACTCTTTGGGAACAAGCTAGCAAGTAGAGGAATACGAATCTTTATAGTTTATTATCAGAAATCAGGCTAATGTTGACTATAAATAAATTCCACAGTCAACTACATTACCATCAAAATTATAGTAGTACTCAAGCAACCTAGATGTTAAAAACAAAGAATTCCCATGTTTTAGTAATTGTTGTTTCAAGTTCCTTCTCTATTAAACCTTTCAAAAGAGTTTTTAAAAAGGAAACAAACATAACTGAGATTTGTGTCAGGCTTTAAATCAGTCTAATACATGGAGCTGAGTGGCACAGCCACAGAGCTCGAGGGCCCTAGTGGTTCTACAGTCTAGACTTTTGAGTGTCCTTAGAGAAATACATTAACTTCTCTGCGTCTCAGTTTCTTCATCTTTAAAAACAAAAGGACATGTGATATGAAAATTCTATACATGGCAAATATTCCATGGTTAAACAATTCTAGAGCAGTAAAATCATGATATGAGTCAGAACTATAGCTGACAGATGAGCTATATAATTAGACCCAGAATACTATTAAGAATGGATTGGCATTAAGCAGACAATGACTGTTACTTAAATTCAGAAGCAGATGCAGATGCATGGTTTGGAAACTACAGGCCACAGTTCATTGCTACAAACCCTGCTTTCTTCTGGGCCACTCCTGGCTGAGACAGTCTACCAGTCTGGCATTTAAAGTGCTCCAGGAATCTGGAATGGCTTCTCCTGCCATTCCAATTTAAACTACTAACCTTCCTGAGCCTATACAAAAACCAGTTTACTTGTTAACTTCTAAACACTTGTATTTCCTCAACTTTGTATTTTCACTCAGCCTCAAATTTGTATTTCACTCCACCTGCCAGAAATGCTTTTTCTTTCTCCTCTTTGCCCGAAGACTAACACAGATTGGATCTGATCTTATTTTGTTAGAAGAGTCCCAGAATTCCCTGTGCAAAAAAAGATTTCTCCTTATACTGAATTACAGCCATCATCTATACAATTAATTTAACAAGTATATAATGCTTTGTGATATCTACAATTAGCATTATTGGACTTCTCACTCTTTTATGCTTGTCTGCTAACTAAACTGAAAACACCTGTCTTTTTCTTTTGTTTCTCCCACAGTACCTTGTAGACAGCAGGATTTTAACTACCCTTAATTCTACAACATAATAGAGCATAAGCAAAATTCTCAACTGTCTACTGAAATCCAAGACGGCAAGTTAGCACAAAAAATAATGGTTCAATTTAGAGTTGACCTGGCATGAATACTGTAAGTCTTTACATTAATAAGAATAGCTTAACGCCGGGCGTGGTGGCTCATGCCTGTAATTCCAGCACTTTGGGAGGCCAAGGCAGGCTGACCACCTGAGGTCAGGGGTTCAAGACTAGCATGGCCAACATGGTGAAACCCCGTCCCTGCTAAAAATGCAAAAATTAGCCAGGCATCGCGGTGTATGCCTGTAATCCCATCTACTCAGAAGGCTGAGACAGAATCACTTGAACCTGGGAGGCAGAGATTGCAGTGAGCTGAGATTGTGCCACTGCACTCCAGCCTGGGCAACAGAGCGAGACTCGGTCTCAAAAAAAAAAAAAAAAAAAAAAAAAAAAGAATAGCTTAGCATACCAGTGATGGGGCAGGGGTTTCTATCAATTCTACCTGTTTACATGAGAAGCTGTGGAAAAAAAGTCATAAAAGAAACGCTCTCAGGAGAACTCCTTCCATCCAAAGACGGAAGAAAACTGAGAGCATTATACGCTTTTTTTTTTTTTTGAGACAGAGTTTAGCTCTTGTTGCCCTGGCCAGAGTGCAATGGTGCGATCTTGGTTGCAACCTCCACCTCCCAGGTTCAAGCGATTCTCCTGCCTCAGCCTCCTGAGTAGCTGAGATTACAGGCATGCGCCACCATGCCCGGGTGATTTTGTATTTTTAGTAGAGGTGGCCTTTCACCATGTTGGATCGGCTGTTCTCGAACTCCTGACCTTAGGTGATCTGCCTGCCTCTGCCTCCCAAAGTGCTAGGATTACAGGCGTGAGCCACTGCACCTGGTATAACTATTGTTATAGTAAGAAAGGGATGTTCCAAATCATATATGCAACATTCACTATACCAGTTAGTTCAAATTCTTAATATTGAATTAAGTGTTCAAGAACTGTTTAGTTCTTGAATAAATAAGTGATCAATTCTCAACTATACATTTTCAATGTATAAAAGGAAAAGAACAAGAAACACAAAGAAATAGGTAAAGAACGATGCTGGAGGACTGAAGTTAGATCTCTTATTCCAGGTATGTTAGGCAAAAATAACTACTCACCTTGGAACTGAATCTACAGAGGATGAAGATGGGACCTTGGAAACTTGACAGTTTGCTGCAGCGGCCAGCTTTAAGGCAGATGATGGAACAGCACTTAAAGTCCTAGGTATATGTCGTGCATTTATTGGGGCAATAGAGTTTACAGTGGCAACTGATGAAGGTACAGTTAATCGAATGTTGTTCCCAATCAGAACCTGAGTTGTTGCAGAATTGGCAGCAGTTACTTGATGACTCAGTGCACTGTGGGAACTTGAAGTCTGTGTAATATTTGAAGGCTGTAACAAAGCTGAACCTGCCGTTGATGGACTTGTATGTACAAGTGCTGTTGGTGTAGTACTACTGAGGTGTAAGCCCTTGTATACTCCTAGAGAGAAAAAGAAAGAAACATCTAAACAATGTACAACTTTGCTGTTTATATTATAGATATATGTTATAAATATAACCCAAACAATTTAAATGTCTTTATTCTTACCTGAGGCTGGAAGGACGCCATTCACCCCGATTCCAAGCACCACATCATCCTTCATCTTGAATCCCATCAGTTGTTCTGATGTCACCAAAGCAGAAGCAGCAAACTGTGCACTAGCAGAATCCAAAGTCTTAGAAACAAAACCCTAAAAAGAAAATACAAAAGAAATCTAATCAGTATCACTTAGTATCAAATCAATATCAAAACTACACATGCATACCAAAATCAGTTTGAATATAAGTAAAAATGGCAAACCACTGAAATCTTTCTATTTTGGTACCTTGAGATGCAACAGTAATTATATCTCTTTTGATAGTCATATATTTGATAAGTGAAAAGTAATCTAAGTTATAAATTTTGCTTCATATGTGACAATATATAATATGTATAAGTCAATTACCAAAATAAGCCTTCTATAATGTGGAAACAGCAAACCTCCAACACAAAATGTTGGACAAGAAATATGCTAGTAAACATTTCAGTGATTTGCAAATCCATATAATGAATAAATGAATATGTAAACTTCCTTCACCTAACTTATACACACACACATATGTATACACACACAATGAAAGGCACCTTTGGGATAAGATAACTATCCCTTTAGAAATGGAAGTAACAAAATATCACATAATTTAACCTAGAAATTGATAGGCCCCTCAACTTTTTAAAAATATATTTTTCCTGCAAGATGCAGGGACTCAAACCTCAGCCTTTATGCCCTACATGTGTTTAACTGGCAAACGTTTATCATGCTTTAGGTTTAAAAGTTATCTCTTTCAACAGTTGGAGAGGTTATTTTTGCATAATGTTAAAAGCCTTAATAATAATTAACATGCCCAAGAGAATGAACTGGGTGGGGTTATATATTCAAGAGGTACATTAATGGACTACAGGTCAGACGGGAAGACAGTATCTTCATCTCATTTAACTAAGTGCTTTAGTTTTACTTTTTAAAATAGGGAGCAGAGGCAACAGCTTCCATACTCACCTGTAGTGTTCTTTCTAAACCCTGTATATTCAGGCGAAAGCCACTTTTCTGCTGGTTAGATGCAAGGTTCTATGACAACAGTTGGTAATTAGAGATGAACTCTGGTGGGAAACAATGAGGGATAATCATAAGACAGACAAATCCCTCACCTGTGATGTGTTGGTGGAGGAATTACTATTTGCTTGCTGTTGCTGAATTTGTGCAAGCTGCTGTTTCTGCATGAGTGCCAGTTGCTGTTGATGTTGCTGGTATTGTTCGGCTGTAAATGCTGAACATAAAATAAAGAAACACTTTATAAAAATGCCCAGCTGTCATGTATGTCTTACAGTACTAAAACAAAAATTCTGCATTAAATCTGTGCAAAATTGAAGCATCTGACAAAGGATCATGATCCTGCTAAAGATCACTTCCAAATGAAAATTTCTGCGTTTCTGCTACCACATTTAACAAGAGTGGCATGAATTTAAAGAAAAAAAAAATTAAACTTCCTGAATTAAACACAGGAAAGAGAACTGCTCACTTCCCAAATTTCAACACCACTATTTTTTTTTTAAGCTGTGACACTTGTTCTACACAGTGTAGAAAGATAATATCAGCTTTTAAAATCCATAGATTTGGAATTCAGCTTTGCACTGAGCTTGAGAGAATATCTGATAATTACATTTGGTTTCTATTTAATCCATATCTTCCCAAGGCATTCAGATGATCCCTAATGGCTCTGTGTATATATACTAATAGTTCTACATATTTTCTAATTGTAGTCATTAAAAAAATTTGCTCTATATGAAAGATTACAGTTGTTGGTTGGTTTATTGCTTTTTTTTAAAGAACTCATCCTTTAAGTTTAACAGGAAGAAAAGAGGCTCTAATGTTAAGGTTAATTAATTTTCCCCACCCAATTAACCCACCTGGAAAAAATCCAGTCAATAAGAACGGAGTTGTTTATGTTGATTTACTGTACAGAATGATGTCTGAGGAAAGACACTGTGTTATGCTACTTATGTTTGTCTATGGAGAGCTCAGTTCTAAAAAAAACAAACAAAAAAATGTTCATTTATTACCCCCCCAAAAAAGTGTGTGCAGTTTTTAAAAAGGAAACCTTTTTCTCTTTTTTGCCAATTAAAAAAAAAAAAAGCACATACAATCACAATACCTCTGATTTTAAAGGCGTCTTTAAGAAGCCTGTGATGTTTGAGTAAGAATTATTTTAAAACAAAAAAAGATTTATCATGCATCCCTGGCTACCAGGGAATCTATAAATCATGCACATTTCCTCAATCTAAAGTTTAATGTTTTCAAAATACTGTCACCTAATTTGTTGTTTAACTTCAGTTTGATAATTTAGTTAGAATATCACTTCAAGTTTTATACTTTTCACTTATATAACTCATGAAGAATCTTTCTTTATCCTCCAGGATATACTTTCTGCCTGGTACAACTAGAAAATTAGGTTAGGTACAAATTCTGCCATGTTTTGAATGGATCAGAAAATTGTGAAATAATATTCAAGAAAACCTAATAAGTTATTAGTATCTACACAGGTTCTTATACTTGAGTTGAACTAAGTTCTTGGGCTATAAGGGCAAAAAATGTTGGAAATTGGTTTTCTTATTTTCTGTGTGTGTTAAAATCTGTTTAGTTGATATCTTCCCTTTGATGAGCTCCTTTTCCTACTATGTTCGTAATTCACAAATCTGCAATCTGTAGAAAAGATTTTTATTGATAATAGAATGCTCCCTAAATATTGACATAAAAATAACTGTCAACATGATCATTTCCATATAAACAGAAATGTGTTATACCAAAACTTGAAGAAAATCTAAAAAAGTCAATGCTGCCCTCAAATAATTTCATAGTTAATATTTCTCATGTTTAAAAAAAATCCACGAAAATTATTTAAATGTAAGAATCCTTGACTCACTAGATACTTTTGCCAATATATTTGTGAGATTTACAGTTTAATTTCCTAAGTTTGAGTGTTTTGCCTAAGCCTTGGCTTTTCTAGTAGGGAATGCTCAGTAAATTTAAAAGCAAACAAACCATTTTTGGAAGGTCAGGTCATCACATATATAGAAAAACAATAATTTAGCATTCACTGAATGTCTATGTATTAAAGTCCATATATATGAAAGAAAGTATTCTTTTGTAGAACTTTGCTGGCGTGTGTGTTTAATTAAACATTTATCAATAGCTAATTAGAAATCAATGTGAATAAAGTCCAAATATTTTTGCCTTATTTAACATCTTAATCCTGAGTCTTTGAAGATCTTGTGAATTTCACTTCTTAACAACTGTTAACTTCTTCCTAATACAGACTTGGAAATAAAAATGCAATCAAGGCCAGGCGCGGTGGCGCACGCCTGTAATCCCAACACTTTGGGAGGCCGAGGTGGGTGGATCACGAGGTCAGGAGTTCGAGACCAGCCTGGGCAAGATGGTGAAACCCCGTCTCTATTAAAAATGCAAAAGTTGGCTGGGCGCGGTGGCTCACGCCTGTAATCCCAGCACTCTGGGAGGCCGAGGTGGGCAGATCATTAGGTCAGGAGATTGAGACCATCCTGGCTAACACAGTGAAACCCCATCTCTACCAAAAAAAAAAAACAAAAAAAAAATTAGCCGGGCGTGGTGGCACGTGCCTGTAGTCCCAGCTAGTTGGGAGGCTGAGGCAGGAGAATGGTGTGAACCCGGGAGGCGAAGCTTGCAGTGAGCCGAGATCGCGTCACTGCACTCCAGCCTGGATGACAGAGCAAGACTCCTTCTAAAAAAAAAAAAAGGAAAAAGCAAAAATTAGCTGGGTGTGGTAGTCCCAGCTACTCAGGGGGCTGAGGCAGGAGAATCGCTTGAACCCGGGAGGTGGAGGTTGCAGTTAGCTGATATCACACCATTGCACTCTAACCTGGGTGACAGAGTGAGACTCCGTCTCATAAAAAAAAAAAAATGCAATCAACATTTTAGATTACTATGTTAGCCTATTTGTTAGATATTGCTGTCTTCTACAGAGTCTAGTTATGAAATTTTTCCTGGACACTTTTGGCAAATAGTCTAGGAGAAATGCACAGAGCAACCCTTAAGCTGTAAGTGGTGGTAATAATAACTATGGTCTAGGGGCCAAAAGACCTTGACATTCTTAGTCCTCAGCTCTATCATAATTAGCTGAGTATTCCTGAGAAAGTAAATCTTTTGGGACTCTGTCTTCATCTAAAATGAGAAAGACAGGCTGGGCGCAGTGGCATACGCCTGTAATCCCAGCACTTTGTGATGCCGAGGCAGGTTGATCACCGGAGGTCAGGAATTTGAGACCACCCTGACCAACATGGTGAAACCCCGTCTCTACCAAAAATACAAAAACTTAGCCAGGCGTGGTGGCACATGCCTGTAATCCCAGCTACTCGGGAGGCTGAGGCACGAGAATCGCTCGAATCCAGGAGGCAGAGGTTGCAGTGAGCCGAGACCGCACCACTGCACTCTGGCCTGGGCCACAGAGCAAGACTTCATCTTAAAAATAAATACATAAATAAATAAAATGAGAATGAGATTAAATTAGGTGATCATTAAGGTCCTCTTCAGCTATGAGATGCTAAGGTTTTATATTCTTCTGAGAAATAAAGTTCAATTCCTAAAGAAGGTCCCAGTGTGAATGAGTAGAAAAACCTGTACCAAGGTAGTAAATATGGGCAAAAGAAATCTGAACCTCAGGTCATGATACCATTATAACCTGAAAGTCTAACCAAATGCTAAATGGAAATAAGACAAAAATGACCATGCTCACCCTCTCTAAATGTCTATGAATGGATTGAGATATCAAGGTAGAACATTTTTAGGTTGTATGTCTACCTCCTGATATGGTATGAGAATCAAGTTTGTAATTCCCACAAAGGTGGACAAGATGGTTGTTGTTGACAGATGACCAAACCTACAGTCAGAATCCTTTCACAAAACCAAAAAATTTTGAGGTCAGGAAGGACTCTTAGAGATTGTAGGATTTCTTCCTACAACCTCATCTAGAGATGAAGAAACTTCTGAGGTCACACATATGTAACAGTGGAAGGAAAAGAGAACCCCAAAGCAATGAGATTTTAAATTGAAAAATAGACAAAAATTCTTGGATTTAATATTTACAAGAAATCTATCTTCTGAGGTACCAACAATATGAATCAAGTGCTTAAAAAGCCCACACACATAGAGCACCTGACAAACAAGGGTCTACGCAAGGAGAATCCTATGTGTGGGACAGGATTAAAAGCTCCAAATATTTAACCAGGAACGGGATTAGGAAAGGAAGCATGATAGGACTTCAACTGGGTGAAGGCCATTATGATGCTGAAGGGGGAGCAAACTCACTCGGTATGCTTCCATGAGCAAACCAGGGACCTGCAGGTTTTAATTTAAGAAGGCAGTTTTTGGTTCAATACATAGACAAACTTTCTAACCAAGATCCTCAAACAACTCAATCTAGAAAGTTGTTGAATTTAGCTTCACTAGAAATACTTAGGCAGAAGTAGAAACTACCTTTGTTTTGGTAGCTTCTAAGTAACCAATTTTCTTGGGCAGAAATTTTTTTTTTGAGACAGGGTCTCACTCTGTTGCCTAAGCTGGAGTGCAGTGGTGTGATCTGGGCTCACTGCAGCCTTGACCTCCTTGGGCTCAACTGATCCTCCCACCTCAGCCTCCCAAGTAGCTCTAGCTCGGACTACAGGCGAGCATCACTATGCCTGGCTAATTTTTGTATTTTTTTGTAGAGATGGGTGTTTCACCATGTTGCTCAGGCTGGTCTTGAACTCCTTAGGCTCAAGCAATCCACCTGCTTTGGCCTCCCAAAGTGCTGGGATTACAGACATGAGCCACTGCGCCCGGCCTAAGACTCTCTGAGTCCATTTGTACTAAAGGGAAGCCATGGTATGGTACACCAGCAGCTGGAACAGCCTATAGTTCAGACTGCTGCTCTGTGCACTGCACTCTTATAGCTAAAGGTGATCAACTGAGATGATCAAAGGAGTGCAGCTGAGGGGAAAGTGATGGGTGCTAAGGAAACATTCAGCCGTGAAAGATGGAGTTTAGATTACCAAAATGTACACTTTTTTTTTTTGAGAGGGAGTCTCGCTCTGTTGCCCAGGCCTCCCGGGTTCAAGCGATTCTCCTGCCTCAGCCTCTCAAGTAGCTGGGATTACAGGCGTGTGCCACCACACCAGGCTAATTTTTGTATTTTTAGTAGAGACGGAGTTTTCGCCATGTTTGCCAGGCTGGTCTTGAACTCCTGCCCTCAAGTGATCCACCTGCCTTGGCCTCCCAAAGTGCTGGGATTATAGGCGTGAACCACAGCACCTAGCCCCTCAAAATGTATACTTTGGTTTTTTTTTGTTTTTTTTTTTTTGTTTTTTTTTTTTTTGAGACGGAGTCTCGCTCTGTCGCCCAGGCTGGAGTGCAGTGGCAGGATCTCGGCTCACTGCAAGCTCCGCCTCCCGGGTTCACGCCATTCTCCTGCCTCAGCCTCCCAAGTAGCTGGGACTACAGGCGCCCGCCACTACGCCCGTCTAATTTTTTGTATTTTTAGTAGAGACGGGGTTTCACCGTTTTAGCCGGGATGGTCTCGATCTCCTGACCTCGTTACTTTGTTTTTAATAACAAAACCAAAAGTAACCCCAAATGCCTAAAGACCCTGAATTAGAAATTTCTTTTAGTACACAGGCCAAACATTATTTTAATATAAAACAAAAGGTAAAATGATTCTTCAGGTAGTTATTAAAGTATGATCTCCTAATTAGTGAGATTGAGTTGACAGGGTTCACGAGCCTTATCAGCCATCTAGCAATCTAATTTGAAAACCAAAGTTTGTTTTAATTCATTTGTTGGCAAACTATGACCAGACCTGACCTCATCTGGCCGTGAATGACTGAACATGAGATTATTTGCAGTCAAATATTCCTCTTAGTGTGAATATTCTTGCATTTTATTATATGACTATAGAACTATTAATGTATTTTACTACAGGTGCTACTCCAGACTCTGCTACAGATGTTATATAATAATCCACCTTCTATAGTAAAAAAAATTCTGAGGCTGGGCGCAGTGGCTCACGCCTGTAATCCCAGCGTTTTGGGAGGCTGAGGCAGGCGGATCACAAGGTCAGGAGTTCGAGACTGCCTGGCCAATATGGTGAAACCCCGTCTCTACTAAAAAATACAAAAATTAGCCAGGCGTGGTGGCACGCACCTGTAGTCCCAGCTACTCGGGAGGCTGAGGTGGGAGAATCGCTGAACCCGGTAGGCGGAGGTTGCAGTGAGCCAAGATCGTGCTACTGCACTCCAGCCTGGGCGACAGAGTGAGACTCTGTCTTAAAAAAAAAAAAAAAAGAAAAAAAACTTATGAATTTTGGAACACATTTGAATAAAGTCAAGGTCCTGCAAATTCACAAAATCTTACAAAATATTCAGTGCTCAAATCTAGAGTTCCTTTTCCACAGTAGGATTAAGATGTTATGTTGCAAACTAAATTGCACTAAGTTACGGATATTAAGACTTGGAACATATCATTCTAACCATATATCTCTTATTCGTTTATAAAAATAAACCAAATCTTTACTGCAGATATGAGAGCTTAGAAAAATAATTCAGAATGCTGGTGAAATTTTACTGGAAATTAGGAATTCACATATTGAACATAGAATTGTAGCTTAAAAATCACTTTGTTTCCAGTCTTTCTGAATTATATAAGGACTCTTACATAAGAGTCCTTATGCAAATGCATAGTCAGTCACTGAACACTCAACTTCCCAAGGTGCTTTTGTGAGTATTAAAAAAACAACTGTATTTGGAAACTGTCCAAAATCACCTATTAACTGAAGATTATTAAAAATATACAATTTATCCTTAAGTACTAAAACCTAGCCCCCAAAATTCCATATACACATACGGTCTTTCCCAGTTCCTTACCACTGTGTTATCCTGCTGCATGGTATCCAGAGGACCAAGCACTCAACACACCTAACTCACACAATACTCAGGTATTAGGAAGCCTGATACCAGACTGCTCAGGCTACACAAATATGCAAAATAGTCAAGAGTGGGAAGGAAAGTAAAAAAGATTCTGAGTAGTTGAAACAGACTATAAAATCAGCATATTAAAGCTCATGCACTTTACTAAAATGTACTTCTATTATCTTCATTTAGAATTTCCTATTTAACTTAGCCTCCCAGCACTTTGGGAGGCTAAGGTAGGCGGATCACTTGAGGTCAGGAGTTCAAGACCAGCTTGGCCAACATGGTGAAACCCCGTCTCTACTAATACAAAAATTAGCTGGGTGTGGTGGTGCGCACCTGTAATCCCAGCTACTTGGGAGGCTGAGGCATGAGAATCACTTGAAGCCAGCAGGCAGAGGTTGCAGTGAGTGAGATCACGCCATGGCACTCCAGCCTGGGAGACAGAGTGAAACTGTATCTCAAAAAAAAGGCCAGGCACGGTGGCTCACGCCTGTAATCCCAGCATATTGGGAGGCCGAAACGGGTGGATCACAGGGTCAGGAGTTCAAGACCAGCCTGGCCAAGATGGTGAAACCCCGTCTCTACTAAAAATACAAAAATTAGCCAGGCATGGTGGCGGGTGCCTGTAATCCTAGCTATTCAGGAGACTGAGGCAGAGAACTGCTTGAACCGGGGAGGTGGAGGTTGCAGTGAGCTGAGATCATGCCACTGCACTCCAGCCTGGGAGACAGAGCAAGACTCTGTCTCAAAAACATGACAAACATAAAAACAATGAATAATCAGAAATGGCTATACTATAACTCGCATATTTGGCTTAAGTAGCAGGAAAGCTTATCAGCTGACTTGTATTTTACAAAATAGTTAACTTCCAAACTCATAAACAACTTGGGCATCTCTAATATGAACGTCTGAAATCTGAAATGCTCCAAGAACCAAAACTTTTTCTGCATTGACCTGATACTACAAGTGGAAAATTCTACACCTGGCCTCATGTGATGGGGCCATAGTCAAAATGCAGTCAATACTTTGTTTCATGCATAATTTTTATTATTTATTTATTTTGAGATGGAGTCTTGCCCTGTCACCCAGGCTGGAGTGCAGTGGCGTGATGTTGGCTCACTGCAACGTCTGCCTCCTGGGTTCAAGTGGTTTTCCTGCCTCAGCCTCCCGAGTAGCAGGAATTACAGGCACCCACCACCACGTCTGGCTAATTTTTGTATTTTTAATAGAAACGTGTTTTGCCATGTTGGCCAGGCTGGTCTTGAACTCCTGATCTGAGGTGATCTCAGGCAATCTGCCTGCCTCGGCCTCCCAAAGTGCTGGGATTACAGGCATGACCCACTGTGCCTGGCCTGACTCTTCTGTTTTAATTAGCCCAACACTGCCAGTTTTTCTGCTGGCATCAGACTACATCAGAGTTTCTTTGGTTAAGTGCCAGAGGAAGTAGTCTGGTTTGTATGTGGGGGCCATGCTGTATGAAAATTAAAAATTATCTTTAAAATCACAATTACTACTGAATGAGGTAAGATGCTTAACCTATGAATAAAGTGGCAATGCGGGCACTCACGCCGTAAGAGGACCAACACATTCAACTTCCCCTACTCCAGGCTCACTCTGGAGAATATATTCTTTCAGTAAATTGTATTTAGAATTCTGTATAACATTTGAGCTGCTACATTTTCTCTTTTTTTTTTTTGAGATGGAGTCTCACTCTGTCGCCCAGGCTGGAATGCAATGGCACAATCTCGGCTCACTGCAACCTCTGACTCCCAGGTTCAAGCCATTCTCCCTGCCTCAGCTTCCTGAGTAGCTGGGATTACAGGCGCCTGCCATCATGCCCAGCTAATTTTTGTATTTTTTAGTAGAGACCAGGTTTCGCCATATTAGCCAGGCTAGTGTGGAACTCCTGACCTCAGGTGATCTGCCCGCCTCGGCCTCCCAAAGTACTGGGATTACAGGCATGAGCCACCACACTTGGCCTAAATTTTGTTTTTTTTTTCTTCAGGGGCCTGGAGTTGGATTAAGTGAAATGCACTTATGATATGGCTGCATTGTAATATACTTTATAAAGTATGCAGAGAAAAGCTTTAGGTCTCTGGAATATTCACAAATATAAATGAACAGTGTTACCCTACAGTAGTCTGTAGGTATCTATCCTCTAAGTATTAGAAGATCTAGCAAAATTTAAGGAGAAATTGAAAATAATTAAGACAACAGGAAAAAAAATAGATAAACTCATTTTTAAAAAGTAGTATTGAGGCTGGGTGCAGTGGCTCACCCCTGTAACCCTAGCACTTTGGGAGGCCAAGGCAGGAGGATCACTTGAGGCCAGGAGTTCAAGACTAGCCTGGGCAACATAGACCCTATCTCTTACAAAAAATTAGCCAGTCATGGTGGCATACGCCTGCAGTCCTAGCTACCCAGGAGGCTGAGGTTGGGGGATCACTGAGCCTGGGAAGTTGAGGCTGCAGTGAGCCATGACTGTGCCACTATACTCCAGTCTGGGTGACAGAGAAAGATCCTGTCTTAAATAAATAAATAAATAGTTGTATCGCATATATGGAGGAAAGAAATGATAAAGAAGAAAAATTACAAGGTTACTAATGATTTCTTTTCAGCTAAGCTTTTGGTAATGCTCATCTTTTAATGTTCTTTGGGCAAACACAAATCAAACAATTTTTACAACTGTTATTAATATGCCTAAAGCAGTATAGCAAAACATTTTTCATAAAAAAAGAGCATTATAAAATCCTTAAATATTTAGGATAGTTATACACTTCAACTTCTCTATTTAAGGGGTGGAGAAGATGGAGATTGATGGAACATGCCTATTTTCTGAGAAGTCTTAAAGAATTTTTACAGCTTAGAAAGCTTAATTATCAGGGTAACCTATGACAGGTTTATACTGTTAAAACCTCTATACTAACACTATAAGTAAGTCTTTATTGAAAAGTTCTTTATTTTGATTCTTAAGACTATAAAAGTAGAGAGAAACTGGCTTTTGGTGATAAAGACAGTAACATTAATGGGATTATAAATAAGCTGTTAGTCCCTAAAATAGCTTTATCTTCCAGCTGATTTCTGAATTGTGATTATTTTTCTCATGAGCTGAAAGACTTCCATTTCATAGAAGTACAGCTGACCCTTGAATAACATGGGTTTGAACTGCCTGGGTCTACTTATTTGTAAATTATCTTCTGCCTCTGTCACCTCTCAGATGACAAGACCAACCCCTCCTCCCCCTCAATGTGAAGATGACAAGGATAAAGACCTTTATGATGATCCACTTACACTTAATGATTAGTAAATGTATTTTCTCTCCTTTATGAATTTCTTTTTTTTTTGAAACAGGGTTTTGCTTTGCTGTGAAGCCTGGAATGCAGTGGCATGATCTTGGCTCACTGCAGCCTTGACCTTCTGGGCTCCTACCACCTCAGTCTCCTGAGTAGCTGAGACTACAGGCGCTCACCACCACACCCAGTGAATTTCTGCATTTTTTGTAGAGATGAGGTTTCACCATGTTGCCCAGGCTGGTCCTGAACTCCTGGGCTCAAGCAATCTGCCCACTTTAGCCTCCCAAAGTGCTGGGATTACAGGCATGAGCCACCATGCCTGGCTCTATAAATTTCTTAATAACATGTTCTTTTTCCTAGCTTATTTTAAGAATGAAGTACAGAATACATATAACATACAAAACATGTATGTTTGGACTGTTTATGTTAATGGACTAATGGACTGTTTATGTTATTGGTAATTCTGGTCAGGAGCAGACTATTAGTCAAGTTTTTGGGGAGTCAAAAGTTATACATGAATTTTGGACTGCAATTGGGGGGTGCCCCTAACCCTCATGTTGTTCAGGGGTCAACTGTACTTTTTTTTAACCACCAAGTAAATTAGTTTACGGAACATTTTCTGGAGGTCTTTAAGAATCAGAGCAAATGTTCATATTTATGAAGCAACTTAACTATAACCCTACAGGGTGAATTAGGGGAATGATAAATATCTTCATAGTCCTCAGATTACCTTTACAAAAATCAGTAGTAACATAATTCAATGGTGAATTTCTACAATATATAGGCTTCAAATAACACAAACTTATGCTTTAAAACAGACAGCTAAGATTATAGGAATATTTTAAATAAACAGCATTTATTTTAGACACATTTCAAATAGAAGCCACAATAATCAAATAGATATTATCTGAAAACGTTTCAAAAATATTAACCCTTTAAATGTTCTTCTCTGAAAAATTAGTTTATCTTTAACAAATTATTCTGAATTATTGTGTCAACATATAAGGTTATGCATATATATTCACTTGCTGGTCTCTATGTTAAAGCAAACTAGGTAAAAACTAGAGAAATATCTGAACATAAAATGGTTAACAATTTACGGCCCATTTTCTTCTCATATTATTGAAAAATATGATAAATCTTGTGGTTCACGGACTATATCCAGGAAACAAATGTCACATATTAAATAGAAATAAACCATCTTTGTATGCAGGTATGTTTAAATGAAGACACACACATACAAACTCCTATAGCAACAGGATTCAAATAAATACTTAGACCAAGATTTTTTTTTTAACTGTTTAAGAGAAAAGGACTTTAAGCCATAAATGTAACAGACCACATAGTCGAACAAATGGGAAATGGTTGGACCTGACATTTCTATAGAAACGTACATCATTAACAGTCAACATACCAAAGTGTGCTGAACCACTGCTACTTTTACTTTGCGTAGAGGTACTGCATGTCTGGGTCCCAGGTTGTGCTGTTCCTGTTCGGTTTATACTCCTATATAATTTTCTACAGGAGAGTTCATCATTGTCACTGTCATGTAGGGATGGTGTCCGAGGCCTAAAATGCCGCCATCTACATGATTTGATATTGACTAGTATCTGACTGAGGTCTTTAGAGAAAGATTTGTCCGAGGTATTTGTTTCTGAGGTATTGGCAAACTGATTGACTGGAGAATGTTGTGGTGAGGAAAGCATTTCCAAATCCAGATGGTGAAACACACTGTCATAGTCTGAATGAGCTCTGTCCAGTAAGACCCTATTAAAAAATCAGACAAGAAACAGTTATTTAAAATAGCTATTCAAAGATTATATATTAAAGCTTTTTCTTTTTACCCCCAACTGCCAAAAGGCCAACTCATACTGAATATTTAAAAGCTTTAAAGTTGATTATTTTAGTGTTTGGTTTTTATAGGCTACAACCTCAATTTCTAATAAAAGTTCTTTTAACAAATTGTTTTTCAACTAAAGATTTTCACTTCCATTACAAAGCACCAAAATGAATGCTTTATAAAATGTTGCGAACACATTTATTCTATATTTAAGCAAAAACTTCATTCCTTTTGGGGGGAAAGGGAGAAGAGAGAAGAAAAGCAACAAAAAACATAGTATACCATTAACATTTCTTATAGACAAAATATTTGAGATCCACTACTCTAGAGGATATATTCTTATGTTATTGATTGATTGACTGATTGATTGAGAGAGATGGAGTTTTACTCTGTCACCCAGACTGGAGTGCAATGGTGCGATCTTGGCTCACTGCAACCTCCGCCCCAGGGTTCAAGTGATTCTCCTGCCTCAGCCTCCCGAGTAGCTGAGATTACAGGCGCCTGCCACCATGCCCAGCTAATTTTTGTGTTTTTAGTGGAGACAGTGTTTCCCCATGTTGGCCAGGCTGGTCTCAAACTCTTGACCTCAAGTGATCCACCCACCTTGGCCTCCCAAAGTGCTGGGATTACAGGTGTGAGCCACCATGCCTGGCCTCTTATGTTATTTATATAAACATTATAAATGGCTCCAAGTCAAAATAATAACATTGATTAATGTTAGTAATAGAATAAAATATAGCTAACGTAGAGAATTTTCACTGCTCCTGATGTCAGCAGTGATGGAAAAAAACGGACTAAATAAAATGTATTTTAGTGCCTAGATAATTCTTAACCAATGTTTAAATAATAAAAAAAAACCCTCTGCAATTAAGAGTTGAAGATGAAAAAAATATATGTATAAGCCATTAGTTTATCATAAATATACGCTTGGGTTTCTTCCTGAAAAAGCACCTTGATACTATTATTTGCTTTCCCTTTTAATTTTCCCCGCACATTATACATTAACGTCTCTCCATTCCTTGAGTTTATGTGTTTTGCTATTTGTTTCCTGTCCCCATACAAGCAACTCGCATAAAGGCATTTAGAGTATGAAGGAAGGAATTCTACAAGGTTTAAACAAAGGAAGAACAATTAGATCCTAACAAACTGGGATGTCAAGATCAGGTTATGCATGGATCCTTTTCACTGTCAGGTTAAACCCATTATACTAGCTAGTGTGAAACAACTTTTTTGCAGTTTCTTTAACTTAATACACTGTGTGCAATCAGGATTTACACTTGTCTTCATCTGTTGCCCTTTCTCACAATTCTACCCCTTGATAATTTATCTGAGGTTTTCCACCTTGGGGAGAAAAGCAGGTCCACTAGGGACCCAATAGAGTTATGTCAAAAACTATGGATGTGTAAGAACCAGGCAGCACAGCAACAAAAATATTTTAGTCAACAGATCAGTTAAGAATAGCAAATAGGAACTAATGAGTTGTTCAGAGGGATTACCTGACTTTAAAAGTTAGATTCAATCACCCTAATGCCTAAAATATCCTTCTGCTAGGAATACAGAAATACCTTACCTTCCACCGCGCCCAACCCGTCTTCGTGCAAATCCAATACACCTTTGGGGTACGGTGAGAGTAGTTAAGCAGTATCTATATCGCACATCCCCTAATCCTCCATCTTTAGGACTAGTCCAAGGCCAGTTGCCAGTTTGGTCTAAGTGAGGCTTAAAAAAAAAAATCCAAATTATTTAATTTTGTCAGTTAAAGGTAAATAGTTTGTTATTTACAAAGACACTCTGAAACTTACAGCATAGTACTGACAGCCTGCTTTCCTACGGAAAGCAAAAGGACCATCAGGATCATTGTCTTCCTCAGCTTCCGAAGAGCCAGACAAAACCTTTAAATGAAATAAAGAAAGTAGGTCAGATACGTGACTTCCTACATCCCTCCTCAATGTTCATAGAGAATTGTATTTGTACCTGGGAGAGAGGTTCTTCGTCTGAGCTGGGAAAGTCATACTGATTCAGATCTTTAGCATTGAAGACTGGCAGTGCAGCAGGACTCGTCTGTTGGGGAGTAGCAGCGGCAGACGATGGTAAGACTTTGGGCTTCTTTTCATATTTCCGTTTCGGTCGGATAAGATCGGCTTTATCTTGCTGCAACAAAGACATGAATTAATTATACACCAGAAACCATGTTCAACAAATTTGCAGTTTTGGGGGAAATTTTAAAAAGAAGTTTATTGCTATAATGAGGGCATTCATATTCATAAGAGACACAACACTCTATGTTTGGCCATCTTATAGTGTAAAGTCTAGAGAAGTTGGCCTCCATGAAAGCATAAATTTGTCCTACAATCTAAACATAATCACACAAATGATTCTGTTTCAATTAAAAGGAGAGAACAGAAGTTCTCCAACTTCTGAAGTCTTACAACTGCAATTAGTGTATTTACTGCTGGCTCCTCCCATTTTCTTAATTTTCTATGAAAATTCTAGAAGAGAATTTTTTTTTAAAGGGGATTGTCTAATCCTTATTCTCAACAAATAATAAATATAGGACAAATAATAATGAAAATGTCTTCGTATACACAGAAAGCAAACTACAGAAAACTGTTAACATAGTAGAAAACAAAGCCATAATGCTGAGTGAGGGGTTATACAAATAAAGAGTAGTAAGGATTTGTGGGCTGAACAATGTAAGCTTTCTGAAATGGTGACTTTTGAACAGTTTTAAAGGATAAAGATATGAAATCATTAAATAGGGGAAATGCAGGATAAAATATACAGGCAACAGTAACTGAGCTGATGGAACACAGCATGTTCGAAACATGTATTGCAGATGATGGCAAAGGTTGGGAGAAGTATGAATTTGATACGTAGGCAATAGGTAAGGTAAAGTAGTGGCAAAAATTGTATTTGTTGGAAAGAAAAAGATCACGGCAAATACCACGGTTATGTAAATACGCTAAATATTCATGTTACATTTTATGTAGTTTATGACATTATGGTTTTTTGGGAAAACTACGGTTTTCCCAAACCATAAGGCATCTCTCCACAATTTCTACTGTTGTATTTGACAGGATAATCAAATCAAAAGTTGGCCATGGCAATGCAAAACATTATTTAAAAGCTAACATCAGCTGTCAGCTAGGGCAGTGCTTGAGGACTACATTATTATCTATTACTTTTTTCTTTTTTTTTTTTTTTTTTTTGAGATGGAGTCTTGCTCTGTCACTTAGGCTGGAGTACAGTGGTGCGGTATCAGCACACTGCAATCTCCGCCTCCCAGGTTCAAGTGATTCTCCTGCCTCAGCCTCCCAAGTACCTACTAATTCAAAGCCTTATGCTATGCTTAGGTGCTATTACTACCCATTTACAGCAATTTGCGCTCGCTAATTTTTTGTATTTTTAGTAGAGATGGGGTTTCGCCATGTTGGCCAGGCTGGTTTCAAACTCTTGACCTCAAGTGACCTGCCTGCCTCTACCTCCCAAAGTGTTGGGATTATAGGCATGAGCTGCTGCACCCGGCCTAAAGTAACTTTCAAGTATGAGTGGCACATATAGAGGAAAGCAAATAATAGGATAATTAATCTTAAAATATGATAACTGAAGGATAACACTAAAGTAGTCCACAAAATCATGTAGGGCTCAGAGGGGGGGACCACATTAAAATAGTTAAGAGTGGGAGGTCGGGTGGGGTGGCTCATGCCTGTAATCCCAGCACTTTGGGAGGCCAAGGCGGGAGGATCATGAGGTCAGGAGATTGAGACCATCCTGGCTAACACGATGAAACCCTGTCTCTACTAAAAATACAAAAAATTAGCCAGGCGTGGTGGCATGCGCCTGTAGTCCCAGCTATTTGGGAGGCTGAGGCAGGAGAATCGCTTGAACCCAGGAGGCGGAGGTTGCAGTGAGCCAAGATTGCGCCACTGCACTCCAGCCTGGGTGACAGAGCAAGACTCTGCCTTAAAAAAAAAAGTAACAGTGGGAACAATCCCATTAAACTTTAAAGATACATTTAGAACTAATATATTACAAATGCAGGACATAAAATTTAAATAAATGCAAAATTTAAATAAAAACTTACATGAGTAAACTAAAACAGTATTTTGGGGCACAGCTCTAACTTTCCAGATCATTGAAGAGAATAACGAGAATAACTCTACTCTCCCTCCCACCCTCCCCTACGTTTTTTAAAAATCAAAATGTCCATGTTAACAAAGTGGGAAAAAAAAAAGTCCATGTTTTTTCACAAAATGGTCTGGTCCCTGGCACTGCTTTAAATAACTCCCCGCCTCCCCCTGCAAAAAAAGTCCAGGCTGGGGAAATCATCATTCATTCTAACTGTGTGGCAGGTTGTACATTCAGGCTTGAAGGTCTGTTTACCACAATAAAAAAAAAACCTGAGTGAGCATGATATTAAATGATGCAGGGGAGATAAAACTGATGGCAAATTTTCCCATTCCTCAAATTAAACTGGTATGGTAGATGCAAAGTTTCATGAAATTTTTTTTTTTTTTTTAGACGGAGTCTCGCACTGTAGCCCAAGCTGGAGTGCAGTGGCGCGATCTCGGCTCACTGCAAGCTCTGCCTCCCAGGTTCACGCCATTCTCCTGCCTCAGCCTCTGAAGCAGCTGGGACTACAGGCGCCCACCAGCACGCCCGGCTATTTTTTTTGTATTTTTAGTAGAAACAGGGTTTCACCGTGTTAGCCAGGATGGTCTCGATCTCCTGACCTTGTGATCCGCCTGCCTCGGCTTCCCAGAGAGCTAGGATTACAGGCATGAACCACCGTGCCCGGCCATGAAAAATTTCATACAAAAAATGCATAACGTACTTTTTCCTCAGATGTACACTTTCCAAGAAAGTGCCACTTAATTAATGGCTCTCCTTTATTTACCTCAGTTTTCCTTCACTAATTTTATTTCCTCTCACAAATTTTATTCTTCACAAATTGTGACTTAGTTAAGTACTAATTTGTCAAATATTTCCATTTCTAAATCATTATATTACTATTAAGATATCAAAATTCCCTCTTATACACTATTGTGTCCACAAAAGACAGAAAAACTCATTTGAGGCTGGGTGCAGTGGCTCACGCCTATAATCCCAGCACTTTGGGAGGCCTAGACGGGCGGATCACCTGAGGTCAGGGGTTTTGAGACCAGCCTGGCCAACATGGCAAAACCCCACCTCTACTAAAAATACAAAAATTAGCCCAGCATGGTGGCGCGTGCTACCTGTAGTCCCAGCTACTCGGGGAGGCGAGGCAGGAGAATCGCTTAAACTCGGGAGGTGGAGGTTGCAGTGTGCTGAGATCCGGCCACTGCACTCCAGCCCGGGTGACAGAGCAAGACTCTGTCAAAAAAAAAAAAAAAAAAAAAAAAAGAAAGAAAGAAAAACTCATCTGATCAGGGAGGATTTCATGTCTTTCTCCCTAACTCTCCATATTTTGTATGAATTATTTCAATACTTCATAATCCTACAACTTGTAAAAGGAATATTTTTCCTTTTATCAGATATAGTAACAAAAGCTTCCCTTTATAAGGAAGAGAAACAAAAATAAAATTTTAATTATAGACTTCTGCTTTTCTTCATATTGTGGCACAATCATTGCAGTATACATTAAGGTGGGGTATATATGTATTTTTCTTTTTTTATCTTTTTTTTTTTAGATGGAGTCTTGCTGTGTCACCCAGGCTGGAGTGCAATGGTGTGATCTTGGCTCACTGCAACCTCCACCTCCTGGATTCAATTAATTCTCCTGTCTCAGCCTCCCTAGTAGCTGGGATTGCAGGCGCATGCCACCATACCTGGCTAATTTTTTTGTATTTTTAGTAGAGACGGGGTTTCACCATGTTGGTCAGGCTGGTCCCGAACTCCTGACCTCAGGTGATCTACCCACCTCCGTGTCCCGAAGTGCTGGGATTACAGGCGTGAGCCACTGTGCCCGGCCTATGTGTGTTTTTCTTTTTAACTTTCATTCTAATGATAAAATACCATCCCATTATTAGATACTATTATCACAAAAACATTAATCACCTTATTAACTTTGAACTCCTTCACATCCATTGCTTCCTGGTGTTTAAATTGACTGCTATTAGTAATAGGGATGATGGGGATGGCATAAGTAGGTTTCATTGGCTGTCTCTGTGCCATAACCTCAGACATGATCTCTCCATTGTAGTCGCCCAAATTATACCTAAAATTATACAAATGAAAGTTTAAAATTATATATATTTAAGGAATACAATGTGATGTTTTGATATACATTTATACTGTGAAATAATTACCACAATCAAGCTAATTAACATATCCATCACCTCACATAATTACCTTGTGTGTATATGTGGTGAGATTACTTAAGATCTACTCTTAGCAAATTTCAAGTATATAATACATTGTTATTAACCATGCTGTACATTAGGTCTCCAGAATGTATTCATTTCATAACTGTAAGTCTGTACCCTTTGACCAACATATAAAATATATAATTTTTATTTGTCAATTATACCTAAATAAAGCAGGAAAAAGAAGAAAATTTTGGAAAGTTAGTTTTATAAGTATTTATCTTTATAACCATTAATAACTAGCTGACTGAGATATAATTATAAACACCAATTACATTTAAGGCAAGATTGTAGTTAAACTTTGACTATTCAATTTCTCTCAAAGATTACATAATTCCTTTTGTTTCTTCCTTTTACTTTTTTGGCTTATAGCTTTATCATGGCATATAAATAGAGGATTGTTGGGAAAAAATCAAAAGCTGGAATTTTAATGTAGCAATTTTGGTGAAAGATTTGGTGAAGTTGAAAGTAATGCCTAAAATGGTGCTAAGGATCTTTCTGCTAATTAGAATTGCCTGGGCTTTAAAACTAATTTTTCTAAAAGTAATCACAAGAAATTTAAAAGTGGTTTTCTTTGGGGATAGGGACTAGAAATAGGGCAGAAGTTTTCTTTAAGTTTTCATTGTGTACCTTGCCAAATGCTTGAGTGGTAAGATATATGGGCCTTTCTCCCTCTTTCTTTACCCTTTTCTATTTAACAATCCAGTGTTTTAAATTTTATATGCATTAAAAAAGAAGCAGTACTATCAATTAACTCAAGTCCTACATGCAACTCAAGGACCAAAAAAGACCACTTTGAAATGGAAATACTTGGTATGTTTTAACTTAAGTGAATCCAGTCACTTTTAAAGAAAATAGAGGAAAACATGTAAAAGTATAAAAAGTATCATACCACATATTTAAAGTCTCTATTATTAAAAAAAGATATTTCTGTAATTAGATTATTGCATAGGAAATAAATTAACTCAATATACAAAATGTTAATGGCACTATACTTCCTCTAACATTATTAAAATATACATTACCTCTTTTCCATAATTTCCAGTGTTAAGTGCAATAGCTCTCTTTTACTTTTTTCTCTTCTTTTTATCATCTCTAGAATAGTAACAGCTCGACTTAGATCTCGTCGCAGCTTAAGCATTTTTTCGTAAGAGGCTTCATCATTTTTGCGATTCTGCAAATGTGAAGTTGCTTGTTTAATGTTAGTAAGTATTTCTAACTAGTGGTATAGTTATTGACCCATAAAATTTATATATTTGAAGGGTTAAATTAGAATTTAAAGACAATAAAAGGGAGCACAGATCACCAGGAAATCAATTTTGTATTGATTTTTAAATGGATTAACATTAAAATATAACATTAATAGCTGCATAATAAATCTTAAGTTCAATTTAAGTATTTTTCTTATAATTGGAAAGTCATATTTGAATATAAATTAAACCACAGTATTGAGACAGTCATAACTATAAATAATTTTTATTATATAATTATCAAAAAAATTCTTCAAATTCACTTACTTTTCGAGTCTGCATTTTTTCAGTACGCCTTCTAAAAGCCACATAAGGATCATTTGTGCTGGAACCATCTCGCTTCTCTTGTTTTACTGATGGAATAAGAGATGGCCCTCGACAGTTTTTTCTCTTTTTAATCCAATATTCATAAACTTCTCTAATTAGTTCATCATCTTCTTTTAGCAGTAGTTTGGCTTCCTGCAGACTGACTGGCTAAATGTAAAACCATTATGTCATTTTCATACAATACACATACAAGGTTCATAAGTATTTACTTCTAAATTTAAAGGACAATAATCAATATTACAACATTATTAACAAATGGGAAACTTGAGGAGTACATTATGCCTGTCAGTCACTGAACTAGGGTGCTTTATATACATTATTTCATCTTTACGACAATCCCAGGGCAACCAAGGCACAGAAAAATTTAAACATATTGCTCAAGATTACACAGGTTACTGATAAGCAGAGATGAGATTTGAATTCATACTTTTTAACTCTAAAGCCTGACTGATTACCCCCAACCTGCAATCTCACACTCTTTCCATACAATACAGTTCTTTACATAGAATATGTATATACTTGTTATATACAAATGAAGTTGTACCTGCTGACCACTGCCTTTTTCTAGGCGGTCAATCATCTCCTCAAATTGCAATGGGCAGATGTCCATTTTCTTTTTCAGTTTATTCACAAATACTTCATCTTCAGAATCCAAATCATAATCAGGCTGTTCAGCATCCAAACTAAAAGCTGACAGAAGGAACCATATGCAATCATTTACTGTGTGAATTCACCGACAAAAACTCCACAGATGTCTGCATAAAAACAAGACCTAGACTTTCTAAAGAAATAAGAAAGAATTCTTGGATTTTGTTTTCAGAGTCGCAAACAATCTAAGCTTAGATTTGTCTTACACATTTAAAGTTAAAGAAAGGAGATTATCTTTACTATGAATATACATATAAGTAATAAAAGACAATGGATGCGACACCCTCCAACCACTCCTAAAAGCAAATACACTAGAAGCCTATTAAGAACATAAAGCGATCATTAAAACTTATTTGGTTGAACCATGTGAAGTGCCATTTTTATAGCTCAAAAATCATCACATAGGCAATTTTTATAATATAAAAGGAGAAGGCCTTTAAGATTTTTTTCTATAATATTTAAGTCCTATTTTGTAGATTATTCAACTACTTTACCAAAAGCTAAGGGAGTGGTCTTTAAAGTTGAAGTGTTAGAAGCCACTACCAATAACAGTACAGGTTGAGAATCCCTCACCCAAAATGCTTGGGACCAGAAGTGTTTTGGATTTTGGAATATTTGAATACGTATAATGAGATTTCTTGAGGGTGGGACCCAAGTCTAAACACAAAATTCATTTTTTTCACATATACTTTATATGCATAGCCTGATGGTGATTTTATGTAATATTTTAAATAATTTTGTGCGTGAAGTTTTGACTGTGACCCATCATCACATGAGGGCAGGTGTATAATTTTCCACACGTGGAATCACATTGGTGCTCAAAAATTTCGAACTGCGGAGCATTTCAGATTTTGAGTTTTCAGCAGCTGTCACTCGGTGAGTATGTTCCTGCCTAGGAAGTTTGTTTCTCTACGCGAACACTGTCATGCTGATGGAAATGGGAGGATCTTAGATCTGCAAGAACCGCTGCTACTATCAAATGTTGTTTAATTACTTACCAAAATTAAGCTAGGTTGATATGAATATAAGCAAAATATTAAATAGCTTTAATATAAAAATTTGTCTCACATCTTTCCCTTACTTAATTCCTTCTACTAACATTACAGTCCACATCTTTAGAATGGTATAAGGCCCTTTTTTCCTATTCTCTCCAGTGTTATCAGTTCTTTATGATCTAGTAACATCAGATTTCATTGATTTCATGCAGTATGCTATTTCATGACTGCAGGCCTTTACAAAAATCCCTGTTTTTCTGCTTGCCCACCAAGGAGGCAAATGCCTATTTATTCTTTTTAGCACCCAGCCTGGTATCACTCATCTAGAATCCTTTTTTGATTTTTCCCCACCCAAGAAGTGGTTCCTAACCACTTTCATCTTTTTTAGTGGCTAAGAACCCACTTCACATACTTTATAATCTGCTTGTTAAGCATGCCTCCCTATTAGAATGTGTGTGATCTCTTTAGGGAGAGGCATGCCTTCTTTACTTCTGTACCGCTAAGTGGAGGGTAACAGGTTTCACCTTGTATGCCACCTCTGTAATGTTACGTCTATTAAAGTGGGGGGAAATAACCTCCAAACCCAGTCAGACATTAAAGTCTGTGATGGGTACAAAGGGCACTATTTAGCTGCCAAATACTGCCATCTCTGCTTAAAGCTTAACACAGTGTCTGGCCTGGGGAAGTAAAAAAACATTGGTACAGTTGAATGTATTATTTCACTGTTTTATTTTTTATTTTGACCTATATCACTTCTATAACATTCCTATTAAAATAAGTAAGTATTCAGACTATAAAAATTTCTAGATGTTAACATCTCTGTACTCACAGTACCTGCAATCATGGGCCCTCCAATGATTTTCCATCATCTCATTTTGTCATTATTACGTAAACAGCTTTTAGAGATCCTCAAGTTGATTAAAACTGTTAGATTAAAAACACTTGATATATTTTGTTCCTAACCAAAATAATGCAGGTCTATGTTGTCTAATATGGTAACCACTAGCCATGTGCGGCTAACTGAATTTATATTAATTAAATAAAATTTAAAATTCAGTTCCTCAGTCACAATCGCCACATTTCAAGTACTACAATAGCTATATGTGGCTAGTGTTGTATTAGCACAGATTACAGAACATTTCCATCATCATAGAAAGTTCTATTAAAGAGCACTGATGAAAATAATCCAGAAAGCCAAATTGATAGGGACCAACTAGCAATGTTCTCAATGTTCTTTTTTTTTTTTTTCCTGAGACAGAGTCTCTCTCTGTCACCCAGGCTGGAGTGCAGTGGGGCGATCTCGGCTTACTGCAACCTCTGCCGCCCGGGTTCAAGCGATTCTCCTGCCTCAGCCTTCCAACGAGCTGGGATTACAGGCACCTGCCACCACGCCTGGCTAATTTTCGTAGTTTTTTTTTTTGTAGTAGAGATGGGGTTTCACCATCTTGGCCAGGCTGGCTGGTCTTGAACTCCTGAACTCATGATCCACCCGCCCCGGCCTCCCGAAGTTCTGGGATTACAGTCGTGAGCCACCGCGCCCGGCCAATGTTCTGCTTCTTAAGGTTATATTTCATTTTTAGGATCTCATTTATACACTACAGTTTGGCATCCTCTTCTTTAGATCGTATCACATGTCAAACCACAATCACAAAGCCTAATTATTCATTAAAACAAAATGAGCTTGCCAAGGATCACCTTGCTTCGCATCAAAATACACTTGCCATAGCTTCTGGTAGATATTATATTATCAATGGCAAGTCACACCCAACATATCAGGGGCTGCATCAAGACTGAAAAGGATGATTTCTATCATATGAATCAAGGAGCTCAGGGTCTTTCCCTCTGACATTAACAAGGACCTGAGTGTCTGAGCCCTTTTGCCTCTGCAAGAGGCTTTTCTTTTATTCAGTGCAAACTCATATAAAATCTTAAACAGGGGCCAGGCGTAGTGGCTCACGCCTGTAATCCAGCACTTTGGGAGGCCAAGGCAGGTGGATCATGAGGTCAGGAGTTCCAGACCAGCCTGGCCAACACGGTGAAACCCTATCTCTACTAAAACTACAAAATTTAGCTGGGCGTGGTGGCGGGTGCCTGTAATCCCAGCTACTCGGGAGGTTGAGGCAGGAGAATTGCTTGAACCCGGGAGGCGGAGGTTGCAGTGAGCTGAGATCGCGCCACTGCAATCTAGCCTGGGCGACAGAGCAAGACTCCATCTCAAAAAAAAAAAAAATTATTAAATAGGAAGAGTACCCAATCTTGTTCATATATAGAATACCAAAACCCTAGAGAAAAGCTAACATGTAAAAACCCACTTTGGAATTTCATTTGACCAAAAAACCCACACCCAACAACCTTATTATGTAATTTAGCTGTAGCTGAATCTGCAGCTTCCAATAAACACCTCAACCCAAGCTAATAAAAATGTAAAATATTCATCATGTTCCTAGAATTAAGAGTATCTTCAGATTTTCTGGGTCATGTTATTGGATGTGTTCAAAGTAAAAAAAAGGGTCTAAAGAAAAACAGGCAAATAGGTCATCTTTTCTAATTAAGTTCTATCAATTAAATTGAGACCTAGCAGGTTAATAATTCTTTTTTTTTTTTTTTTTAGATGGAGTTTCGCTCTTGTTGCCCAGGCTGGAGTGCAATGCTGTGATCTTAGCTCACTGCAACCTCCGCCTCTCGGGTTCAAGCGATATTCCTGCCTCACTCAGCCTCCTGAGTAGCTGGGATTACACATGTCTGCCACCACGCCCGGCAAATTTTTGTATTTTTTAGTAGAGATGGGGTTTCACCATGTTGACCAGGTTGGTCTCCAACTCCAGACCTCAGGTGATCTGCCCGCCTTGGCCTCCCAAAGTGCTGGGATTACAAGCATGAGTCATCGCAACTGGCCTATAATTCTTAAATAATAACGAGAACTACACTGTGTAAGCTGGCTCCTTTAAAAATATTCTGATAGGAATAAACCCAGAGATGCATACAGGTAAACAGAATACAGTATTAGTGTGATACACAGATGTAGGAAAAAGTATACCATAACTGCCATGTAGACATAAAGTAAGCCTAAGTAAAATACAACAGGACTTATACATTGAATAGATTATTATTATTATTATTATTTTGAGACAGAGTCTCGCTCTGTCGCCCAGGCTGGAGTGCAGTGGCGTGATCTCGGCTCACTGCAAGCTCCGCCTCCCGGATTAACACCATTCTCCTGCCTCGGCCTCCCGAGTAGCTGGGACTACAGGCGCCCGCCACCACACCCAGCTAATTTTTTGTATTTTTAGTGGAGATGGGGTTTCACCGTGTTAGCCAGGATGGTCTCGATCTCCTGACCTCGTGATCTGCCCACCTCGGCCTCCCAAAGGGCTGGGATTACAGGCGTGAGCCACCGCGCCTGGCCAGTTAGATTATTTTTAAAGGAAATCCAGTCTGGTACAAACCGTGGTATTTAAAGTCTAGTAATAGATATTTACTATGGGGTGGGAAGTATTTGACATCTTTGCCTTAGATCTAAGACAAAGATATTAAAGTTTAGTAATAGAGATGGAATGTAAGTGTCTACGTAACAAGTGCCATTTATGACTCAAACTAAGTGTGCATTCGGTGAGTATGTCCATAACTTCAAACAGCGTTTTAAAAATACAGGAAACAAATAGTGAAAGGATATCTGGATCCATGAAACAGCACACAATGTGGATTAGGAACAGAATATACACCCTGATTGAAAGGAAGGAAGGTAGGAACACTACCCAAGGTTGAAGAAAAATTGTCACACCAGTTTTAACACGAGCACTAACTGCATGATTAATAATATCTACTTGCAAAGCTCTTGATATCAATTCTGAGCAGCAGAAAAGACTGTTGTGAAGATGTTATTTACTATGGGGTGATAGGTATTTGACATCCTTGCCTCAGCTCTAAGATAAAGATATCGCTGACTAGCCAGATCATGGAAATCTTCAGTTTCCTTTGCTTAAAAGCTAGAGCTTGGGGTCACTTCCAGAATGTACTTAGGGAGCGAAAATGGTGAATATTAGATTTGAAATCTCAGATATAAGATCTTTCGTACATAAAGTTCTCTGGTTGCTGTTATAGATTTTATCTGTCAGAAAGCAGTACCAGCAGAATATGCTGCAGGGGATGTTGAGGCAGGCAGTGGGAAGGAGAAAATAATCTTTCAGAATCAGAGCACAAAGACAGGATATCTGTTCTGAGAGGTATTGAAAATGTAGGTTCTACTTTAGGAAAAAAGTATCCGTTAAAAAAACTTTACTTAGAAGTCAAAACTTATATAAGTTGTTGAAATAAAAACAGTACAAGGAACACCTGCATACTCTTTACCCAGATTCAGCTATTGTTAAATTTTTATTTTGTTTTATCATACGCACATGTGCTCGTGCTTGTGTGCACTTTCATTATGCAGGCTCACTCTTTATTTTTTCATTTTCGAAGCCATAGGAGGGTACATTATATTCATAATGGCTTTTTTGTTTTGTTTTGTTTTTTTGAGATGGAATCTCACGCTGTCACCCAGACTGGAGTGCAGTGGCGTGATCTCAGTTCACTGCAACCTCTGCCTCCTGAGTTCAAGCAATTCTCCTGCCTCAGCCTCCTGAGTAGCTGGGATTACAGGCGCTTGCCACCATGCCAGGCTAATTTTTGTATTTTTAGTAGAGATGGGATTTTACCATGTTGGCCGGGCTGGTCTTGAACTCCTGACTTCAGGTGGCCCGCCCACCTTGGCCTCCCAAAGTGCTGGGATTACAGGCGTGAGTCCCCGTGCCTGGCCACCATTGTCTTTAAGACATTGATGTTTTTTGGGTATGTCCCCCTCCCCAAGCCTCCATCATCATCATCATCATCATCATTATTATTATTATTAGCACATTCCTCACTCTGTGTTTTTCTGATTTTTTTCTCCATTGTGATTAGATTACACATTCTTGGCTAGGTTATTGCAAAGTAAACTTTTTAAGTCCTTCTCAGAATATCCACATCTAGAGGCACACAATATTCATCTGTTCCTCATAAGTAATGACAATTTTGATCACCAGTCAAGATGTTGCCCAATTTTTTCTTCTTCTTTGTAATTAATGAGTAGTTTGTGGAGAGAGCTTAAAGCCATGCAAATCTCCTCATCAAAATTTCCTCTCTTATTGAGCACACACTGATGATTCTAGTATGATCCAACCCTGATTTATGATAATTGCAAAAATGAGTTTTTTTTTTTATTTTGAGACGGAAGCTCGCTCTGTTGCCCAAGATGGAGTGCAGTGGTGCGATCTCAGCTCACTGCAAGCTCTTCCTCCCAGGTTCATGCCATCTCCTGCCTCACCTCCTGAGTAGCTGGGACTACAGGCACCTGCCACCACGCCCGGCTAATTTTTTGTATTTTTAGTAGAGACAGAGTTTCACTGTGTTAGCTAGGATGGTCTCGAGCTCCTGACCTTGTGAATTTGCCTGCCTCAGCCTCCCAAAGTGCTGGGATTACAGGCATGAGCCACCGTGCCGGGCCACAAAAATGATTTTCTAACTCTAGCATTTTTTTTAAATTTTTTTTTATTATACTTTAAGTTCTAGGGTACATGTGCACAACATGCAGGTTTGTTACATATGTATACATGTGCCATGTTGGTGTGCTGCACCCATTAACTCGTCATTTACATTAGGCATATCTCCTAATGCTTTCCCTCCCGCCCCCGCTCCTGCATTTTTTCTATAGTGTATCAATTCAACTCTTTTTTTTTTTTTTCCTGAGACAGAGTCTTGCTCTGTCACCCAGGCTAGAGTGTAGTGGCGCGATCTCGGCTCACTGCAATCTCTGCCTCCCATGTTCAAGCAATTCTCCTGCCTCAGCCTCCCGAGTAGCTGGGATTACAGATGCACACCACCATGCCTGGCTAATTTTTGTATTTTTAGTAGAGATAGGGTTTCACCATGTTGGCCAGGCTGGTCTCGAACTCCCGACCCCAGGTGATCTGCCTGCCTCGGCCTCCCAAAGTACTGGGATTACAAGTGTGAGCCACCGCGTCCCGCCGATTTTTACTTTTTCAATGGTTTATAATTATTGTACTTTTATTGTTGTGCGAACTGTCCCAGAATTAGCCAGCGGAAACCCCTGTGTCTTCACGACACACCACCATCATTTTTTTTGGAAGCTTAATATCCAGTATAACAAGATGTTACAGGGCCATCTTGTACCTACCCTGCCTCAGCCCTGTAATCAGCCATTTCTCCAAGGCTTCCTGGGCCGTTTAGTGGGGAATAAATTAGAGAATAGGTGCTATGTTTGCTTATTTTTGCTTCTTGGCCTTACAGAGGAAAGAATTAGAAGCACATTTATATCTATCTATCTATCTATCTATCTATCTATCTATCTATCTATCTATCTATCTGCCTGCCTACCTACCTACGTACCTACATGCCCACCCACTCATACACGCAAATGCATATAAAAATATACACATTGACTACCCTTTTAAAAAAGGCTTCGAGTATTAAGCGGAGAGCCAGGTATAAATCTAATAAAACATGTGCAGGATCTGTATAATGAAAATTATAAAGTGTCAATGAAAGAGATAAAAAAAGACCTGAATACTTCAAGTGTCAAACATTGTGTTCATGACCTGGAAGATTCACATAGAAAAGATGTCAGTTCTCTCTAAATTGACCTATAGACTTAAGGCAATTCCCACAAAAATATCAGCAAGTTTCTCTGTAGACATAGACAAGTTTATTCTAAAGTTTATATGTAAAGGAAAGACCTTAAAATATCAAAACGATCTTGAAAAAGAAAGATAATACAGGAGGAATCATTCTCCCTGATGTTAAAAATTACTATAGAGTTGCAATACTCAAGACAGCGATATTGTCTTGGGATAAACACAGAAATCAATTGAATAGAATTGAGAATCTACAAACAGATCCACACAACAATGTCCAGTTAATTTTTGACCAGGAAGCAAAAGCAATTCAATAGAGGAAGGAAAGCTTTTTAAACAAATGATGCTGGAACAACTGGATATCAAGAGGGAAAAAAATGAGCTTTGATCTAAACCTCTTGCTCTATTCAAAAATTAACTTAAAATGGACCACAGACTTAAATGTAAAATGGCAAAACTTTTAGAAGAGAACATAGGAAAGGCAAAGAGCCCTTAGACTTGACACCAAAAGCAGGATCCATTACGAGGAAAATTGAGAAACTGGATCTCATCAAAATTAACAACTTTGGTCCCATGAAAGTCTATTAAAAAAAAAAGATGAAAAGACATTAAGAAATGGTAGAAAAATTTCGCGGCTGGAGGTGGTGGCTCACGCCTGTAATCCCAGCACTTTGGGAGGCCAAGGCGGGCGGATCACGAGGTCAGGAGATCGAGACCGTCCTAGCTAACATGGTGAAACCCCATCTCTACTAAAAATACAAAAAATTAGCCAGGCCTGGTGGCATGCGCCTGTGGTCCCAGCTACTCGGGAGGCTGAGCTTGCAGTGAGCTGAGATCACTGCACTGCACTCCAGCCTGGGTGACAGAGCAAGACTCCGTCTCAAAAAAAAAAAAATTTTTTTCCAAGTCATATATCTGACAAAGACACTGTGTCTAGAATATTATCTTTTTAAAAACACCTCAAACTCAACATTAAGACACCCATCCCATAGAAAGTAAGCAAAAGAGGCCAGGCATGGTGGCTCATGCCTATCATCCCAGCACTTTGGGAGGCCGAGGCGGGTGGATCACCTCAGGTCAGGAGTTTGAGACCAGCCTGGCCAACTTGGGGAGACCCCATCTCTACTAAAACAAAACAAAAATTAGCTGGGCATGGTGGCACGCGCCAGTAGTCCCAGCTACTCGGGAGGCTGAAGCAGAAGAATTGCTTCAATCTAGGAAGCGGAGGTTGCTGTGAGCCGAGACTGTACCACTGCACTCCAGTCTGGGCAACAGAGTGAGACTCCATCTCAAAAAAAAAAAAAAAGGAGGGTGGGGGAGCGGCGCAAAAGACATGCACGATCATTTCACCAAAGAGGATGTACAGACTGGCAAATAAACACATGAAAAGATATTTCATTTTAGCCATTTAGGAAAATGTAAATGAAAAGTACAATAAGATATTACTACACACCTATTAGAATAGGCTAGGATAAAAAATAGTGCAACCCCCAGTGCTAGAGAGATATGGAGAAACTGGGTAATATACACCTGGTGATAATATAAAATGGTACATCTACTCCAGGAAACAGTGTGGAAACAGTGTCCTTCCAAACTAAAAATGGATGAACCCTGCAACTACACTCATGAATATATACCCCAGAGGAAGAAAAACTCATGTTCTGGCTGGGCGCAGTGGCTCATGTCTGTAATCCTAGCACTTTGGGAGGCCAAGGCAGGTGGATCACTTGAGGTCAGGAATTCGAGACCAGCCTGGCCAATATGGTGAAACCCTATTTCTACTAAAAGTACAAAATTAGCCATGTGTGGTGGTGCACACCTGTAATCCCAACTACTCGGGAGGCTGAGGCACGAGAATCGCTTGAACCAGGAGGTGCAGGTTGCAGTGAGCTGGGACTGCACCACTGCACTCCAGCCTGGGTGACAGTGTGAGACTTTGTCTCAATAAACAAACAAACAACAACAAACAACTCATGTTCTCAAAAAAACTTATACATGAATATTCATAGCAGCTCTATTTGTAATAATCAAAAACTGGAAACTACCCAAATGTTCTTCAATGAGTGAATGATTAAACAGACTGTGATGTATACATATCATGGAATACTGCTCAGCAATAAGAAGGAACGAACTATTCATATATCCAACAACTGAATGAACCTGTGATACTGAGTGAAAAAAAGCCAACCTCAAAAGGATACATACTGCATGATTCCATTTATGTAACACCCGTGAACATAATTATACAGATGGATAACAGATGAGTGATGGTCAGGGGATGGGGAGAGGCAGGGATATGGTTATAAAGAAGTAAGAAGAGGGCATCTGCTGGTGATGGTGCAGGTGAGTGTCTTGATAGTGGTGGTGGTTATGCAGGGCTATACATGATAAAATTACACACAACTACAAACACACACACACATATGTGGTACACATCTAACTGGTGAAATCTGCGTAAACTCTAGATTGTACCAATTTCAATTTCTTGGTTTTGATACTGTACAATAGTTGTACATGAAGTTAATACTGGATGAGGCTGGAGGAACTGTGCAGGAGACTTCTCTGTACATTTCTCTGCAACCTCCCATAGATACAGGGCAGCTAACACAAATTTAGCAGCATTATCTTTATTAATATTCCAAAGTATACATCTTTCCAAAGACAAGTTACCTCAAATTTGTACAATAAAAAATTTTCTCCCAAATAAGCTACAATTCTGCTGTCATTTATTAATATTTGATTATAATGTCAGGAGTCAATTCCTTTTTCAATATAGTAGTACCTTTTGACTTTACTGACCACATATAATTCACTAGTTATCAGTCAAATGTATTTTATAGATTCTGATCATCAATAAGTAAGCCATCTTTAAGACATGTATTAATTTTTTCTCATAATGATAATGTAAATTAGTATAATTTTATCTTATTTTACTCAACCTTGCTTTAACCTAAAAGCATGCATTTATAAGATAATATAGCTTGTGGCAGCAGAACAGAATGTGGTTTTAGTTAACATACATGGGGAAGATCAGATCCTTAGCTTTCAAATCCACCTTGGCATGATTTTCTGGAAAACAACTTTTTAGGTTCTAATATCTATCACACTTGTTTATAACGTCTGTGTCTGTCTCTTAAATGTAACAAAACGTGACTGCACAAGTAGACTAGTTAAAATTGGTTTCTCAATGTGCTTGCAAGGAACAATAAAAACAAAATAGGTTTACGCTGTCCTAAAGAAAAAAAATTTAGATGGTCCCCTAGAAAAACCTCTTGATCAGGCCAGGCACAGTGGCTCATGCCTGTAATCCCAGCACTTTGGGAGGCCGAGGCGGGCGGATCACCTGAGGACAGGTGTTTGAGACCAGCCTGACCAACATGGAGAAACCCCGTCTCTACTAAAAATACAAAATTAGCTGGGCGTGGTGGCATGCGCCTGTAATCCCAACTACTCGGGAGGCTGAGGCAGGAGAATCCCTTGAACCCAGGAGGTGGAGGTTGTGGTAAGCCGAGATCGCGCCATTGCACTCTAGCCTGGGCAACAGAGTGAAACTCCGTCTTAAAAAAAAAAAAAAAAAAGAAAAAAGAAAAAAGAAAAACCTCTTGATCATAAAGATTAACAAGACAATGAAAGCTGCAGGAATTTTACCTTACTAACCTTTCAATTATTTGTTTTTAAGTTGTTAATTAATTGGAGATTGAGTAAAAGCTCTCAGCTATTCATCACCAAATGTCACACAGTTATCAAACGATCACTGCTTATGAAGAACCTATCACTATTAAGTGAAATAAGTTCCCAATCAGAGCACTAAATTTTAAAAATTAGCATCACTCTACTAGAAAAAACAGATTTGGGGTTGGCAAGCTATGGCCTATGGGCCAATTCTGGCCTGCCATCTGTTTTTATCAGTAAAGTTTTATTACAACACAGCGACATTCATTCATTTTTCTATTCTCTTTAGCTGATTTTGCACTGCAACAGCAGAACTGAATAGTTGTGACAGAATGACCCACAGAGTCTACAGTAGTTACAATCTGACCCTGTACAGAAAAAGTCTGCTGACTCTCACTTACATCAAGAAGTTCTTTAAGACTATTAATATTATTAATTCTAAACAGGAAGAAAACTATTTCTATATCTGAGTTTTTTTTTTTTTTTCTTATCCTTCTTGACTAAAGCAGCATAAGATTGTATGCTGGAATGAAACAAAAAATGTAGAATAATAAATGCTATCTTTTCTTGTCAGATATCTCAAATATCATTTTAAAAGTTGAAAATGGACTCTACTAACTCTTAAGCTGATGCTGGTCAATGAAACAAATAACAAAAACGCTCCTGAAGAGATAAAAATCTGTCAAGTTACATAATAAGAGAAATATAGAAAATACAATCATTAAGAGAATCATTACTTACGCTGTATGTGAATGAGCTGCTTTGGCATCTTAAATTCCCCAGGATATATAGACTCATAGTAAGCAATATTACTTTCTGCCTCTGGGACCGGTATAACCATATTATCCCTCTTCTCGCCATACACCTGCTGTGCTGAAATAGCCCGCTGAAGATGATGTTCCTAAAAAGAAGAAAAAACAGGTAAGTTCATGTATTTTTAAAAAGCAGTAAACAGATCATATAGCCAAAAAGGTTTTTTTGGCTCATTTGTTTTTAAAATAGAGAGATTCTAGTAGTAGATCTTAAAAGCATGTTGTTAACACGATACAACTAGTGATAAAATCAGTTCAGGTAGAAACAAAAAAAATTTTGTCAGAAACACTGAATATTTCCTCAATATAGCAAAAGGAATTGCCAAAACAGAATTATATAAAGAGATTCAAAATAGTTGACAAAAACAAAGCTTGCATTTTACGGATGAGACGTGGAGAAGGAGTTAAAACATTTGAACTTGTTATATAAAGAAAGTGGGCTATGGTTAAAAATATTTTATTGATTCAAATCTCTTATTCATGTAATACTTCATAAATTTAGAAGGTATTTGAATACAAATCAACTAAATATGGTTTCTTCAAAGAAGGGCAGAGGTTATCTCCATTTTGAGTTGAAACTGACAGACTCAAATCCTGGTCTTTTGTCTGAAATGATAACCTTTCATACACATTTCCAGAGCCCTTTCTGAGCAGCTGCAGAGTATGTGTAGGGGCAGAAAGCACATTCTCTGGACTCAGGCTGTCTGATTAGAACCCAACTCCGATACTGAAACAGTTTGTGACTCCCGGCAAGAAACCAGTCTTCTAAATCTATTTCCTACAGTAAGAGAAAAAAAGAATCTACTGTACAGAGTTGGAGATTTAAGTAAGATAAATGTGAATAAAATGTTTAGTATAATGCCTGACATATAACAGGTGCTCAAAATAAGTTCTGGTTTAGCCACCACACAGAAAGCTTTTCCTAGTTTGTGATACTACCAACTGCCATATAAAGGTATTAGTCTCATCCAGGCCTATCAACACTGAATTTTGGTATATGCCTTATTAAATTCAAACACACACACACACACACACACACACACAAACAAGTTCATGGATAAAAAGCATTCTAATAGTATGAAAAGTTCCAGTCTTCATAGGTAGTCCATTAGGAATGTGTATTTTCTTCCCAATATTTTAATGTATATACAAATGTGTACATATTTAAATATGTAAAGGAATATATATATTCCTATATAAATGGATATAAGATATACACAATGTAGAACTTTATCCCTAGCTTTGGTTTGCTTGATATAACCTGGAGATCTTTCCATACCAATACTTCTACTACATTCCTTACAATAGCTGCATTATATTCCACTATATGGACTTACCAAATTTATTTAACCAGATACAAATTGAAAGGGAAAAAACTCTGGCAACAACCTAAATGCCTACCATCTCCTAAGTGCTACAAAGAACCACTCATGTATTACTATGTACAAGATATCTTTGTGGACTTGTGAAGGCATCTGTAGGACAACTACAAATGGAAGTGCTCAAAGGGTATATCTAAGGTTGTAACAACACATATTCCTCATTCCTTAAGTAACTATTTCTCAATATTCCTTTTGAGTTTAAAACTCTTTGCCCTTCTTGTTACTTTAGGTTAATTTCTTTACAAATGATAAAGTTTCTTTTCTTTCAAATGTTGCTCTTCTTTGCTCATTTTCAAAAGTGTTGCATTTTTCTTATTCATACTCAATTTGATTTTTGATTCTAAACCCTCAGAATGCCTAATGACTCCTGGGAGCTGGTAGAAACTAAGTCTTTATGTGTGTATATGGGGTGGGGAAAACAGTGTCACTAAACAGCAAGTTCTATCTTCTACTTTGGTAGTCTATTGCCATATTTACTGGCCCTGAATGCCCACTGACACAGGGCATTTTTGCCAACCCCAGTGTATGTCAGTTACATGCGTGCTCTTGAACTCTCAGATATCCTCAAATGTCAAGAGAAATATTCTTAGCACACACACCAAACTCAAGGAGAGAGTACGGAAGCAAGACACGTGATTCATAGTTTGCTTTTTGTTCCCAGCTCACAACCCTTAATCTCTTAACCCTTAATTTCTATGTGTAGGTGAACATATAAGTTAGATGTTTTACCTTTTGGACTGTTGCAAATCTGTCTTACTCCTGGTGATGCCTTTAGAACATAGCATTCAAGCATTCGTTTATTTTGTTTAACTAGTTCTGATATCTGGCACCTGGTCCAAATGAGAGGTAGCTGTAGTTGAGAACAGAATATGCCAATGTCGGCTGGACGTGGTGGCTCATGCCTGTAATCCCAGCACTTTTGGGAGGCTTAAACTCCCTTGAGCCCAGGAGTTTGAGACCAGCCTGGCCAACATGGTGAAACCCCATCTCTACTAAAAATACAAAAATACAAAAATTAGCTGGGTGTGATGGCATGTGCCTGTAATCTCAGCTACTTGAGAGGCCGAGGCAGGGAGAATCGCTTGAATCTGGGAGGCGGAGGTTTCAGTGAGCCGAGACTGCACCGCTGCACTCCAGCCTGGGTAACTGAGCAACAGTCTCAAAAAAAAAAAGCATACACCAATGTCTGAGACTATTAGTTGGTCAGAAAATGAATACTTCACATATTACCACATCCTCCCACCTCAAGATTATGAAACAAATTCACCTTTGTCAGGTCTTTACCCCTTTTAATAGTTTATTTTTACATCTGTAATTTATTTTTTCTATAAGAAGAGATAAAGATCTACCTTTTTTCCCCAAATAGTGAGCCATCTGTCCTAATGTCATGGATGAAATAATCTGTTCTCCTTAATCATTAAAAATGTTCCCACAGGAATCCTCACACACTGTTGGTGAGAATGTAAATTAGTACAGCCACTATGGAAAACAGTATGGAAGTCCCTCAAAAATCGAAACAAATAAAACTACCATACGATTCAGCAATCTCACTGCTAGGTATATACCCGAAAGAATGAAAATCAGTATATCAAAGAGGTATCTGCACTCTCATGTTTACTGCAGTACTTTTCACAATAGCCAAGATTTGGAATCAACCTAAATGTCTATCAACAGATAAACGGATAAAGGAAATGTGGAACTACACACAATGGAATATTATTCAGCCATAAAAGAGAATGAAAACATCTATCATTTGCAACAACATGGATGGAACTGGAGGACACTATGTTAAGTGAAATAAGCCAGGCACAGAAAAAAAATTTCGCATATTCTCGCTCATTATGTGGGAGCTAAAAATTAAAACAATTGAACTCAATTGTTCATTAAAACAATAGAAGGGTACTGGGGAGGGGTAGAAAAAGTGGGGATGGTTAATGGGCAGAAAAATATAGTGAGATAGAATGAATAAGATTTGAACAGTATTTGATAGCACAGCAGGATGATGACAACCAACAATAATTTATTACATATTTTAAAATAACTAGAAGAGTAGAATTGGAAAGTTCCTAAGACAAAGAAATGATAAATGCTGAAGTGATGTATGTCCCCATCACCCTGATGTGATTATTACACATTGTATGCCCCTATCAAAACATCACATGTACTCCCTAAATATCTATACCTATTATGTACCCATAATAATAAAAAATTTAAAAAATTATCTATATTTTAAAATACATTTCACTTGCAACTGGGAGTATTTTCAAGCTTTTTTTTTTTTTTCTTTTCCCATTCCACTCAACTCTCTCCTATGCCAGTATTTAATGTGTTTTAAACAACACAGCCTTGGGCTGGGCACGGTGGCTCACGCCTGTAATCCCAGCACTTTGGGAGGCCAAGGCAGGCGGATCACTTGAGCCCAGGAGTTCGAGACCAGCCTGGGCAACATAGCCACACCCTGTCTCAAAAAAAATAAAAATAAATAAAGAAGAAGAACAATGTAGCCTCATACTGCATTTTATTATCTAGTATGGTAATTTCCCACTCATACTTTTTCCTTATCAGGTTTCTCATTTATTTTTTTCAAATAAACCATAATAAAATTAATTCTTTAGGTATAAAACATGACCCCTAAGGAGTTCTGATTTTTACAAGCAATATAGTATAGTGGTTAAGAACATGGGCTTTGGCCAGGTGTGGTGGCTGATGCCTGTAATCCCAGCACTTTGGGAGGCCAAGGAGGGTATATCGTTTGAGGTCAGGAGTTCAAGACCAACCTGGCCAACATGGTGAAACCCCGTCTCTACTAAAAATACAAAAATTAGCCAGGTGTCGTAGTGCACACCTGTAGTTTCAGCTACTCAGGAGGCTGAGGCAAGAGAATCGCTTGAACCCAGGAGGCAGAGGTTGCAGTGAGCTGAGATGGCACCACTGCACTCTAGCCTGGGTGACAGAGTGAGATATTGTCTCAAAAAAAGAAAAAATAAAGAACATGGATTTTGTAATCAAGAGTTCCCTGGTATTTGAATGTTGGCTCCACAGTTTACTAACTCTATGACTTTGGGACTTGGGATAAATTATTTATTCTTTTCCAGCAAGAGTTTTATTATTTGTAAATGTGTATTACATACCTACCACGTGGGATTGTGGTTAACATGCCCAAGATGTACTAGTACCCAATGCATGGCAGCTAGTCTATACCTTTCATTATTAGAGAAGCTGAAGATTTTCATACCCTTAGTTACCATTTATATCCTCTTGTATGAATAGTTCTGTAGAAAAAAACTTCCCTTATGTTATATCCACTTTTCGTAACTGTGAAACCAAAATTTTGTGTATCAATATTATAGTGAACACTCACTGCTTTAAAAAATCTTATTTGTAGTTTTCTTGTACAAAATATTTCACACAGGCCAGACGTGGTGGCTTACCTGAGGTCAGGAGTTCAAGACCAGCCTGGCTAACATGGTAAAACCCTGTCTGTATTAAAAATACAAAAATTAGCCAGGCATGGTGGCAGGTGCCTGTAATCCCAGCTACTCGGGAGGCTGAAGCAGGAGAATTGTTTGAACCCGGGAGACAGAGGCTGCAGTAAGCGGAGATCACGCCACTGCACTCCAACCTGGGCAACAGAGCAAGACTCTGTCTCAAAAGAAAAAAAAATTCACATAATTACCTCTTATCTTTAACAGTCAAGAAAACAATCTCCATTTTATAAATGGCATTTGGGGTGAAGTGTCATGATATATGCAACATACTTTCAAATGGTTCAGAAAACAAGATTTAAAGAACAGGAAAAAAACCAGCTGGGCACGGTGGCTCACGCCTGTAATCCCAGCACTTTGGGAGGCCAAGGCGGGCGGATCACGAGGTCAGGAGATCGAGACCATCCTGGCTAACACGGTGAAACCCTGTCTCTACTAAAAATACAAAAAAAAATTAGCCGGGTGTGGTGGTGGGCGCCTGTAGTCCCAGCTACTAGGGAGGCTGAGGCAGGAGAATGGCATGAACCCAGGAGGCGGAACTTGCAGTGAGCCGAGATTGCACCGCTGCACTCCAGCCTGGGCGACAGAGCGAGACTCCGTCTCAAAAAAAAAAAAAACAAAAAAGAACAAGAGAAAATACTACAAAATATTGCAGAATCTGGGTTGAAGGTATATAGATGGCCACTGTATTACTCTTTCAACTTTTCTATACATTTGAAAAATTTTATAATAAAAAGTTGGATAAAGAAGAGGGCACTACAGGTCAGGGATGTATATAATGTAAAACAAATATGGTTAGGTTCTTCTAAGGCTTAAAAAAAAAACAACAAAAACCTTCCTTCCTCAACAGCTGAAATAATCATTACCTTCTACTATTCATATTTACTCCCTCCCCAAGTACAGCAGTTCTCCCTTATCCACAGGGGATACATTTCAAGACAATCTCAGTGGATGGCTGAAACCACTATTGAACCCTGTGTATGCTATATTTTTCCTATACGTACATACCTATGATAAAGCTTAATTTACGAATTAGGCACAATAAGTAACAATAATAGAACAAATATAACAATATACTGTGACAGGTTATGTGACTCTAGTCTCTTTCTCAAAATATACCGCATTCACCCTTATTGTGATGTGAGAAAATGCCTCCATGATGTGATGAAGTGAGGTGAATAAGGTAGGCACTGTGATGTAGTGTTAGACTACTACTGAAAACTAATTTAAAACGTTTTTAAAAACTCATTTTAACTTAGAAATCATTTCTAGAATTTTCCACTTAATATTTTCAGACTGCAGTTGGACTGTAGGTGACTGAACCTGCAGAAAGCAAAACCATGGATGATGGGGGATTGCTGTGTACACCAGGAGCCTGAGACGAGGAGACCACACAGAGAAGGCCAGTGAGGCTGAAGCACAGTGAGTGAGGTGGTGAGTGACAAATTCTTATGTACAAGGAGTCAAGCGCCAGATCATGCAGAGTCTTAGGGGTCGTGTCAAGGATCTGTCCTTTTTCTACGAGCAATAGCGGCTGCAGGGTTTTACAAGAGCACCTTGGCTGCTATGTAGTAAATGGACCACACTTTATAAAACAGAATATACGTAGCCCTTAAATATTTCTGAATGACATTTAATGACATGCACAAACCATCAATTAGAGAGACATCTGAAAATTGTAAGTTCAAGATATTTAAATACTTTTAAAGAAAAAGACACAACTGAGCCTATCTATACAGAAAACAATCTAAAGTATAGATATATATCTCAATCATCCCTATATTCCTTTATCCCCTACCTTTATTTTTTCATAGCATGTACCATCCTCTGAAAGGCCATATAGTTGGTTTATTTACTACCGTTAACCATCTCTCCCTACACCTGCACCCCCAATCTAAGCAACATAAGAGAAGGGATTTGTCTATTTTGTCCACTGCTGTTATCACCACCCTAAAATAGTGTTTGGAACAAAGCGGAGTGCTTAAATGTTATGTGTGTATGTATATGTGCATGTACACATACATGTGCACGCACACACAGTTTTAAAAAACATTTTTAAAACTCAAAGCTATATACACTATTTTCATAAAATAACATTAAATAAGAAAAAGTGGGATTTTTTTTTGCTTTCAGTAGGAAGAAGATGCAAAATGGTAAAGACAAGAAACAAAATAAATTAGGAAATGAGTTCTGTGTTTCATTCAACAGATATCTAATGACTTGACTAAATATCTGAGATTATACAAGTGTAAATTACAATGATATTCCAAGCTGTTTCACTGAAGTACTACTTTCAAATTATTAATAGGTAGTCTAATGAGAAGTTTGATAATTTAAGTGTACAGAAGGCTGGGTTTGAAACTTAGATTTTTTTTTTTTAAGGACTTCTGAGAGCATGGTAATGTAAACTGTAGTTCTTAAAGGAGGATACAGCCATTCCGAACCAATGACAATGGAATCATTTTTTTCAGAAATTATCCACTAATCATTGATAGAAAACTTTTGAAATACAGTTTGGGAAATGCTGGTATAAAACAAAAACCAGAGATACAGGGCAGAACATCCAGACTTAATTCTGTTCATTAATTAACTTAGTCTAAATTTACTGAGTGCTAACCATTATGTGCCTGGCACTGGGACACAATGGCAAATAAGAGAGACATGCTCTACATGACACTGCAGAGGTTACACTCTAACAGGAAGGACAGATACTAATGAAATCTAAAAATAAATTGTACAGTGTAATAAAGTACTATGAAGGAAAAGTACAATATGTTTAGAGAAATATAAACAGGAAACATTTCTGAGACTATCGCTTTATCAGTGGAGAAAGTGACATTTAAGCTAATATCTGCAGGAATTGGAGTTAAGTCAAAGATTGTTTTAAGAAGAAGGAACAGGCTGGGCGCGGTGGCTCACGCCTGTAATCCCAGCATTTTGGGAGGCCAAGGCAAGAGAGTCACCTGAGGAGTTTGAGACCAGCCTGGCCAATATGGTGAAACACCGCCTCTACTAAAAATACAAAAATTAGCTGGGCGTGGTGGCGGGTGCCTGTAATCTCAGCTACTCTGAAGGCTAAGGCAGGAGAATCGCTTGAACCTGGGAGGCGGAGGCTGCAGTGAGCTGAGATCGCGCCACTGCACTCCAGCCTGGGCGACACAGCGAGACTCTGTCTCCAAAAAAAAATAAATAAATAAAAATAAAAAGAGAAGAGGGAATAGAGGGAATAGCTATGTTTGAAGACCACTTACTATTTATAACATGCTGGATGGGTAAAATTTCTTTAATTATAAAATATTTACGATAATTAGGTTCAGCTGTGATTTCACAATTAATTGCTGTAACACCAAGATCAATTCCAATTTTTCATTGTACAGAGGCATAAACTCTCAAATCAGCCTGATTTTAAAGTGAACAAAGGAAATAAAGTTAAATAATTTAAAGAAATATTTAATATGCAATCTTACAAAAATGGAATTGGAATCAGATGAACCATAGCTTATAATTAAGCAAATAGCTTAAAAGCCTCTTGGGCTGAAAGTAATTATAGATAAGTTTTCTATACATAGCAATATGAACAATAAAAAGAGGATGAGAAAACACTGAACAACAATCTTTAGAAAGTTCAGAGGCACACTTTCATGTCATGAGCTTTGCTATCATGGCACCCAGCTCCAAAAGTATTCACTTTTGTTACTTCAGCCTGCCTAGTGCAATAGAAGAGTGCCAGGTTTTAGAGACCCAAGTGTGAATTTTAGCTTCAACATCTGACTCCAAGTCCAGCAAGTCACCCTGCTATGTATTTTTATTATTTGCAAAATATATTTTCCTTACCCATCTCCCTCTCTTCTCTCCAGCAGGAAATGCTCCCTTTTCTCTTTATTACTTTTGCTTACACCATGAAAAACATTGCCTTTTCAGGTGGCTTTCTATGGTCTCTGTTAAATGCATGGTTAGCTAACACAAAAGGGTAAGCCTGCTCTAAACAGGCCATATCACTAATGTTAAGAAGCCAGAAATATTTTTTATTAAATAAGAGTGACATTAACTATCTGTAGATAAAGCCTATCTGGAGGCATAGGTTTTGCTAATGTGTCATAAACATCTGCTCTGATCCTCTGTTCACATGGGTGGGTATCTTTGCTGCTATCGCCATTCCTCATGCTCTCACCCCACCATTGGAAATTCCCACTTGATCTTCAAAGTCGGGTTCAAAATGATCTTTTCTCTACTTCTCCTAGGAAGAATTTCTCTCTCATCTGTGATTCTGCAATACTAAATTTTATACTTAGGGCATTGTGCTATCACTATTTATGTTTACATACTGATCTCCAAAATGTGAGCTCTTTAAGAGTAGAGACGATGTCTAATTTGCCTTTGCATCTTTTCCTTCAAAAGATGTATTCTCATGTACTATTTGGGGACTGTAAATCTTTTAAGGTTGAGGACTAAATAATATTGTCTTTGTAATGGACTCATTGCCTGGTATAATATTTTGGCTTACTGTAGGCGCTCAGTATTTTATAAAATACCATTGTCAAAAGATGAAAAGGATCAACCTAAATAAAACACATGAAAAAAGACATTTCTACTTGCTCTATAATAAATTATAATAAACATTACCAATCTAAAAAGAGCTATTCAAGGTTATATTATGCAGATTCCTAAACAAAGATTAAATTATATTCATTTATTCATTAAATTTTTATTTAAGCAAATAATGATCATACCACTTAGACATAACAATTAAGGCTACCTTTAGACCTTTTTGGTTACTGAATTAAAAACAGCTTATTAAAAGCAACAATATCATACAAAATTCCATATGTGTAAATAAGTGATGACTAATTATGTAAGAAGCTACTTAAGAAGTTTAAATCCCTGAATATTTATGCATGTAGAGGGAGACTCCATTGCTAGTTGAACAAAAGGCCTGAGCTGAATTATTTTCTCTACTACTTTCAAATGACATTTCTAAGAACCCAAACAAGTAACTCTATGGAGGAACACTGCTCCAGCAAATACCACCTAGTTTTTCTACATCCAAACGCCCAACTCTTCCCTGACTCGTTATAATCGCCTCTAACTGGTTCCCTGCCTGCACCTTCATCTGTTCTTCATGGAACAGTGAAAGCAATCCTGTTAATATACAAGTCAGGTCATGTCATTCTTCCATTCAAAATCTTACACTTATTTCCCATCTCACTCAAAATAAATCCCAAAGTCCTTAAAATTGCTTCCAAGGTCCAACATGATTTGCACTCCCCTTTCCTTGTTACCTCTCTGGTACTGTTAACTATTCCCCTTTTCACTCACTCTGCTATAGTCATACTGGATTCCTTACTGTTTGTCAATCTTGTAAGAATCAGCCTGCTCCCTCACCTCAAGTTTTTGTTTCAATGTCATCTTCCCAGACTGATCAGATCATTCCTTACCAGTTATCCCACTATATGCCCAGCAGAATGGCTAAAATAGAAAAGGCTAACAACATCACATGATGGGGAGGATATGGAATAACTAGAACTCTCATACATGGTTAGTGAGGAAAGGCCGATAGATACTGTAAGACCAAACACACACAATCCATAGCCCGGCAAGTCTGCTCCTAAGAATTTACTCAAGAGAAAGGAAAACACAAGTCCACAGAAAGACGTGAGTAAGAATGTTCAAAGAGCTTTATTCATAATGGGCCCAAACTGGAAGCCACTCAAATGTCCACCAAAATAGGACAGATGAACAAACTGTGGTAAAGCCATACAGCAGACTACTACTCAGCAATAAAAAGGAATAAACTATTTATACATGCAACAACATGGGTAAATCTCAAAAACACCATAGGGAGTAAAAATAGCTTCGCACAAAGTACATCAATGAAGTTCTCAACTGGCAAAAATAATCTATGACAGAAAAAAATATCATAACAGTAGTTCCCTCTGGGAAGTGGAGGCAGGGACCGAGAAGGGGAATGAAAGAGTTTTCTGGAATGATGGTAATGTTCTCTATCTTGATGGGGGGCTGAGTTATGTAAATATATGAATATGACAAAATTTAGCCAATATCCACTATTTGTGAATCTCACTGCATGTCAATTTTGACTCAAATGAAAGCAACAGTAAACAAATAGTGAACTCTAATGAATGATATGCATACTGAAGTATTTAGGAAAACATGCACTCATGTGTAATTTACTTTAAATGCCTTTAAAAAATAAGATGAATGGAGAGATGAATACATGGGTGATAAAATAAATAATAACATGGAAGAATCTAGCTAGTGGTATATTATGGGTAAATTCTCATTGTAAATTGTTAAAACTTTTACTGAATGTTTGAAAATGTTCACTGTAAAATCTTGCTGAACCCCAGAACACTGTGTTCCCCAACTCTGTTTTATTTTTCCCTAGCACTTGTGACTTCCTTATAGACCACTTGACAGTTTCTTCTCACCAGAATATAAGATCCTTGAAGGTAGGAGTGAGATTTTTTTGCTTTGCTTTATCCCAGGTCTACAATCACGCCTAAAGCATGTAAGTATCCAATAAATACTTATTTAATAAATAAATGAGCCAATGAATTATACCAGTTATTTAAGGTCCACAAACTATTACCATTTGGAATAGATTTCATAAAGAAACAAAGATAACATTTCATAAAAGCAAAGAAAAAATTAAACCTGTAATCCCAGCACTTTGGGATGCTGAGGCAGGTGGATCACTTGAGGTCAGGAGTTCGAGATCAGCCTGACCAACATAGGGAAACCCTGTCTCTACTAAAAATAAAAAAATTAGCCGGGTGTGGTGGCACATGGCTGTAATCCCAACTACTTGGGAGGCTGAGGAAGGAGACTTGCTTGAGCCTGGGAGGTGGAGGTTGTAGTGAGCCAAGATCGTGCCACTGCACTCCAGCCTGGGTGACAGAGCAAGACTCTGTCTCAAAAAAAGAAAAGAAAAAATTAAAATGAACACATTTTACTTTTGTATCTGAAATACTTGTGGTAATAGTTTAAGGACAGATAGTATCTGGCAAGGAAAAGAGCAATTTAATATCTATTATATTTCACAAGAAATAAATGATACAAGGTTATTACTCTCTACCTATCCTCTTGCTTAAAGCTCAGTAATCAATTTCTAGAATACAAAAAGGAAGACCTTTACAGATAAAATAGTCCAGTTCTGTTATTTCTCTTCAGTGTGAAACATTTGCCAATTTACTACTTTCCTTATAAAATCAACAGGATGTAAAGTCAAGTGACTGAGTAGCACAATAACAGGTGGCCCAGACATGAAGTTTCATTCTGATTCTGTCCTCTCATGTCCTTATTTGTACCCCTAGCATCCGTTTAGGCTTAGGTCGTTTATGCTGTACATATTAAGAGCCTACATGCCCAGTGTGATGTGTGACAATGTAAGCGGGAAGGGAATAAAATTAGAGTCTCTTTCTACGCTTAGAAAAGCCGCAATCTAATTGAATCATTTCCCCAAAATTAAATTTTAAAAGGCTCTCCCAAACTGTTATTTTTTGTTGTAATCTTTATGCTGATGATTTCTATGCCTCCAAAACAGCCCCGAGAGCAGTAAAATACAGATACAAATGTGTCTGTTTTTTTCTAAAATGCCCTACAGCAGCAGCAATGAACTAATTTAAATCTGTCTAAAAGTGCTTATATAATCAATAACACAAACTAAATCTGTCCCACTGCTTAGTCCTTAGCCCTTGTATATACGCACCCTTGCAATTTCATCCAGTATCATGGCTTCAACTACCATTTGGATGCTGGTGATTATTCTAAATCTTAACTTCTAGCTCAGAATTCTGAACTCTAGACATGTATATAAAGACCTTACTATATGTTCCACAGACATCTCTCACATAACATCGACACCCCTGCTCCATGACTCTCCAAATCTGTTCCTCCTCCTGACCTACGTCAGCAAGTTTCACTGTCATCTATCCAGTCACCCAAGTCAGAAGCCTCAATGTTTCCAGCTCCCTTTTGCTTCTTATTTCCCCATTTCCAAATCAGGCACAGATTTCTCATTGGTTTTATGACTAGAAATTACTCAATACTCTCCATCCCACGGCCACAGTTCGTGCAGCAAGTGGCCTTCTAACCTCTAGTATTACATTACTCTCCACTGGTCTTTCTAAGAGTTTGACCAAGTCAACTCTCACACTTCATCTTTGGGTCTTTATTTGCCTCCCTGGTGAAATTCAAACTTGCCTTGGGAAACAGGTCCTCATGACCTAGCTCTAGCTAATTCCTCCAGTTCAACACCTGACCACTTTCTCCCCTGAATTTCCTAATCCACCTAGAATAAGCATCTAATAGAACTTTCTAGTAACATCTATATGTACTGTTCCCTGCCTCTAACTCCATCTATAACTCTTCTCCCTTCTTTATAATTCTACTAGGATGTCTACCCCGCTTTTGGAAAGTCTTCCACAATGATTATGTAATACTATGGTAACATAAAAAACAGGCAGAAGTGACTTAAAAATGCCTATCTCCATAAAGATTCAACTGAAGTCTTTACAAAGTTGAAAACTGAGCAAGTCAGAATCTGGAAAAAAATTCTTGATAGAGATTCCATGACCCCTGAACAACCTGCCTCACACATACTGGAAGTGGCAGAAGATAAGAAAGTAACAAGAAGGATGTAGATTCCCCACAGATTGCTTATTTGTTGTAAGGGAAATATAGTAACTATACTGTGGAGAAACTGGACCATACTTTCACCAGATGGTGAAAATTACCATTACCAGTGAGGTGCAGATGCATCTGTGTGCCTCCAGATGTGATGTCATGGGGACACGATATCCCTTATGTGACATTTCAGCTGGAAATGCAAAACTTCAATATGAGAAAACATCAGACAAACCTAAAATGGGGTCACTCTATTAAAAAAAGTCAAAACTGTATTCTTCAAAAATGTCTACGTCATAAAAGATGAAAACATCTATGAAAAGATGTATATTTTTTTCTTTGAGACAGAGTCTTGCTCTGTCACCTGGGCTGGAAGTGCAGTGGCGCAATCTCGGCTCACTGCAACCCCCACCTCCTGGGTTCAAGCGACTCTCCTGCCTCAGCTCCCGAGTAGTTGGGGTTTACAGGCGCATACCACCAAACCTGGCTAATTTTTTTGTATTTTTAGTAGAGACAGAGTTTCACCATTTTGGCCAGGCTGGTCTCGAACTCCTGACCTCAGGTTATCTGCCCACCTTGGCCTCCCAAAGTGCTGGGATTACAGGTGTGAGCCACCGTGCCCAGCCGACATCCATGAAACTATTTAGGGGTAAAGTGCCACGATGTAGGCAACTTAAATGGTTTGGGAAAAACATATGTGTGTACATATGAGAAAGAGAATAAAGCAAATAGGGCAAAGTGTTAACACGTCTGGGTAAAGGGTAGAGAATGCTCTATGTACTTACTACTCCCCTTCTTGCAACTTTTCTGTAAGTAAAATTACTTCCAAATAATGGTTGTTTTTTTTTTTTAAATAAAGCTAAGAGCAAAAGGACTTTTTTTTTAAAAAGTACAATCTGTACAAGAGATTCAAGTACTGCTTCCAGAACTGTTACCAAGTACCTGCATAATCCTTACAAGTCAGTGAAAGTCTCTTTCTTAAATTCCCTTTCTTAATTTCTTAATTTCTCTATTTAAACTAGTTTCAGAATACTGTTCTCTGAAAAGCAGTTCCAGCAATATCATTAAGTGTTATGTGAGGAGTTCTGTGATTAAATAATTTTGGGATATGCACAGAGGCAGGGATAAGCTATGCTGAACAACGTCTTTACAGAAGAATCCTCACAGATTTTATGTATGCCAAAATCCATTATGATCTTCCAAATTAATAATACAGAATTCAACATTTCTTAATTAGTCATTTGACCTTTTTCTTTTTTTTTGAGACAGTCTTGCTCTGTTGCCCCTGCTGGAGTGCAGTGGTGTGATCTCAGCTCACTGCAACCTCTGCTTCCTGGGCTCAAGTGATTCACCTGCCTCAGCCTCCCAAGTAGCTTGGATTACAGGCATGCACCACCACGCCCAGCTAATTTTCAGTAGAGACAGGATTTCACTGTGTTGGCCAGGCTGGTCTCCAACTCCTGGACTCAAGTGAACCACCTGCCTCAGCCTCCCAAAGTACTGGGATTACAGGCGTGAGCCACCACACCCGGCTTTTGACCACTGTTCATGTGAGTTCTTTAAATGTTTGGTGGGACCTGATCTTTAATTTATAGTACCATTCTCCTCCACAATATATGTCATCAATTTTGGGAAACATCATCTTGTAACTCCATTCACTGTCCAACTCATAATGAGGTCTTTTTCAGTTAGTTTATTTTTTTTAAGGGGGCTGTATTTTGACTATGAAATCTCAAAATGGAACTACCTTTAATGGTTAAAGACAAAGATTAGAGGTTAAACTATAGTGTGGGGCCAAATCTAGCCCACCACCTGTTTTTCTAAATAATTATATTGGAACATAGCCACACTCATTGGTCTGCATATCATTCCACAGCTGCTTTTGCCCTTCACCAAGAGAGTTGAGTAGTGATGACACAGACTGTAGGGCCAGCGAATCTTAAAATATTTACTATCTGATTCTTTACGGGAAAAGTTTGCAGATCTTTAATATAGATCTGTTTTTTTTTCAGAGATGGGGTCTTGCTATATTGCCCAGGCTGGAGTGCAGTGGCTATTAACAAGCACAAACGGCACTTTACAGCCCCAAAATCCTGGACAAGTGATCCTCCTGCCTCTGCCTCCTAAGTAGCTGGTGCTACAGGTGCAACCACCACACCCCGCTTAGATCCATTTAATTTTTGAGGTTCAGCAGACTAGTTGTGGTAAGGTAGATCAGTGGCAGAGACTAAAGAATGCTCTACTATTTACATAGTGAAAATGACTGAGAGAAGAGGGAAGTAATATTAAGTAAAAAAAAAAACCGTATCACTATGTTCAGACCCTTTATTAGATACTTCATGTTCACTCTGAAGACTGATTAAGTCACTTGTCCGAAGTGGCGGAAGTAGGATTTGGACTGAGGTCTGACTCCAGAACCCTATGATCTTTCTACTGTAGCTTAATTCTCCCTTCTTGTCTTCTTCTGCCTTCCCCATCTATGGCTGGGTTCTGGTTGGTACTCAGGGGAAGATTCAGAATACTAAGAGAGAAGCAAAAAGGACTTTAAATGGCTGAAGAGATGATCAACAGCATCCTAGGTATAAGGATTATTAGAATGCTACAACCAGTCCACCTAAGGAAGTAAGAGCAGGTTTCTTAGCTTCGCTTACAGGATTCTCCTTAGAGTACTTCTACTTGATTTTAGCTCCTAAGACTTAACTGCTGCTAATGTCCAGGCATCCTAGATATGAAGGACAGAGCTGAGGAAGATGAAGTCACAAGAAAGCCAAGACCAGGTACAGATGCTTCCCTATGCCATTCTTAATCACGCATTAGCCTTACATGTATCGCAGTTCGCAGTAAAAAGTCTGTTTTATCTTGCTTAATATACACAAAAATAGAAAACTATTAAAATTTGTTAGTTCTTCCTCTGGATTTCTAACACTTTGCTTCTATCTTTGACACATTTACTATACCATATATGGAAACAAAATAATATAATCTTTTTACAGAAAGTAATGAGAAATGAGTTTACTTATAAGGAATCAGCTTAGTACTTTATTATTACTATAAAAGCTACCATAAAAGAAGTCAGAAGATAACTAAATTATTTACCATCCAGAGAGAGGAGGATTTATGTGATGAACTAAATAGGTTGAAACAAAGTATCAAGTAGACTAAATTTGACCATGCACTGTTCTTCTATCAAAAATAACAGATTTATCTATGGTTGGTTTCTTGCCAGTCAATGTAGCACTTAGCTGTTGTTACACTTACTTTATTACATACATTGTTTTACTTATCTAAAATATAAACCTTTAGGATTTCTATGAATGCTGACATTTGTGCATGTTTAAGATGACTCTCAAATACTATAATGTGGCTAGTATGAGAAATGATAGTTCTCATCAATATGTGGGAGCTAAAAAAACAAACCAAAACAAAAAACTGAACTCATGGAGACAGAGAATAAAGTGATGGTTACCAAAGGCTGGGAAGGGTAGTGGGGAGGGAGGGATAAAGAAGGGATGATTAACGGGTACAAAAACACAGTTAGATGGAATAAGATGTAGGGTTTGGCAGCACAATAAAGAGACCATTTTTTTTAAAAAAACCATGATTTATTGTATATTTCAAAACAACTAAATGAGTGGAACTGGAATGTTCCTAACACAAATAAATGATAAATGCTTGAGGTGATGTATACTCAAATTACCCTGATTTGATCATTACACATTGTATGCTTGTATCAAAATATCACATGTACCCTGTAAATATGTACTATTATGTATCCATAATTTTTTTAAAAAGAGAAGTATATACAATGTACTTCTTCTTATTCACTTCAGACTAAAACTAAAAATAATCTTACAGGTTTTTCTTCCTTTTCACCGAGTCCCTAAGTTTCGCCAAAACCACAAAATCCCCCCCAGTGTAATTTCTGATATTTGTAATAGAAGTAGTGTCTTCCTGGACTGGTTAAAAAATAAAAGGGACTTTGACAATCTCAAAACTTTCTTGTTCAAATATGTGTATTTTATGTTTGTTCAAGCTTACCCCCTTTTATTTATAATTACCACAGCAGTATTTCATAATTTCTAATTTAATATTATTTGATACCATAAATTCTTTTCTTCTATATTGTATAACATGGTGTAAGGAAACAAAGTTTCTGATTTCATTAGATGAGTCTTATCAAATAGGAAGGTATCTAAGTATATAAAAGATATGATACTATTCAACAGCACACAATGATCAGAAATCTGAATTGGAATTCCAAGTCTGCTGTTTACTAATTGTGACTTGACTTTTCTAAACCAAATTTCCTTATTAGTAAAATCACGTAATTGCCATTATAAGAAAAAACTGAAACAACAAATGGACATAAACCTCTTAGCATGGTCCCTAGCATACACATATTAGCTCTCTGACTAATGAAATCAACCTGTTTCTTTACTGATAAAGCACAGAAAATGCCACCTAACTTCAAATGTTGCCATGAGGATTAAATAAACATACGTCCATAAAGTCCTGGTGCATTTATTATTCTAATAGGCAAATTATAATAATTAATGGCCTAAATTGTTATTAGAAATAGTTTATTTTATTTTTATTTTTTTGAGACAGAGTCTCGCTCTGTCGCCCAGGCTGGAGAGCAGTGGCGCGATCTCGGCTCACTGCAAGCTCCGCCTCCTAGGTTCACGTCATTCTCCTGCTTCAGCCTCCCAAGTGGCTGGGACTACAGGCGCCCGCCACCACGCCTGGCTAATTTTTTTGTATTTTTTAGTAAAAACAGGGTTTCACCATGTTAGCCAGGATGGTCTGGACCTCCTAACCTCGTGATCCGCCCACCTCAGCCTCCCAAAGTGCTGGGATTACAGGCGTGAGCCACTGCGCCCGGCCTAGTTATTCTTTAATAAATAAGCTTAATAGTTACTCTAGGCTGGGCATGTGGTTCACGCCTGTAATCCCAGCACTTTGGGAGGCCAAGGCGGGTGGATCGCCTGAGGTCAGGAGTTCCAGACCAGCCTGGCCAACGTAGTGAAACCCGTCTCTGCGTGGTGGCGGGTGCCTATAATCCCAGCTACTCAGGAGGCTGAGGCAGAAGAATCGCTTGAACTCGAGATGCCAGGCTGCAGTGAGCCGAGATTGTGCCACTGCAATCCAGCCTGGGCTACAGAGTGAGACACTCTGTCTCAAAAAAGACAAAAAAAAAAAAAGTTACTCTAATAAATCTTACTCTTATTTACTTAATAAATAAGTAGATAAATTTTTAAAACTTTAGTTCCAAATTTACCTTGTGTTTTCTTAAAAGATATTCTTTCTCCTACTAATCTTAAAAAACAAACAAACAAACAAACAAACAAGAACACATTTTAGCCGGGCGCGGTGGCTCAAGACTGTAATCCCAGCACTTTGGGAGGCCGAGGTCGGCGGATCACGAGGTCAGGAGATTGAGACCATCCTGGCTAACACGGTGAAACCCCGTCTCCACGAAAAATACAAAAAATTAGCTGGGCGTGGTGGCTGGAGCCTGTAGTCCCAGCCACTTGCGAGGCTGAGGCAGGAAAATGGCAAACCTGCAGAACCCAGGTAACTGACGTTGCAGTGAGCAGAGATCCTGCCACTGCTCTCCAGCCAGGGCGACAGAGTGAGACTCTGTCTCAAAAGAAAAATAAATAAATAAAAATAAATAAATAAAACCTTGAATTAATTTTTAGCTGCAGACTGTCACTGTTAACAAAACAAGTGTCAACCTATGAACATAATCAATTCTCACTGTAGAACTTAAGGACGTTTTATGATAAATTCAAGCACTATACTATATTGAGTATAGTCAGAAACTTCAACTTGTACAAGAGAATGAGATCTCTCTACACACTGTAAAACACAAAACAAAATTAAAAAAGAAAAGTGTGTATTACCATCACAGGGAAGCCTTGTTTTTACAGCTTTTCTAATTAATAGCAATAATTCATTTCAAAGATTATTTACAACACATACCTCACCCCACAATGGATATGAGATAACTCACTGGATCATTTTTAAAGCTTAATGCTATGTTAAATAAATCTGGTTTCTTCTTTCCTATGGAAACAAGAGAAAATTCCTAACAACTTTAATTTCCACAGGAAGGGGCTAATGGTTGCAAAACGTGACATAAAAGAAGGAAAATTTTATCTTTTCTTGTAAAGGTTCTGAGGCTAATATAAACATCACACAAATTCCCTTATTTCAGAGTGGAAGGAGATAAAATACATCAAGTAAAGTTTCCAGATAATATTTAAGATGTTCCCTACAAAAATATTAAGTAAACCATACTAAAAGTTTGTATCATGCATTAAATTTGGTTAGAATGAAAGGCTGATTCTTCCAAATGTAGGCAAAAAAAGAGTAATCACAATCTCATTTCAAAGAAGCAAACTGTGGCAGACACTGCCGGTTTTTTGGTGTTTTTTTTTTAACTCTATAAAGGCAAATTAACTTTTTCCAGTGATAAATGGTAGCAGAGGACTGGTGTTACAACACTTGTACTTAATTAGGAATTTATTTCAGTCTGACAATATCAACTACAGTATGCCTTCCAGTAAGTAAATGAGGTCTTTATGTTAAAGTCTGACCAAATCATGGTTAGAATGCAAAACTTACTTTTTAATAGTAGGAAGAAGGATAAAGACCTTAAACTCAGGACAGATGAAACATGGCTTGATGAATTTATACCTCTTATCTGTCTTCTCAAAGATCTCCAAAAAACAAAAGTACAGTTAACACACTGCAAGGAGTTGTAGGACAGAACCTACAATATCCCTACTTCCTTATCCTTCCTCTTCCAATACACAAAAACGAATACTGAAAGGGTTAAGTCTTTAGAGTTGTTCATCAAAATTTCTGGTATGATTGTACTTTCTGGCTGTCGTGTGGCTGGGAGGGGTTAGGTGCCTAATTCTGGCCAATTGTAAGTCAAAGTGACCTATATGACTTCTGAACCATGGCATTTAACTGTCAGTGAAAGATGTGAAATCTTTCAATGCACTCTTCCACCTGTCGCCAGGCTTGAGATGTTTACTGCTGTATCACCCTGGTTCCCCTGCTGATCCAGGACAATGATCCAAAATGTGACAAGAATAAGAAAAAAAACTTTGCGTATTTTATGCCACTAAGATTTTGAGGTTCTTGGTTATCACAGCATATCCTAGTCCATCCTAACAAATATAAATTGGTACCTGGAGATAGGGTACTATTATAACAAAAAAAACTAAAATATATGCCACTGGCTTGAAGGCCAGGCAGCAAGGAAACTTCTCAGAGGCTAGAAGGATGGCAATCCTTAACAAGCAGTACAAAATATTTGGTAAAAGTCAGTTATAATAACTTGAAAAGCAGATAATGTATTTAATAAACCTACAGCTCTAGAGGAAGAGGTTAAAAAAACTGGACATTTCCTAACAGGTATAGGAAAAAATGCTCATCATGACTAACCATCAGGAAAATGCAAATCGACACCACAATAAAATTTCACCTCACTCAAGTGAGAACGTCTATTAGAAAGACAAAAAGTAACAAATGCTGGTGAGGATGCAGAGAAAAAAAGAACTCTCACACACTGTCAGTGGGAACGTAAATCAGTACAGCCATTACAGAAAACAGCATGGAGAGGGTCCTCAAAAAAAAAAAAAAAAAAAAATCAATGTAAATTACCATCAATAGATGAATGAAGAAAATGTGGTGACACACACACACACACACACACACACACTCACAATGGAATAATATTCAGCTACAAAAAAGGATGAAATTCTGTCATTTGCTACAACACAGATGAGCCTAGGAGATACTATGTTAAAGTGAGATAAACCAGACATAGAAAGATAAATATCACATGATCTCATTCATATGTGAAATCTCAACAAAACAAAACAACAACTCATAGAAGTTGAGGGAAGAACAGTGTTTTCCAGAGACTGGGGATATCAGGAGGGACGGGAAACAGGAAGAAGTTGGTCAAGGGGTACAATTTACAGTCAGATAGGAGTAAGTTCTGGTACTCTATTGGACAGTAGAGTGACTATTGCTAACGACAGCACATTATATGTTTCAAAATAGCCAGAAGAAAGGATTGTGAGTGTTCTCACAACAAAGAAATGATAAATGCTTAAGGTCATGGCTATGTTAATTGCCATGATCTGGTCATTACACAGTGTACACATGTATAGAACATTACTCCATAAATATAGCCAAGTGTTGCTTAATAATGGGAATGTGTTCTGAGAAATGCATCATTAGGTGACTGTATCATGCAAACACTATAGATTTTACTTAAAACTTAGATGGTGTAGCTTACTACATACCTAGGCTATATGGTATAGCTTACAGACTACTAACCTGTATCGTATGTTACTGTACTGATTACTGTAGGGAGTTGTAACACAAAAAAGTATTTGTGGATCTAAGCATATCTAAACATGGAAAAGGTACAGTAAGAATATGGTATTATAACTTTGGGGGACACCAGAGTCATGTCTGTGATCTGTTGACTGAAACGTCACTATGCAGAACATAAATGTATGTATGATCACTACGTGCCAATTTTAAAAACCCTAACATTAAAATGGTATGTTGGTTGTTTTGACTGTGTTTGGTATTGCAAGAAAGAAACAAATTTTAAAATTGACCAGAGTTTGTAAGCAGGAATAAAAGGAAGAGGGCCCCAAAATGGGGAGGCTTGCACAGTTGGAAGAAAAGATTTCTCAACCCCAAGCCATAAGTTTAAAAACCACCAAAGGCTTTGAGCAACAAAGGAAGAGTATCAAATCAAATCAAGAGTATGAGCATCATATTCACTGTTAAAACATCTGAACGGGTTAAAGAGAAGAGTCTCAGAGCAGAGATCCAATTAAAATTGTGACACCCAATTAATGCTCTCAGTTGAATAAAATGCTCTGAGGAAAAGAAAAAGACACATAAATACACACACACAGAGCCCAACAGGTTACCGGTAGCAGCGTTTATAAGACATACATCTGGTAAAGAACACTGGCATATGAGCTGAATGGAAACGTGTTTTTAGACACATTACAAGCTTGCACAGTTGTGCTACCAACAAACAACCCAGAGCCTGAATTAAAAACCTGATTTAAAAGTATGCTTAAGTCTCCAACTTTCTATAGGAAGCAGGTTGTCAAGGGTTTTAGCTCCCAATGAGGGCATATTTTCCAATGACTACTTCAGATGAGGCTAAGGAAGATGATGGAAAAGGAGGAATCAATCTCCTAGATATCAGTGCCAACAGCCACAAAAAACAATGGCCTGGGGAGTTCCCCACCAGGGAGCAGACCTAGTGCTGAAACCAGCACACTCTCCATATCTAGGGTAAGCCAGCCCTTGTCACACGGGGCTGTGGGGGGATTTCTGAATGGCGGTGGGATGGGGACTGCAGTGCTCCTCTAATGTTCTGTTATACACATGGAAGTGCTTATTGGGGTTATCCTGTCCCTGTTATTTCAACGTATATTGGGTGTGGCAGGAAGGTGGTTGCAGGTAACATTTTTGTTCACAGTTCTCCAGGTCAAGGAAACACATACAGGTCTGATATACAGAATTATGCGTATCACCTGGAAACTCTTAAGTTTGATGCAATCATTACTTGGGACTTCTGAGCTGGCTTCGCCGGGGGAGAGGAGTGTATTTTCTCTGTGAGAAGAAGGGTAAGCCAAACCTTGGCCTACTTGTTAATGTGGTTGTTTCTGCCTTTTGGTCATATGACAAGATTGTACCTCCTGGCTCCTTTATGATTAGATGCAGCTATGTTTCTTGTTCTGGCCAATGAGCTGTGAGCAAAAGTGGCATGTAACTTCTGGCCAGAGCATCTTAACAGCTGATGCAAAGACAGACATTTCCAGCGCTCTCTTTCCTCCACTGCAGTGTACACAATGTTCAGGATAAAGGCTGCTCTGCCTGTCTGCATCCTGGAGTGAGGCCACATAGTACAGAACCCCCAAATCAACCCAATGGATAGTGCAATGCTAAAAACAGAACTTTGTTGCAAAGCCACTAAGATTTTGGGATTGTTATGTTTATAGCCCAACCATACCTATCCTAATAAATGGAGGGAAACCCTTAAACTCAATTGAACATTCAAGTAAGAGGCAAGCACACAGATAATCTATTTCAAGTTTTCTCTATTAATGATAAAAATGAGGGCTAGCAGTTAAGCTACTTGTCTAATCACATAGTAACCACAGGGTAGACTCTGCTGGAACCATCATTATCTTCATATAACTCTAAATTACAATAGGAGTTATGTCCCTTCTAATCTCTAAACATAGCTCTGGGATAGACTAAACTAGAAACACATGAATAAATTAACAATAAGCCAATCCAGTCATTTATTAAAAAAATTACAGAGGCATTAAGCTCCAATGCTAGAGGTACTTGGAGCTTAAGAGTCATGTGGTGAGACTATAACCAAATAACTACATAAATAAAATGGAAATTTACAGCAGTAATTGCCATGAAAGATGATATTATGAGAGCCTGTGACAGTCCTGTCATAATGAGTGGATACCTAAGGAAGTGACCTTGAGCTGAGATCTGAAGGATCTGTGGGAGATTACTAAACCAACCCACAGGGGAATGGTGTTTCAGTGCATGAGAATAAATGAGAAATGATTCTGTGGCTGAAGTGAATTTGAAGGCTTTGGAGGTACTAAAAGGACATAGGAGCCAGATTACATAAAGCCTAGTATATAATGCCACTTTGAAAACAATGGGAACTCTTCATAGGTTTTTAGCAAGAGTGACACAATGAGATTTCCTTTTTCAAAGGGCCACTGGTTGTATTAAGAATACTGGGGAGGCAGCAATTATAGTCTTGGGAGGACCAGTGAGGAAGCTACTTAAATTTAGGCAAGAGATGGCAATACCTTGAATTATGGAAGTAGCAATAGAGACAATAACATCTGAAATATTTGGAACTTATTTTAAACTTTTGCTAGCCTGTCTACACCTTCATCCTAGTTCTCCAATTTCTCCACTGGATTCACGGTCAGTCTGAATACATTAAGCTGAGTGGAAGGGCAGCCCACACCCATTTGTTACAGCTAGCTTACAGAAAACAGCATTTACATCACAAGTATGCCTTTCCAACAGCCCCAGCAATCGTTTTAGAAGACACACATGTATTAGGGATGGGTGGTCATCTTGTTTCATGCCACTTTATTTAGTAATCAAACACACTGGATTATATTCCATTATTTCCCAATTGATAAGGTAGGCTGCTTAGTGAAAAATCCTGGATCCAAATCTTAGAAATCCCAGATTTTATTCAAATTTAAGATTCCAGAAAGGATTTAAGGTAGTTAGGCCCCCAAATAAAGGAACATTATTATAGGTATTAATTGGTTTCTTGCTAATGATACAAAGTACTACGCATCCTTGAGAAATAGTTTTAGATATGAACAAGAATTAAGGTTCAACTGAGAAATTTTATGGGAAAAAAACCCCAGTCATAAAAATATAAAGGCCAGAAAAAAAAGCATCTCCAAAAAAGCGGAACAAAATGTTTGCTCCATCACTACAAAAGTTAGAATGTCTGATCTCGTGTGTATTGTACAAAATCACAGTGTAAAAGTTCGAACGTAAGATGAAATAAAACTTAATGAATGCTTTAAAATAGTGTAGAGAAAATTCCAAGACAAATGAATCAAGGTATATTATTTTTTCTGTATATTTCAGGGTATACAGAAAAAAAGACTGCTATTTTCTTTTAAATTGCATTACAAAGAAACATTCACAAAGGGAAAAAATCCATATAGAAGTCTCATATTTAGTGTCAAGATTCCATTATGGTAAATGAAAAGGAAACTTTAATTAACTGGGCATGGTGGTGGGTGCCTGTAATTCCAGCTACTTGGGAGGCTGAGGCAGGAGAAGTGCTTGAACCCGGGAGGCAGAGGTTGCAGTGAGCCAAGATAGCACCATTGCACTCCAGCCTGGGCAAAAACAGCAAAACTCCATCTCAAAAGAAAAAAAAAAAAGAAAAGAAAACTTTAAGGCAGGTAATATGGTAACTACAACTAAAATCTTCATTTTCAAAACTTTCAGATTAGAGAGAAGAAATTTTAATATACAAAAGTTTATAGAGTAAAATAACTGGTTTTGATTTTATATCATCTATCGTACTTACATTTACTTCAAATGAAAAAAAAATAGATGACTTCTCCAGAACTTAATATTACAAGTTGGTTTACGCAGTTTTATTAGACTTAGAGATAACATATAAACTATCCAAAGTAAAAATAAGTATTTTAATATTTACAACAGGGACTTTAAAAAAGACTACCTCAGATTGTTTTATTTACCATGTGAATTATAAGTCCCTTCAAGATAAGACATGTTTGTAAATTCTACAGTATTTAGCATTATACTTTGTAAACATAAGTTTATAAGTGTTTGATGAGTAAGTCATCTCATAAGTCAACATGATGTACAAGTAGCCTAAGCACAGCATTTCACAAAACATTTTGGGGGAGGCCTTAACATTTTCTCTGGCTTAAAATTTTGGTTTATTAAAATGTCTCATGTCCTTCCCATAAAGCACAGCTTAAATCTTACTTTATTAGTCTCATTCCAAAAGCTCAAAGGCAGAAAAACACAAAACAGGTATCTGATTGCCATTTTAGAATACAAAGTTATCATTGACTACCTAGATTTTTCCAGAACTATTTAAACACTAATTCAAGAAACACTTGTGCTAGTGCAATATTACGCCTTTAAGATAAAATAGTTTTTGCTTTCAAAGGGTTTGTTGCAAAGGAAACAATCATAAATGAATCTGTTTTCCAAAAGTGCTGTGTTAGGGCTTGGAAAGGCTTCATAACAGTTGACAGCAAACAGGTTTGTTGAACAGATAGAGGAAAGGAAAAGCATTTGGGGTAAAGGACAGTATAAGTAAAGGCAGAAGTAAGAGACAGCATGGCCCACTGAGAGAGCATGAAGCACAGTATAGTTCAGTTCACTGAGCAGAGGGCTTGTGGTAGCCAGCCTGCAGGATGACTGGTGTTCATACCCTTGGGTAGTCCCCTCCCACAGTGAACAAGGGTTGGTCTGTGTGACCAACAGCACATGGCAGAAGTGATAGTACGTCACTTCTAAGATTGGGTGATAAAAGACTTGCGTGCTGTCTTACCACTTGGTACACACTCTCTCGAGTCATTTGTTCTGTGAAGACACACAGGTAGTAGAGAGAACTGGGACAGAAGCCTCCAGCCAACAATGTGAGCAAGACTGGAAGCAGGGCTGCAGCTGACTGCAATCCTGAACAGCTTTTATGCAGACACAGGTCAGAACCACCCAACAGATGTTGCCCCTGGATTCCTGATCCTCATAAACTGTAAGATTACAAATGTTTGTTGTTTTAAACTGCTACATTTAGGGTAATTAGTTACATAGTAATAGATAAGTAATACATGTTGATACTGGGAGTCCTCACTGCTATAACAGAACACTGCAATGTTGGATTGGCTTTGGAAACAGACCATGGCTCTTAAGGATAGTTTAGTTAAGAAGCTGTTTTTAAAAAGTCTCATGGTATTTCATAAGGCTACAAGGAGAATAGAAAAGTGAGGTAGATGTTATTGGAAACTAGAAGAGGAGGTATCCTTCCTAGGAAGGGGCAGGAGGCTTAGTAACACTGTGACCTTTGGTCATATAAAAACCAGAAATTTTGGCTGGGCGCGGTGGCTCACGCCTGTAATCCCAGCACTTTTGGGAGGCCAAGGTGGGTGGATCACAAGGTCAGGAGATCTAGACCATCCTGGCTAACATGGCGAAACCCCGTCTCTACTAAAAATACAAATTTAGCCGGGCATGGTGGCGTGCGCCTGTAGTCCCAGCTACTCAGGAGGTTGAGGCAGGAGAATCGCTTGAACCTGGGAGGCGGAGGTTGCAGTGAGCCGAGATCGTGCCACAGCCTGGGCGACAGAGTGAGACTTCGTCTCAAAAACAAACAAACAACAACAAAAATCCCCCACAAAAACCTGGAAATTTTATGTAATGAACTGAGTGATTTAGCAAAGGAGAGTTTCAACTAGAAAGTGCTGCCTTGCTGTTTCTGCTATATACAGCAAAAAATGAGAAGATATAAATTAAATCAAGACCTCTTGAAGAGCAAGGACTTGATGGTTTAGAAAATTTGCAGTCTCTTTAGACTGCAAACAATGCTAACATTGAGAAATGCATTCTGAGCCAAGATCAAATCCAGGGCACTGCCAGAAAAACATGATCTAAAAACTAAGCCATGGGAGTAACTATAAAATCTTCTGTTAAGAGCTCAGAAATACCAAAGACAGTACCTCAGAATACTACTTTGTCAGACAAAAGCCCTGCTAGAATTTTGCACTTCACAGTGTATCTCAGTCAGACAATAAGGCTTTACGAGAAGGGTGTTGTCTCTCAGTAAAAGCTCAAGGTAGTAACGGGCGTATCTCAAATAAATTTGTGCATATGATTTTCAACTAATAGATTGACCCCAAAAGGATTCACAAAAGATGCACAAAGTTTTAAAAAATACTTACATATGGTGAAACACTGCCAGCTTGAACTGAAAGAGACAACAGATGGAAAATGAAGCCTTCAGAGGCCCCAAATTGTGGTAGAAAGCAAGATAAGAAAACTAGTCAGTTGCAAACAAACATGTACTACCTTTCATGGGGAAAGGCGACTGTGGAGAAACAACCACATGCCCAAAGGGCAAAGCTGAGAGCAGGGGTGAATTACACCTAGGAATTGAGACTCACCTAAGGATTGGCTGATTGGATTTCAGAATTGTTACAGACCAGGGATTCCCTTGTGCCTACTATCTCTTGGCACCCGCCCCCCGCTTTGATAGGAATGTTTTATAGAGGTTACCTTAAGCCTGACCCAATACTGTATATTTGGCAAGTGTCTGGAGAAAGGATGAGGACCAGGTAACATATCGCTTTGGCTTTACAGGTCAGCAGGAATTGTACTTGAGAAGCTGTACTTAAGGAACATCCAAGAAGTCCCAACTGTACCTGAATCTAACTTAGATGAGATTCTAGACTTTGAGCTGTGATAGGATAAGACTTTTGAATATAACAGCTAAAAAAAAAAAAAAAAATCACACTTTATACAGGTATATGCTATTGACTCATATACCACAAATGGTGATGTCAATGAAGTGACTTTCGAACAATAAGAACTCCTGCAAAAGTTCTGAACAAAAAAAGTACAACATCCTCTTTATACACTAGCTGCTTTTCTGGAAAGTCTACTGTATATTAAAACTGTACACTTCACATGTAAAATTAAATTAGGTCCTAGACTCAGATAATTTATAAATTGTAATTTTATCTGCTGGAATGTTCTCTGGGATAGTCAAAAGTCATCCTGTGAGACTGTGTTTTGTAAGGTGGGGTTTATGTCATTACTAGGCCCCCTCTTATTTTTAATTAATATCAACAGCATCTCCCAATAACTGACAATCCAAAGCACCCCCACAAATTTCCAGAATGTCTCCATAGTGGGAGAATGATACAGCCCTTGTTGAGAACCACTGCAAAGGAAGGAGAAGTCTGAGATACTCAATACAACCCTTAAAGGTCCATTTTCTGAGCCCTGAAACAACCGTGCTGTACAAAAATCCTTCATTGTGAAGATATTTATACAATTGTGCAGCAGGAATGATAGGTACTCCTTGGAGTTCAAGCGGTCATCACTTTCTACTTAGTGGAGCTGCCCTTCCTTGAGGCTATCATACCACTTCTAGCTGCAAGAATGGTCCTCTACAGTTTAGAATATCTAGCAGGAGGGTTATCTTGTATTGTTTGCTCACTTGAGGTTGGCTGGATAAATCCCATCATTCTTTGTAACCATTATCAACAGAGTCCAAGACATAACAGTACCACCCTGGCTCTCATCACCATTCTAATCTCAGTGTCTCCTAATCTGTCCCAATCTTCCACCCTTCCTGACTGTCTCAAAGTCTTCCACTCTGTTGTCTAGACTAAAGATGTATCAGCAAACTCTTCTTTACATTCATTCTCAACTTCTTTCAGTGATCCCTCATCTTGCCCTAACTGAAGCCTGGCAGTGTATTCCAGAAACAATACTCCCCATCGCCCTTTCAAGCAGAAGCTGTTTATTTTCCCATATGCCACAGACTTGTGGATGGCATACACACCCACTCTCCTTGCTTCCCATTGCCAGTTCTATCCCATTTCTTCTTTGTTGTCCCTTCAAAAAAACACAACCACTCAGAAGTTCACAGCATCACTCTCTCCCTAAAGCTGTCATATACACTCTTTAAGTCACAGTCACAGTGCTGTTTTCTCAACTACCACACTTCTGGCATCATTTTTAATGACAGAATTTACATGGATAATGATGAAATAGCATGACCTTCTCGCCCACGCTGATCTTTTCCTCTACTCCATCTCAGCCACCACTCCTATGGTTATACTCTAGATTTTGCGTTCACTAATAATTGTGCCACCTCTGAAGTTTAAACTCAAGCGTGTCCCTCTTTAGCCACCACCCTCCCGACTTGGTTTCACTCACTCAAGCACTCCCAATGTAACAAATCAATTCCACAGAGCCTTCCATCCCAATTGAGTCCTACCACTTTTCTACCATTCATCAGCTCCCGGATGTCTTCTTTCCCTGCTTACCCAGCTTAGATTCCATGGTCCATCATGATAATCTACTACCTTTTCTTTTTTTTTTTTTTTTTTGAGACGGAGTTTTGCTCTTATTGTCCAGGCTGGAGTGCAATGGCACGATCTCGGCTCACTGCAACTCCCACCTCCCAGGTTCAAGCAATTCTCCTGCATCAGCCTCTGGAGTAGCTGGGATTACAGGCGTCTGCCGCCATGTCCAGTTAATTTTTGTTATTTTTAGTAGAGACTGGGTTTCACCATGTTGGCCAGGCTGGTCTCGAACTCCTGAGCTCGTGATCCACCTGCCTCGGCTTCTCAAAGTGCTGGGATTACAGGTGTGAGCCACCGTGCCCGGCCTACTACCTAATTTTTAATGCCTTCATCCCTGTCTTCCTCCTTTCTACTTGCTGGCCAAACATTGACCCTTGACAAACCCTATCTACCTACTTTGTGCTGGAACTCAAGTGAATGCTACTGCCCAAGTGAGCTGACTGGTCTCACTTTAAATGATCACAAATATTGAGCCCTCAGCAAGTCTATCAATCCTTTTACATTTTTCTAAGTTAGCTCTCCTATACCTACCTCATCTCTGAAGGTTCTCCCTCACTCTTGAGGTGATGACCTCACTCATACCTCATAGAGAAAATACAACCATAGGATAAACTACCTCATCCTGTCATAATCAACTCTTAACGACTGACATGCATCTTTTCTCATTTATCTGCCTTCCTTTCACAAAGGAAAAAAAAAAGTTCCTGTTGGAATTAGTAACCAATATCTCCATTAAATGGATCCAGGAGAGACATAAAATAGTTATTAGGAGTGAAGTCCTTGAGTAGGAGAGAGGATGGGATTATTTCATACTTTTCAAATGAAATAATTCTACAAGTTCTAGTAATTCTTGCTTTTATTTGTAGCTTTAACATTTTAATCTAATTTGATTACCTGGGTTATTTCTATGTCTCTGTTAATTTTTTCCCTAATTATGGGCCATATTTTCCAGCTTCTTTAAATGCCTGATAATTTTTTATTGGATGCTAAACACTGAGCTTTATGTTGCAGGATCTCTAAATATTCCTTTAAACATTTTTGGCCTTTGTTCTGGGACACAATCAAGTTACTTGAAATTTAGTTTGATTCTTTTGAGGCTAGTACTCAATCTTTGTTAGGGCAAGTCCAGAACAGTCTTTAGAACTAATCTGGCCTCGGCCTCACTACTGAGACAATAACCCTTCTGAGGGTTCTACTTGATACGCTGTGTATTGAGGCCTTTCCATTCTGGTTAGTGGGAATGTGTAGCACAGTCTCAGCCCTATGAGCTTCCCAAACTGTTCTTTCTTTCCTCTTGCTTTTCCCTAGACTTGGAAGTTCCTCATGGACAGGATCAGATCAGTTTTCAGCTAGACACTCGAAGGGACACCCTGTGAATATCTGGAGCTCTTTTTCTGTGCAGCCCTGGTACTCTGCTCCAAAGTCACTTAGGCCTCCCCACACTCTGAATTCTGTTTCTTCAACTGAAGGAGCTGCCACATCTGTTTGGAATTTCCCATCCCTGTGCTGCAATCTGAAAACTCTCAAGGCAGTGAAGTGGGTCAATCTAGGGCTCAGCTTCATTTGTTTCCTTCATTTGTGCCTGATGGAACTTTGTAACTAATTTTTAAAAGAAATCATTTGCTGATCTGGGAGCCTCCTCCAGCTACTCCAGCCCTGTTTTTTTCTCTCTTTCATAGCAGAGCTATTCCAAAGAGTTGACTATACTTGCTATGTCCCCTTTTTCATCTTCTATTATTTCTTCTACTCCAGCTGGGCTTTCCTTCTCACCACTCCACCAAAACATGCCAATGGCACATATCTAATTAAATTACTTTCCCATACTTTCATCTTCTCAGTGGACATAGTTAACCAATGTCCTTCCTTCTTGAGATGCTTTTATTCTAAAAATGAAGAAAATCTTTTCAGTAGCTCCTCCTCTGAGTCCCAGAGCACAGCATTCCATGCGATTCATAAGCTGAAGACTCTCAGATTTATAGGACCAACTCATGACTTCCAAATTATACACTTCTAGCACAAACTGCTCTAATGTGCATATTCTCACATATCCAATCAGGACGAAAGAGGCACATTTCAAACTGAACAAGTCCATCCCTTCTACATCCCCCACCCCTAACTGTCCCTTCCCTGTAAGAGGCCCACTCATCTATCCAGCTGCTCAACTTGGAGGTTCATCCTCGGATTCTCTCTCTCCATCTAGTACATTCAAATCCACCAGCAAGTTCTGTTGGTTCTGGCTCCTCAAAATATATCTCAAATCCATCCATTTCTCTTCATTTCCACTAGCACCAACCCTACTTAAAGCCACCATCATCACTCTTGCCCAGTATGACTCATTCTCCACATGGTAGCCAGAATAATCTTGAAAAACCATTAAATCAGATCATGTCACTCCCTTAAACTCGCTAATAGCTTACTTCATTTCAACACAGTCAAAACTTCTCATGGTAGCCTAACAATCCCTTCCTGATCTGGATCGTGAGTACGTATGTGTCCTCATCTCCTAATCTACAACCCCCTGCTCACTCTGCTCTGAGTACAATGGCCTCCTGTTTCAGCTCAGGCTCTGTGCACCTGTAGGTCTCTCTGGATTATTCCTCATGCAGATCTTCCCACGGCTCATTACCACCACTCAAGTTTCAGGCCACATGTTTCCTAACCACCTACCCAAAGAAAATTATCCTTCTCCTTCTAACTAAAATTCTGTAGTATCTTGTTCCACTGCCACATAAGAACATATGGTGGCATCCTCCTGGAGTTTCAGCTACTCAGGAGGCTGAGGTGGGAGGAGCCTGGAGCCCAGGAGGCTGAGGCTGCAATGAGCCGAGATCACACCACTACACTCCAGCCTGGGCAACAGAGGGAGACCTTGTCTCAAAAAAAATAAATAAATAAATAAATAAAATAATAAAAATAATAATAAATTCTGGCTCTAATCTCAAATTCTCATGACAATAAAAGTTATTTTCTGACTACTGCATCCAATTACATCTTTAAATCCTTTAGAGACTGGCTTTTAGAACTTGACCCTTCTTAAACTGGAACCAACTATCCATGCACCTTTACTTCCATGCAAATTATGTCTACATAATATGCAAATGAGATTAACTCAAGATTTAATGACTATTCTCTAAACACATAAAATTCTTTTGGAAACAGATTTAAATATAATGGCAACAGAATATTCTCATTACAACAGGAAACTACCATAGGCCTACTGCATCTTACAGTCAAGAAAACCTGGGGCATGTGGAAGCAGAGCTAGAGGCTAGAGTAAGGCCTTACATCTAGTAACTCCGAGTTTGATGCTTTTTCCTATTAATAATTACCTAAATTAGCTGGGCATGGTGGCACACACCTGTAGCCCCAGCTACTCAGGAGGCTGAGGCACGAGAATCGCTTGAATCTGGGAGGTGGAGGTGGCAATGAGCCGAGATCATGCCACTGCACTCCAGCCTGGGTGACAGAGTGAACTCTCTCTCAATAGTAATAATAATAATAACAACCTAAGTTAAAATACATAGTTTTTCACAATCATATCATACAACTCTCTAAGGACACAAAATACATCTAACACTTTTATGTCACACAATCCCAAATACAAAATATAATGTTAAGTATCTTCTGAGAACAAAAAGCAAGGCCGTTCTAAAAATTCTATTAGTGTTTGGTAATAATGAAATTCATCTGTACATGATTTTTCATACACTGCCTTATTCACTCCTCAGAGCTATTTTGTAAGGTAGCTCAGAAGACTTAAGAAATGCAGAGACTAAAGTTCTTTCAGTGACGTTAAGTGACTTGTCAATGGATACAAAATCAAGGTAGGGAAAGTTTCCTTAGGATACACAATTGCTATTTGGATGCTCAGAGGATATACAATTGCTACATTATCAAAATAGTTCATCCCAATATATAAAAAGATTAGAACCTATATTAAATCATTCACAGGACATTTTAAACCTCAGGTCATGTTTGCCCCTAGATTCACTCTAAGGTCACATCCAATTTCTTCAGTCAGTACTTGCTATACTGAGGGAAATTCAACCAAAACGATTTGCTTAAATAATCTGCTTTGCAATTCAGCAAGTGATTATCACAACACATATCCAAAAACTGAACCAAAACTTTAAAGATAACCTCCATTACAACAAATACTTGAGGGAGGGCTTTATCTTTTAAAAAATTGATTGTATCTGCATTGATCAAAGCTACACCTCAGATAACATATTATAGTAGATGTAATAAGTACAGCAAGTTTGCTTTTGTTTTTCATATACCTATTACAGCAGGGTTGGTAGATGGAATTCACTTCATATATTTAAAGGTGCAAAGTTGAGTGTCCACTATATTTAAAATACTGTAAGAACTCAAAATCACTACCTATTATTACAGGATTTAATACACCTAATCAAGAAAGATTTTCTACAGTTTATAAATGTGTTGAAGGCAACAGTTAGCATCAATAAATTAAAAGCAATTCTAGGGCCAGGTGCAGTGGTTCTCGCCTATAATCTCAGCACTTTGGGAGACCAAGGTGGGTGGATCACTTGAGCCCAAGAGTTTGAGAACAGCCCAGGCAACATGGTGAATATTTAAAAATAAAAATAGAAAAAATTAGGCGTGGTGGTGTGTACCTGTAGTCTCAGCTACTTGTAAGGCTGAGGTGAGAGGACTGCTTGAGCTAGGGAGGTTGAGGCTGCAGCTGCAGTGAGCTATGATCGTGTCACTGCTCTCCAGCCTGGGTGACAGAGCAAGACTTTGACTCAAAAAAAAACCCGCAATTCTAGCAAGTTGTTTAAAACATTTGAATCCCTTGTCTTCTCATTGATTTCTCAGAATTTGGTTTATTCTTACCAAAAAGTTATTGTTATCAATGCAAGTCACACTTCAGTGTTCCAAAAGTCTACTTTAAAAGTAAATACATACTCTAGTTGTCTCTGAAAGTATGTCATACTTTCATATCACTTTTGCCCTTAGACACGCTCAATTCTTTTTATTCCTGAATTACAATATAAAATTCTCATTTCCTTGTGCATCTCTTCTTCTAAGAAGTACAATCACAAATGATACAATTCCATGGTATTATTGCTCCCTTAAAATGCTATCTTCTGCTTTTAACTAACTGCTGTTAACAATTAAGCATCCTTAACTTTTCAAGAAAATTGAGTAATAAATGTAATCAGAAATCACATCTTTACATACATAAAAAGGACTCTTGCCATTACTAAGTGCTTTAAAACATGGACACATGTCTGTGTGTGTGTGTCTGTGTGTGTGTATAGATTCTATGTTTCTACCATTACTACCAGTACATACCATGACACAGTAGAATGCAAAATATAAAACTAAAACCCAGCCATTTTTAACAGGATTGGTTGGTATATTTAATCCTGCCCACACATTCATGAACCTTTATGCAGAATTTTTTCTCTCGTTTACAAAATTTAAGCTACACTGTAGGCAGTACTTTTAATTAAGTCCTATTAACAGAAAAAAATGTAATTCAGTACAAATGCCATTGCTGATCATGAAAAGCACCCACAAAATACCATTAGATACATAAACACATTCAAATGGTATACTGAAACAAAAGTTAATACTAACATTTCAGGTGCATAGGCATGTAAAGTGTTCAAAAGGTCCCTTCTGTATTCAAGAATCCTTAGTCTCTTCCTGGACTGCCTGTCCTTTTTCAATTATCCTCCTTTGACTAAGTCTATTTAGTAACTGCCAAACTGAGATAAAACCAAAATGACTCAGTTTGAAATTTATGGAACAGCTGATCTTAACCCCTGGGCTTTCTGCCCCAGCCCATTACCGATACTTTGAGAAATTGATGACAAGTGTGAACCTTCTCCCTAGAAAAATATATTCTAACATTTTATAGGCATATGGTGGGAATCCATCACTTCCAGAATTATTTCCACATAATCCTCAGAACCCTAGCTTAGCAACTTTATGCAAAAATACCTTTGGACAGTATAGAAAGCTGAAACATTTTATTAATTCTCTTTGATTTTATCTGAAGTAATTGTAATCTAATGCAAAAATCCCCATACTCTCAATTCTTTTCTAATTCAAACTATCTGTAATTAGTTTGTTAAACTTTGCTTCTACTATAATTGAGATTTCATGTATTTCTCTTCACTTCCAAGAGAGTGGATAGAATGGAGAAATCTAGATTGATCTTTACAGCTCCAGATAAAGGGACTAAAAATATTGGTTTAAAATATTAAAGGTTAAAGAAAGAGACTGTTGGTTTCTTTCAAAGTGATTTAAATTTAAACTAGGTTTTTATTACTAAGTTTTGGAAATGGGGTAACCATTTTTTTCTCATATCAAGGATATGTACATATTTCCCATTTCCCCATAATTAAAAACAAACAACTCCCATCCACTTCTTATAAATAGTTCTTAACTTGGGCTTAGTAACAATGTATATTGTGCCAGTAATACAGAAAAGGTGGGAGTATAAAGACCATCCTGTCCTGTTAGAATCCTATAGAACCAAGGTGCTGGATTATGGTGGTTAGATCCTACTTGTAACAGTTTCAAAGGTGACTGTAGGGTAGTATCAATATGAAAACATCATTAACATCTTAATTACACCAAATCTCCTCCCCAAACCAGTCTAGGTAACAGGAGAGGAAAGGTTAAGTTGCCACCCCCTCATAAATGGAACAACGCACCCTAGACAACCCAATGAAAAGTTAAACTACTGTGGAACAGTAGCTCCATTTTGCTAAACATCATTTTAAAATCGACTTTTTAAAAGTGATGTTTCCATAAAGGAGAATTGTTAACAACATAAAGCTCCAATTTTAATCAAGAGTCAATTTTAATAAAAAGATTTGATAGTATTAATCCATTTGGTAAGTTTAACCTTTCAATAGAATGCGAAGCCGTAGCACAAGATTTAAGATTATAAAGATAATTAAATTATAATCTTAAAGTTAACATTGTAAAATATTCATAATAGGACATATGCCCCACACCAACCAAGCACTTGTTTAAACTTTTATCTTTTTTTAAACCCCAAAGGGACTCAATTATCTCAGAGCTGAAAGTCTATTATTTCGCTGTGATTTAAGTCACATCTGTACTTCATTAAATACATTGTTTTCATCATCCGTTACTTTATTTTTAATTAAATTATTTTTTCTGAAACGAGTTTCGCTCTTCTTGCACAGGCTGTGAGTGCAGTGGGGGGATCTCAGCTCTCTGCAACTTCCACCTCCCGGGTTCAAGCGATTCTCCTGCCTCAGCCTCCCGAATAGCTGGGATTACAGGCAGCTGCCACCACGGCTGGCTAATTTTTGTATTTTTAGTAGAGACAGGGTTTCACCATGTTGGCCAGGCTGGTCTCGAACTCCTGACCTCAGGTGATCCACCCGCCTCGGCCTCCCAAAGTGCTGGGATTACAGGCGTGAGCCACCGCATCCTGCCAATCTGTTACTTTCAGACTTAGCAAATTTCGATGCATTACATTCTGCGAATTCACATTTAATCTCTAACATCTTTGACCCAGTCAAATCCTTCAATTTACCACAATCTGAAGTTACTTTTTCAGTACTACTACAATTAAAAAAATAGATAAGTTCAGTAACATTTTCTGCCTCCAAATTATTTTGGGGGGGGGGTGTAAGGGCTTCTACTTAAAGTTGTTTCTTAAAAAGTCTGCCTCGTTAGGCCCGTGTGTGCAGCTCATAGTATTAAAACTGGTTAAATGGGAATACACGAATAATACTTATTTTCCCAATGTTAAAAGACCTGGATTTCTGTCAAGTATATCCAGAAACAACGTAACAATTACTAGGTGTATTTCACATGACAATTCTGCAGATTATTTTGATCAATAAAATGCTTTAATCAGGTGGTGTATAAAAAAACTGCCCTCACCTTTCAGGACCAACATAGGACTACATACTTTTTTTTCTAAGACAGTCAGTTCAGGTTCTAGGTTACAGTGACCTAATAAGATAACAAATAACTAATGTGTCAGTTAAAGGCAGAAGTTTGCTTTAACCCTTCCTCTTTATTAGAAGTACAAAATACTTCCGCACATCAAAAAGTTTGTTTTTCTATGGAGAATCCAGAATTCAATTACCTTTATGTTTAATATACCTTTTCAACACTGCATAACACACTACTTTCAATATTATGATTTACACACCCTACCACTAACAGCATGAACCACAGGACTGTAAAGCAGCTTGTTTACCAGGTACTTTTTACATTCTTCCATTAGGTTCAGTGTCTATTCTTGAGGTCTATGCTTCTCTCCTCATACATAGCTTTGGTTGGATGTGAAGTGAAAAATTCTAAACAGATATTTGGAAAAGGCAATCTGAAGAAAAAAAAAAATCCCTGTGTTTCAAAATTAGGGACTCCACATGTTACAAACTATTGATAGCCACTGCAGTATAAAATGTCAAAATTGGCCGGGCGCGGTGGCTCATGCCTGTAATCCCAGCACTTTGGGAGGTCGAGGCGGGCGGATCACCTGAGGTCAGGAGTTCAAAACCAGTCTGGCCAACATGGCAAAACCCCGTCTCTGTTAAAAGTATAAAAATCGGCCGGGCGCGGTGGCAAGCGCCTATAATCCCAGCTACTGGGGAGGCTGAGGAAGGAGAATCACTTGAACTCGGGAGGCGGAGGGTTGTAGTGAGCCGAGATGCTGCCACTGCACTCCAGCCTGGGCAACAGAGTGAGACTCCATCTCAGAAAAGAAAAGAAGAAAAATCTAAATTATTTCAGCGAATAAAAATTACCCGTAAAATTTAACAAGCACTGATACTTCATTGAGCTCAGCTCTGACTTCAGGTTGTAACTCTTGGGACTGTCCAAAGTATTCACAGAAGCAAGACTTAACTAAAGTCTAAAGTGTACTGTTGTGCTGTCTTGCTTTAATCAAGGCTTTCCCCTTCCTTGGCTGCTGAACAAGAATTACAAATTAATTTCCAGGGCAGGGTAAAACCAACACCCCAATACTTGAAAGTATTATCTGTAAAACTTAGAAATAAAAATAAAACCAAAAGACAAGATTCTGCAGTCACAAGTACTTTAATTTTTAAAAACAAATCACTTATTAAAAAATAAACAAATGGCCATGCTACTCTAAAGTTGATACAAGTAAAATAAATTAAGAGGTAGTGTCTCATGAGACAATGTGCTGAAAGTCAGTGCCCAACTAGACAATCTGAGCTACTACATACACTTGGCTTATCTGTAAAGTTAGATTTAAGACACTACTCTCAAAAGTAACATTTCACTGTCACAGCTATTTCACTTTAAAAGGTTAAACAACCCAAAGAGTTTAAACAGTTTTATTTCCAAAAACAACATTACAGAGCATAATTTCTACATTAAAAATTCTTACAGTACCAAGAGAAGTATTACAGTACAATTTTCCACAACAAAATTGTAGCACACAAATCCACGCGACTCCTGGACTTCCTTGAACTGTCAATACACTGCACCCTGTTTAAATGGCTGTACCTGAAAACCAAGGTATGCAATTCCTTAGGATTAGAAGTCATCAAGTTATACTGTCAAGGATCTGGGGGAAATGAGAGGAAGATTCTATTATCCTGGTGTCCGAACCCAACTTCCACAACAAGGTAAAGCCACAGCGATGGTAAAATGTCTATTAGTTGTCAACATTTACGTGCTGAAACCCACCCAATTTAGACATCTCAATATTAAGATTTCTGTGAATCAAGTCACTTAGTTTTAGTTCGGTTTTGAATAAGAAAGGATCCTCCTTCGAAATTTAGATCTATAAAAGTTACTTAAATTGGGTCTTTTCTCCCCCTATGTTGAGATACCAGAGAGCAGGAGAACTTAAATTTATTTTACAAATAGGTAAGGTTACAGGCTTCAGAAGAGAGAGGTACTCCAAACAAATCTGCAAGATATTCGCAAGGATCACAGAAAAAGTCAGGGATAGTGGTTTATTATCCTCCGACCAACTAGCTCTGGAGAGGGATGGATACAAACGTCCCAGAAAGAGGACACTGAAAGTAAGTCTTATCTTCTAGAAAAGTAAGTCGTCCGGGCAAACACGCTGCACCCTCGACATTTCCTTGCAGAGGGGGAGAAAAGCCTCATAGAGCAGCAGGCGACATGACATGCCCGTCTGAGGCTCCACGTGGGGGCTGCACTGAGCCCAACAAGCTTCCCAGACCATGGGGCAATCAAATTCCCCGACTGTGCACAGAACCTGCGCTCCCGGCCCGGGCAGCGGCGCGCAGGCCGCAGTGGCCCTGGAGCGCCACCCAGCGGCCCACGGAGAGGCCTGTAGGCGGGTCCTCCACGGCTCCCGACTCGCCGCACCCCCACAGCCACCCAGCCCGTTCCCCTCTCCGGATGCACAAGGCCCAACCCAAGAACTAAGACACAAAATGGCTGCCGGCAGCTTCGTCACGTGACCCCTTTGTGCCTTTCGGGCCCCCGAACTCCGCGGGACCCGGGTACAAGTGGCCAGGGTCAGCGGGTGGCCTTAGAAGGGGCCCCGCTGGGCCGCGGCGGCCGGGGGTCGAGGCTGGGGGAGGCGGGGTATAGGCCCGGCCGGCGACTGAGAGTCGGCGGCGAAGAGAAGATGGCGGCCATTTTGTGTGGGTTTGCTGCTCCGCCGCCGCCGCAGGCAGCAGAGGGAGCGGGCCTGACGGTGGGTCGGACAGGGGAGTTAACACGTACCGACTCCTCTTCCTTCTCCATTCCGGTGGGCATCTGCGGCACGGCCCTGTTTATCGAGGCGTATTCGTGCAGGTCGGGCAGATCCTCACAGCGGAAAACCGGCAGCGGCTTCGAGGCGTCTAGCGCCCGCGCCCGAAACGACAGTTTACTCATCTCAGGCGCAGCAGATACCTCTCCGCTCTGGGGAAACGGCCCCGGCCAGCGGGATCATGGAGAACCGGGGGTTCGGTCCCCACTCGCCAACCGCTGCCGGGGACTTGAGGGGCGGAGCGCAGAGCCCGCCGTCCGGGCACTAACACCAGCCGGGAGGGTGGGAGGCTGTGCCGCTCCGCTCCTCTCTCGCTCGCTCTCTTCAATACGCCATGGCCAACATGGCGGACATTAAAACTCCACTGTGCGCTCTTCAGCCAACCCCAGCCATTCCCCACACTGCATCGCGCAGCGGCGCGGGCACGCGGGCGGGGGGAGGGAGCGCGGGCTCGAGGCCGGCGCCGGCACGAAGCGCGCGTCCCGCCAACCCCCGGCACCCGCCGGCCTCGCTTCCCGCGCCTCGCTGCTCCGGGCCCCCGCCCTTCGCGGGTCCGGGGGCGGACAGGGCGGACTGGGCGCTCGGACACCGGGCGCCGGCTCTTGGGTCGTGCTCTCCTGCAGCGCACACGCTCACTTTCTCACGCTCGCTCCCTCCCGGCGCCGCTTTCTGACGGGCGAACAAGGTGCGGGAAAACTCTCTCCACCAGCACGCCGCCGTTTGGAAAGGCAGCTGGGGAGAGTGGCAGGCGGGGCTCGGGCCCCGGGCACCTGGGGCTCGGAGGGCTCGGACCTCTGGGGTGCTCGCCAGCGGCTGCCCCGGGGCCACGGCCGCCCCCACGGGGCTTCGGAGGGGCGCTCCAGAGGCGCCGCGCGCCGCCGTCTGCCGCGGGGGGCGAACGCACAGCCTAGTTCCCGCGGCGCCTTAGGTCTTTACGATAAAAATACAAACTGAATTAGGGGCAGATGCTACTTTGAGTAAACTTTTATCAGCAGTTATTTTTATGTCCTAATGCAACTTTGGATTATAATGTTTTATAGGCACCGCATCAAGTCATTGATCCGTTTCCCACGCATTGGGCTTAATATAAATGATAGGTATCCTATTCTACAAAGTAGATTTTTTTAAATCCTGCATTTTCATCTACACATATTTACTTTTTAAATAGTAACTGAAGCAAAGGAAATTATTACCCACCACTATAACATTTAAAAGCAAGATCTACTTCAGAATTTAAAGCCAGTTCTTTATATCTAGCTCATGATTCTGTACTCAAAGAGACTGCGGCTTCATCATAGCCGTGGGTTCACACTTTCATCATTTGTCCTCTGAAAAACTTTGTAACATTGAATCATATAAAGACCTGTCGTACTCCCGCCAAACAAAAAGCTGAATTATTAGATTTAGATGGATATGATAGATGGGTGGCATCGGTTTATATTACACATGAAAATGGGTATCCTGAGATCTCTTCGTTGTTGTTGTTGTTAATAGGGAAGATTGTTGGGGTGGGTTTAATAAATTGGCAGCCAAATTTCAATTCGAGTTTCAATTTGTATCTTAGTGCACAATTTTGTATCTTGTGCAACAAGATACAAAAAGATACAAAAATGTTTTGAGTTGCTTTTCTCCCTGGGAACTACGTAGTAAAAGTAATCACGCTCCTTAAATACTGGGCTTGATATGAGCTGTCACTAGCTTAGGGCACACAGGCAAACTGCTAGCCTCCAGGCTGGTTTAGCCAGCTCCCGCGGGGTAGGGAGAAAACAGGACGGATTGCAGTTCTCCAAAATTATACTTAAACTCCGATATTGGCAGCTCACTTAAGTGAGGCATAAGGACGTTCACCTGCATTTCCTACACAGAGACCGTGCCTTTATTCATTCAATGAGTATTGAGGGTGTGTATTGAGCCCTCATAGCCTTCCAAGTCAGCTTGGCACCCACAGGGCTCCTGGAGGAGCTTACACAGTGGGGAGAAGGACCCGCGAATGGCAACTGCCACACGGCGAGCTAAGTGTTATGGTGGAAGCCCAGGCCACTGTGGGAAGGGGCAAGAGTGGCGCCCAACCCAGGAGAGTAGTTCTAATGAAGTAGCAAGGGAAGACTTTTTGGAAGAGATGATATCTGAGTAAAATTATGTAGGATAAGTGTGGGTTAACTTTGCAAAAAAAGTAAAAATGAAGGGAAGAAAGGTATCTTAAGACAACGGTAGCGACGTATCCACAAGCTGAGTCATTAGATAGCAGTCACTTTCTGGGAGCCTCAAGAATTGCCAACTTCACTGTGGAATGACACCTGTTTAGCCAGGTTTAACAGTTCCGAAAATACTGGCTGAATATTATTCTGACAGCCCTCTCCAGCCTACAACATTAGGTTCCTGAAAGTCCTAGCAGTAGAATTCATAATTGAGGAGCCTAAGATTTTAAGAACAAAATAGAGTAAGTCAAGAGTGAACCAAGGAAATGAATTATTTCTACCCTCATTAAAATAACAGTAAACAACAAAATAACTATTTCCACATCCTACATTAGTAATAATGGGTGGAGTACAAAAAAATTTCTTATTCTCTAGAGAGTCTAAAATCACCCTCCGTGGCAAATTCACAGATAAGCTTACAGATTCACTTGCCTTTTGGCAGATAATATTATATGCCTGCTAAGAGACACCTTTTTCTCATCATTCCTTTATCCGTCTCCTCAATGCTGTGGATTTCCAACTCTCAGGTCCTTCTGGGTTCCCAAGGACTCAAAGGCTGGAGTCCCAAGCCTCTTTTATAAAATTAAAACAAACAAACAAACAAAAAAACCCTTTTTTGAAATTTTTGTTTTTTAGAGACAGTGTCTCTATCTCCCAGGCCTGAGTTCAGTGTTGTGATCATGGCTTACTGCAGGCTTGAACTCCTGGGCTCAAGTGATCCTCCTGCCTCAGCCATCAGTAGCTGGGACTAAAGGTACATGCCACCATACCCTGCTAATTTCTAAATTTTTTCTAAAGACAGGGCCTCCCTCTGTTGCCCAGGCTGCTCCTGAGCTCCTGACCTCAAGCAGTCCTCCCACCTCGGCCTCCCAAAGTGCTGGGATTACAGGTGTGAGCCACTGCGTTCGGACCCATGCCTCTTTTTTATGCAGTTCACTTTTCTTCACCTTAAGGGACAGGAAGGCAGCAGTAAAGATTCAGGTTTAGTTTTCCCTAGATTCTTTTATCTGTCCGAAAGATTCCTTGAAAAAATGGTTAATCCTGTACTTTCACTTTAAAAATTCTTTTCTGTTCTCAACTTAAAATTCCTTCTTTTTCTAAGTATCCCCAACAAAAGTGATGTGAAATTCTCGATGTTGCAAACAATGTATGCTAGGGCAAAGGTGAATACCCTAACGGCAGAGGGAAACTCTTGTTTGGGAAAGGATTTGGAGTATTTAAGATAGTTTGATGTCACAAATATGTATTGGATAACCAGGTAACACACAGTACTGTCATTGTAGGGGATACAAATAAAACACTGGTAAATGGATACCCAGTTGCCCAAGTGGCAAGGCAGTATAATGAAATGCAGTGGCTATGGGAGTTCAGAAAAGAGAGCAGTAGGTCCCATCTGGGTTGATCAGACAGCATGGAGAAGCAGCATGCGATCTGATTCTGAAGGATGGCTAAGGTTTCAACTGCTCATGGGAATGAAATGCTATTATAGAAGAAAGAACATTCATGGGGGAACGCAACTGTATGAACAAAAGGGTGAGAGGCGGCAACTGTCAGGTATGATTGAGGATGAGGAGGTTTATTTGGCCGGAGTTCAGTAGGAGACTCCAACAACAAGCCAATTAGGAGATAAAACTGGTAAGAACTTGGGTGGATGGAGTAGGAGTAGAAAGTAAAGAGACATGAGTTTTCATGGTAATAATCATTACATATAATAGCACAAGAAATGTGATTTCTGTTCCAAATACAGAATTTCTACTTAACAAAAACTTAGAATATGCCAAAGGCAACTGCTCTGACACTGCATTCTGTGGTAACTAATACATTTGAAATACAGCTCTAAATAGTAGTTTATGTTCGGTATGTATCCAAGTCTTATGATTTCTTCTTTGAAATTGTTTCTGGGATTTACTTCCCAATTTCCATTTCCATTGTCTTAAACATAGTCCCAACTCTGATCACTTCACCCCTAGAAACAGCCTCCCATTCATCCTTTATTTATTCAGTCCATCCTTTATTTACTCATTCCCTCAATAAACCTTTTTAAAGCCCTCACTTTATAGGAAACTGTGCTGGTACTCTTCTGTTGGTGGCTAGTGGTAACCAAAAGTGGAAGCAGAGGCTCTGGGTCCCTGGGGCCTCACAATGCATGTCACCAAGTCAGTGTGCCAAAAACTGTACTTCATTCTGTATCTTCCCTTCCCCAAGTCATATCTTTATAACTGCTCTTGTTTTGCCCATTAGATAAAGCCAAATTTTCGAGTGTTTGGTTGTCAAGACCTCCTGTAATTTTGCCCCACTCTGTCCAACATCGTTTGTCATTATTGCTTAAGACAAGCTTTTCACTCTAGCTAGCAGTCTCATCACCATCTTCAGAAATCAGCATGTCGGCTGGGTGCGGTGGCTCATGCCTGTAATCCCAGTACTTTGGGAGGCCGAGGAGAGTGGATCACCTGAGGTCAGGAGTTCACGACCAGCCTGGCCAACATGATGAAACCCTATCTCTACTAAAAATACAAAAAATTAGCCAGGCATGGTGGTGCACGCCTGTAATCCCAGCTACTCAGGAGGCTGAGGCAGGAGAATCGCTTTAACCCGGGAGGTGGAGGTTGCAGTGAGCCGAGATTGCACCATTGCACTCCGGGCTGGGCAATAAGAGCGAAACTCCATCTTAAAAAAAGAAAAAAAATCAGCGTGTCTTTCCTGCCTCCAGGTTTTTATTCATTCTTTTGATTATTTATTTATTTATTTATTTTATTTTGAGAGATGGAGTCTTGCTCTGTTGCCCAGGCTGGAGTGCAGTGGCGTGATCTCGGCTCACTGCAACCTCCACCTCCCGGGTTCAAGTGATTCTCCTACCTCAGCTTCACAAGTAGCTGGGATTACAAGTGTGCGCCATCACGCCCGGCTAATTTTTGTATTTTTTTTAGTAAGGACAGGGTTTCACCATATGTTGGCCAGGCTGGTCTCAAACTCCTGATCTCAGGTGATCCACCCACCTCGTCCTCCCAAAGTGCTGGGATGACAGGCATGAACCATCGTGCCCAGCCATATTGATTTTTTTTTTTTTTTTTTTTGAAACAGAGTCTCGCTCTGTCGCCCAGGCTGGAGTGCAGTGGCGCAATCTCGGCTCACTGCAACCTCCGCCTCCCAGGTTCACGCCATTCTTCTGCCTCAGCCTCCTGAGTAGCTGGGACTACAGGCACCTGCCACCACGCCCGGCTAATTTTTTTTTTAATTTTTAGTAGAGATGGGGTTTCACTGTGTTAGCCAGGATGGTCTCGATCTCCTGACCTCGTGATCCACCCGCCTCAGCCTCCCAAAGTGCTGGGATTACAGGAGTGAGCCACTGCGCCCCGCCCAGCTGTATTGATTCTTTTCAGTCTGTCCTCCCTGTCCTGCCTCAGACTGTCTACCGAAATCCTATTTCACAGGAATGTTTTGGACACTAAGTAAAACAAACCATGTAAAGCACTTAGAATCATCCCTGGCCCACAGTGAACCCTCAATAGATGTAAGATATTGTTATTATTCTTCAAAATCCAGCTCAAATATCACCTCCCCCATGAAACATTGACTACTTAAACTCTCTGGGCCCTAATTTCCTAATCTGAAGCATCGGTGAGCAGTTAGGTAAATGCAAAATAAGCCTCCCCCAGTCTTTCTCATCTCTGAGCTCCTATTATGCTTTCAGTCAACAGGAAGAATAGCTACCATTTATGGAACACCTAGTATGTACTAGGTGATGCAGAAATACTTTAAATGCATTATCTCAATTTTCGTGACAGCCCTGTTAGGTATTTCCTGTTGGGTTTAGAGAGGTTGTGTGACTGGCTTATGGCCAGGAAGCTGATAAGAGGCAGTGCTTAGTATCCCTAGTATCTATCTGGCCAGACACAGTGGCTCACACCTGTAATCCCAGCACTTTGGGAGGCTGAAGCGGACAGATTACCTGAGGTGGGGAGTACAAGACTAGCCTGACCAACACGGAGAAACCCTGTCTCTACTAAAAATATAAAATTAGCTGGGCGTGGTGGCACATGCCTGTAATCCCAGCTACTCAGGAGGCTGAGGCAGAAAAATACCTTGAACCAAGGAGGCGGAGGTTGCAATGAGCCAAGATCGCGCCATTGCACTCCAACCTGGGCAACAAGAGCACAACTCCATTTCAAAAAAAAAAAAAAAAAGCAAAAAAAGAAATCCCTGGTATCTGATTCCAGAGTGCAGTCCCAGATTGAAGTGAAGTGCGAACTAGAATCGAAGAAAGAGATGTTTAAGAGGGTTGGTAATGAAGGGCAAAGAGAGAGAGAAAGGGGTAGCTATTTGAAGTCAAGGGTTTCATTGTTTTTGAAAGTAGGAGAGATGTGGGCATGTTTGTATACTAAAAGCAAAGAATCATTTAAATGGGTTAATTTTAGGGCTGTCTTTTTCTGAGCCAGGCAGGAAAGAATGACAGCCAGAATGGACAGTGATGCAAAGAGTTAAACTCTCTTTGATGGGACAACAAGATTAAAAATCATAATACTGGTTTTGGTAGCAGGAGTCCGGATTCCTCATTTCTTCAAGCATTCAACAAATATTTATCAAATGTTTACTAAGAGCTAAGGCAAGACAGTTTGTGTTGGAGAAACAATAATAAACAAGATATGGTCTCTACATCCTCACGGGACTAATAATAAAGTGAGGTACTGTATTTGTATTTAATTGGGAAAATGTGAAATTAATATCTTTAAACCATGTAAATGCACAATGATCTCTACATTAAAAAGTGATGTAGTGCAATAATTTAAAGCATTCTGCAAAAGTATGAATACTGAATACATTATCACTTGAAGTAATCATTTCTAATCATTTCTCTTAACTTCCTGCTTTTTACTTTCATAATAAGCTACATAAAGAAATGACTGCAAACAATTCTTCCACCATAACATTTAGGTAAACAAACACTGGAAGCCCTTTATAGTATGTTGTTTTTTTCATCTAGGAAATGTTGGAAAGAAAATATTACAGTTGCCTTTCAATATATTTACTAAGGTGTCACAGAAACAATATCTGAAGTACTGATTTCCTTACTGAGTAATTTGTGCATGGAGGTCTGTACATAATCTTTAAGAACTATTTTTCACATAAAATAAAATCATTCAGAATATATTTAGAAACAATATATCTGTACCTTAAGAGAATAAAGGGCAAATTATCAATCTTAGCAAACAGTAGCAGGATGGACTCAAAGTTATTTCAGTTTAACTTTATCTTCAATATGAAGTTTAACAACAACAACAAAAAAGAAATGAAAAATGCATGATTCAATACAAAAAATTAGCTGGGCATGGTGGTGGGCGCCTGTAATCCCAGCTACTTGGGAGGCTGAGGTAGGAGAATGGTGTGGACCCGGGAGGCGGAGCTTGAAGTGAGCCAAGATTGTGCCACTGCACTCCAGCCTGGGCGACAGAGTGAGACTCTGCCTCAAAAAAAAGAAAGAAAATGCGTGATTTAAACAAATGGGACTATCTGAGAATTGTAGTTGCAGCAGTATTGGGATTTAAAAAAGATGTCACACAATACATTTTAGATTTTCTATGTAATCTAAATAGAATGTCTTTACACATTTATTGTGTAAATCCTAAGGTTTAGGTTTTCTATAACCTTAGGATTTACACAATAAATGTGTAAATGTATTGGGATTTACACATTTATTGTAAATGTGTAATGTGTAACTGGCCACACAGCACAGAAGTGGGTGGCAGGCAAGCCAGCAAAGCTTCATCTGTATTTACAGCCAATCCCTAGTGCCCACATTACCACCCAAGCTTCACCCGGCATTAGATTCTCATAGGACCTCAAGCCTTATTCTGAGCTGCACATTGAGGGATCTGGGTTGCATGTTCCTTATGAGAATCTAATGCCTGATGATCTGTCACTGCCTCCCATCACTGTCCCCACATAGGACTGTCTAGTTGCAGGAAAACAAGCTCAGGGCTCCCACTGATTCTACATTATGGTGAGTTGTAGAACTGTTTCATTATATATTACAATGTAATAATAATAGAAAGAAAGTGCACAATAAATGTAATGCACTTGAATCATCCTCATAGGGGGAGCACTCCCTCCCCTGGATCCATAGAAAAGTTGTCTCCCATGAAACTAGTCCCTGGTGCCAAAAAGACTGGGGACCACTGCTGTAAATCATCTGATCTTTTCCTCACTGTGCTGGCAAGCAGTTGATACCTCTATGACAGCATTTTAAGGAGGATACTACTAGTTGCAGTTGGAGAAGTGGTGGGATGCGTGAACAGGAAACTGTTGAGAAACTGAACTTGAAAAATAATAATTTACTCCTTAGCAGAGGAACTATTCGGTAGTCTCTTCCATGTCTCATCCCAACAATTAATTTCTCAGAATAAAAGTCTATCTTAGAAAAATGTACAAATTAAACTGTATACATTTTAGAAATATTTGGTGGTATTTATCTAAACTGGATTACGTTAAATTACTGTCAACCCATTAAATCCATTGACTGGCACATACTGACAGATTACTATGTGTAGGCCAGGCATTGGTGCAAGGTTATAAATGGTAGAAAGACAAAAACAAAGAACACACTACCTTTAGTGCCTTACCCTTTTTTTTTTTTTTTTTTTTTTTTTTTTTTTTTTTGGGACAGAGTTGACCAGGCTAGAGTGCAGTGGCATGATCTTGGCTGCAACCTCCGCCTCCTGAGTTCAAGCCATTCTCCTGCCTCAGCCTCCCGAGTAGCTGGGACTACAGGCGTGCGCCACCACACCCAGCTAATTTTTGTATTTTTAGTAGAGACAAGGTTTCACCATGTTGGCCAGGCTGGTCTTGAACTCCAGACCGCAGGTGATCTGCCTGCTTTGGCCTCCCAAAGTGCTGGGATTACAGGTGTAAGCCACTGCACCTGGCCAGTGCCTTACACTTTTGAGTAGATAGACTACTTAAGCATTAGTTTTACTAAGTAATGCACATACAAATCAGTATGGTACAGATGGTACATGATGGGTGAAGGAACAAAGGAACAAAATTTAGAGAAAAATTGTTAATGAAGTAGAAACATATGTTGGAACATTTAAGTACAATTTATTAGTGGGTGGTAGACAAAGACTGTCAGGGAGGAAGGGCTTCGAGAGAGAAAATATCATGAATTGCTTTTGCTTTTATAACACGAGGAAGGAAATTCTGTTTTCTTACTGAAACTTGGGGTACAGAATTATCATCTAATAAATTAAGATTAGTGAAATAAAATGTTTTATCTTTCACTATATTTATTCTTCTCCATGACACCTTGAGTAACATTGTGCCAATTGCTTAGGTAAGCACTGTGAATCTAGTTCCCCTTCCCTTTCAGAGCAGGGAAGGGAAAGTGAATGACTGGAAGCCCATGGAGTGGGATTCTTGGTGTGAAGACTCACTCAGGGAGTGAGAGAGGAGCATAGAGAATGGAGCCCTGGGGAATACCAACATCTAGAAGATACCCAGGACAAGAACAGAGGGAGAGGCTGGGACAAGCCTGGAGACAAGCCAAATGAGGTCAGCATTTCAAGGAGGAGATCAACGAGGAGAATCAAAAAGAATGAGGAGGTCACAGTAAACCCATTTTCTTTAGGACACCGTGGGAGGAAAATAGACTCTGTGAGCTGAGCCGTGAATTGGAAGTTATAGGCCTAGTGGTGCCTGCGCACGTTGATTAAACATTTACCGCCAGGCGCGGTGGCTCACGCCTGTAATCCCAGCACTTTGGGAGGCCGAGGCGGGCGGATCACGGGGTCAGGAGATCGAGACCATCCTGCCTAACACGGTGAAACCCCATCTCTACTAAAAATACAAAAAATTAGCTGGGCGTGGTGGTGGGCACCTGTAGTCCCAACTCGGGAGGCTGAGGCAGGAGAATGGCGTGAACCCGGGAGGCGGAGCTTGCAGTGAGCTGAGATCGCACCACTGCACTCCAGCCTGGGCGAGGGAGCGAGACTCCGCATCAAAAAAATAAAAATAAAAAAATTTACCAAAGCCCCCAAAAAAGTGATTTCCCAGTACCCTCCTATAATCATTGTTTAAGTACTTGTTCACAAGAATGAGACCACTTTGAAGTCAAAAATCAGTTAAGCTTCAGGACATAGCCAGGGACACAGAGTAGCTATCATCCTCAGCGCCTCCCATGTTAGAACAGAGTACATGACGTATCTTCCAGAGTTAAAGCTGTAGAAGCTTGGAAACCAAAGACCTACATGACTTCTCTACATGAATTACTGACACAGGTAAAAGCCACATCCAGATCTTAAGATTTCTTCTGAATTTGGTTTCCCAAACACGAGACGCATAAGACAAAAAATAAGACAGTTGCACTGCAGCAGCATGTATATTGGAACGAGATAATATTTTTTGTTTCAATTGATTTATTTATAATAAGGTTAACACTTTGTGTTTCTGTTTCTTCTGGTCTTTTCTGGTTTTGTTTGTTAGTTTTGTTGTGGTTTTGACACAGGATCTTGCTTTGTGGCCCAGGCTGCAGTGCAGTTGTGCTATCACGGCTCACTGCAGCCTCAAACTTCTGGATTCAAGTGATCCTTCTGCCTCAGCCTTCAGTAGCTGGGACTACAGGTGCGTGCCACCATGTCTGGATAATTTTTTAATTGTTTTCTAGAGACAGGGTCTTGCTACGTTGGCTAGGCTGATCTTGCACTCCTGACCTCAAGCAGTCCTCCTGCCTCAGCCTTCTAAAGTGCTGGGATCATAGGTGTGATTCACCATGCCTGGCCCCATTTGTTAGTTTTTGTTTTTGCTTTTCATTGGCTGGTTTTACAATATAGAGATAATACAGTTTATTCTGTTTTGTGGCCTTCTCAATAAATTTTTTTTTTTTTTTTTTTTTTTAGACAGAGTCTCACTCTGTTGCCAGGCTGGAATGTAATGGCATGATCTCCACTCACTGCAACCTCCACCTCCCGGATTCATGAGATTCTCCTGCCTCAGCCTCCCGAGTAGCTGGGATTACAGGTGCCTGCCACCTTACCCAGCTAATTTTTGTATTTTTAGTGGAGACAAGGTTTCACCATGTTGGCCAGGCTAGTCTCGAACTCCTGACCTCAAGTGATCCACCCGCCTCAGCCTCCCAAAGTGGTGGGATTACAGGCATGAGCCATCACGCCCAGGCTACTTCTCAGTATAATTTGAGAATGCTCCCATCTCATTAAATACTCTTCTGAGACTATTATTTGACAAAGATACTTATCTAGCATCTGTAAAACAATTTACTTAAGAATTACCCTCTTAAAGTATAGAATGCACTGACTTTTCATTGTTATAAAGAACACGTATAATCTGAATAGTACTTTTAAAATAAAAATAAAAAGTGGGTTTAGGATGGGTGTGGTGTCTCACACCTTTAAACCCAGCACTTTTCAAGGCTGAAGCAGGAGGATCACTTGCACCCAGGAGTTTGAGACAAGCCTGGGCAACATAATGAGACCCCATCTCTACAAAAAATACAAAAATTAGCCAGGGTGTGGTGGTGCACACCTGTAGTCCTAGCTACTTGGGAGGCTGAGGTGGGAGGATCACTTGAGCCTAGGAGGTTGAGGCTGTAGTGGACTGTGATCGCGTCACTGCACTCCAGCCTGGGGAACGGAGTAAAAAAAAAAAAAAAAGCGGGGGCGGGGGGGGAAGAAAGTGGGTTTAAATTTTCACGGTTTAAGGCACAGAACCAATGTCTGCTGTTCTTTGAATAATGATAGTGCCAAGTCTACACAAATGAAGGTTAGCTGCTTCATCATCTGTCTGAGTAGATGACAAGCACCTAGGATTTAAATATCAGTATTTCTTTCCAGATATTAGTTTAGCATTTTCAAAAACTAGGCTCCATAAAATACTGATGTTCTGAAATGAGAGTTATGTAAAGAATTCTGTATAAAACTGGTAAGTTAGGGAAATACTGCTTATTAAATCTTCCTCTTTAAGATAGGTAGAGGCTCACCATGTATAGGCTCAGGGAAGTCCTGCAGAAAAGAAACCCATTTACTGATGCTTAGCACAGTATTTTCCAAAGTTCTCTGACCATAGAACCCCTTTCTGTACACTGTTAATTATTACCTTTAGCTCTATAAGCGCACACTTTAGGAAATTTCATTCTAGGCAATTCAAGGAAATAGAAGTTTTTCCAATCAAGTTATCCATCTAATTACTCAAGTCTGCCAAATAAACTTTGAAAAGGCATAAAGATCTTATAAATTTAAAATATTATCCTTATCACTGTCTTAAAATGTTTCATCCTGCTAAAAATTGTGTAATATAAGACATTTAAATATAAAATTGGATGAAATTCTGGCAGGTACTAGAATTGAGCAGATTGCTACACTTTGATAGTATATATGGTTTAATAACAAATTAACGAGAAATGTTTAGCTACATTTCTTTCCAAAAATTTCTCTAGTAAAATGAATACACTGAATTTTAATTAAAAGATTTTGACACTAATTTAAGCTATTGAAAGCTGTAGTTTCCCCATCCATAAAATAGGAATTGTAACAGAATCTATTACCTAGGTTGTTGCAAGCATTCAGTGAAAACAGCATAGCATGGGCTTGCCACAAACGTCATGCTTAATAAACATAAGCTATTTTTTGAATGATAGTTTTACCCTATTTTTTTGAATAGATCATTTTACTCTTCTGAGATTTATTTTTCATATGTACAGTATACAACATAATATTGTGTTGTAAAGGCTTCAAAACTCTTAGCTAAGGAAAGAGAAAAGAAATTCTCACACGAAGCCAAATACCTGAAAGATACTATATAAAATTAATTTATTTAAAAGAGGACATTCACCTTCTGAGGTCTTTTTGTTTTGTTTCCATTTAGTAGTTTTGTATCATTCATATGTTTGTATCATTAGTAGTTTTGTATCATTTATGTTGGTATCATTAGTAGTTTTGTATCATTTATGTTTGTATCAGTAATTTTGTATCATTCGTAGGTATATTTCATACTTTTGTATCATTCGTATGTTTGTATCATTAGTAGTTTTGTATCATTCATGTTTGTATCAGTAGCAGGTCTGTATCATTAGTAGTTTTTGTATCATTCATATGTTTGTATCATTAGTAGTTTTGTATCATTCATATGTTTGTATCATTAGTAGTTTTGTATCATTTATGTTTGTATCATTAGTAATTTTGTATCATTCCTAGGTATATTTAGTAGGTTTGTATCATTCATATGTTGTATCAGTAGTTTTGTATCATTTCTATGTATATTTAGTAGTTTTGTATCATGTATATGTCTACAAGGAGCCCTGTTGCCTCTTTTCCTCATTGCCAAGTGATTTCATCTGGTAGTTGCACAGTGGCTGCCCAATCTCCAAATCTGGTCAAGCTAGCTCCCAGGGGGTCAAGGCCTCTTTGCACAGGTTGCTACTGTTTGCCTCAGGGTGAGTGCTGTGTGTGAAAACAGTCCAGTGATAAGTAACAGTTTGCATTCAAGGCAGCCACATAGTGTAGTGAGACACAGCAGGATGTACCAGAAGGAACACGGGTTTCCATATTTGCTGATCTGGATCTGAATCTAGTATTTACCATTTACCAGCAGTAGGACTCTATAGAAAGGATTTGATCTCACATGTATCAGGTGGTTCATGCCTGTAATCCCTGCACTTTGGGAGGCCAAGGTGGGTGGATCACCTGAGGCCGGAAGTTCGAGACCAGCTTGGCTAACATGGTGAAACCCCGTCTCTACTAAAAATACGAAACTTAGCCAGGCGCAGTGGCCTGCGCCTGTAGTCCCAGCTACTTGGGAGGTTGAGGCAGGAGAATTGCTTGAACCCAGGAGGCGAAGGTTGCAGTGAGCCGAGATCGCGCCACTGCATTCCAGCCTGGGCGACAGAGTGAAACTCCATCTCCAAAAAAAAAAAAAAGTATAGACAATCAGTAATCAATGTGGTCTCTCTAACCCAATGAGAATTCCTGTCAAACAGCCCGTTCCTTATTCTCTTTTGCCTTTAAAAACATGCTTGTAACAAAGGCCAAGGGAGCACTCTCCAAGGCAACTTAAAAGTGTGCTCTGGGCAGCCATCCTCACTTTGGCTTAAGTAAACTCTTAAAATTGTATTTGTGCCTGAGCTTCTTCCTTTAGGTCAACAGCTTTAGGAAAACAAATTGCTAAGAGATATAGTGTTGTGTAGTGGTTAAAAGGTCTGGCTCTGGAGTCAAACATGATGTGGGTTTGAATCTCAGCTCTGCTTTTTTCTAGCTCTGTAAACATGAATGAGATTTATAACTTCTATGAGCGTCAGCTTCCTCCTCTGTAACGCCTATGTGCAGGCATTGTGTTGGGGATCAGGACATACCACCCCAAAATATGACAGTGGGAGACCAGAATATGCCACCCCCAAAATTTATTTCTTTGGCATATTTGAGCTGGTTATTCTGAGAAGTTGCAGGTATAGTAGTAGCGCCGAAAAGCTATCCTTTGTTACAGAATACCCCCATTTTTCTAAGAAAAATAGAATAAGTTACGATTATAGTTTACTGTTTTCTCTTCTTTTCTCTTTTCTGCATTTTCCCTGTTCCCCACTTCCTGCTTAGTCATTTAGAAATGCAATTATAACCTTTTACCCACCCCCAATCACCAGACACCCCCTATGGGGCAAGTTCATCTATGTGCTTCCAAGCTTCAGAGCGAAACTCTCACCCATCGGGAGACTGCTTTGAGAGATAATAGTCAATTTACAGCCCCAAATGTCAGAGGTGTTTGAACCAGAGCAACTCCATCTTGAATAGGGGCTGGGTAAAATGAGGCTGAGACCTACTGGGCTGCATTCCCAGACAGTTAAGGCATTCTAAGTCACAGGATGAGATAGGAGGTCAGCACAAGATACAGGTCATAAAGACCTTACCAATAAAACAGGCTGCAGTAAAGAAGTTGGCTAAAACCATCAAAACCAAGATAGTGATGAGAGTGACCTCTGCTACACTCCCACCAGCATCAGGACAGTTTACAAATGCCATGGCAACATCAGGAAGTTACCCTATATGCTCTAAAATAAGGAGATTTTTAGCAGATACTTAAGAAATAACCATAAAAATGGGCAATCAGCAGCCCTCGGGGCTGCTCTGTGTGTGGAGTAGCCATTCTTTTATTCCTTTACTTTCTAAACTCACTTTCACTTTATGGTCTTGCCCTGAATTTTTTCTTGCATGAGATCCAAGAGCCCTCTCTTGGGGCCTGGATGGGGACCCCTTTCTGGTAACAAAAGCATGTGATATAGTTTAGATATGTGTCCCTGCCAAAATCTCATGTTGAACTGTAATCCCTAATGTTGGAGGTGGGGTCCGGTGGGAGCTGCTTGGATCAGGGGGTGGATTTCTCATGAATGATTTAGCACCATCCTCTTGGTGTTGTTCTCATGATAGTGAGTGAGTTTTCATGAGATCTGGTTGTTTGAAAGCATAGTAGCACCTCCCCGCTCCCTGTCTCTCTCTTGCTCCTGCTCTGGCAATAAGAGTTCTCATTCCCACTTTACCTTCCACCATGACTATGTTTCCTAAGGCCTCCCCGGAAGCCGAGCAGATGCCAGCATCGTGCCTCCCATAAAGCGTGCTGAAGCATGAGCCAATTAAATCTCTTTTCTTTATAAATTACGCAGTCTCAGGTATTTACGGCAATGCAAGAACAAACTAATACAGTATGCCTGCTACAAAACTCTCTCCCACCTGGATAGTTTTTGGCCCACGAAGATGCCAACTCAACTGCCTGGTAGATAAGGCACCAAACTAACACATGGATACCCCATCTGCTTGCTTCCTCCCATGTGCCATTCATGTTAGGCCCCCTTTTAAAAGTGCCTGCTTTCTGCTGCAGAAGTGAAGCAGTACCCTTAAGGCAGGAAGCCTGTACTTCTTCTCCTAAGCTAGCTTTAGGAACAAAAATTCACCTTCTTTACACCATACCTCCTTGGTAAGCGAACTCTGCAAGTAGCCAGCTACTGAACCTGTATTTCTGCTACACTTTTGTAAAAGAAATTTACATCCATAAAGGAAATCTATATTAGTAAAAGTATCTGTAACAGGAAGAGGGAGACAACTCTTTATTACCTGAGAGACAGGGTTTCACTCTGTCACCTGGGCTAGAGTGCAGTGGCACAATCTCAGCTCACTGCAACCTTGACCTCTGAGGCTCAGGCAATCATCCCACCTCAGCCTCCTGAGCACCTGGGACTACAGGCATGTGCCACCACACCTGGCTAATCTTTATATTTTTTTGCAGAGAAAATTTTGTATTTTCACCATGTTGCCCAGGCTGGTCTCGAACTCCCGTGCTCAAAGGATCTGCCTGCCTTGGCCTCCCAAAGTACTGGGACCGCAAGCTTGAGCTACCGTGCTCAGCCCATTTTTTCTTGAAGAAAGAGTAAGGAATAATTTTCACTGTAGGGTGGAAAGTCAGTTGCCCCTGAGTATCCTGAGCCAGGTTCTAATTACCTTCATTTTAACATAAATGCTAAGCTGGGTTTATGCTAGCTGTCAGTCATTCTTTCCCTTGAACAAAAATACTAAAAACCTAGACCTTTAAAAGAAAGAAATGCTATTCTGAATTTTTAAAAAAGTGTTCCTTCTTAAATAAATTCTCAAACTCTATCCTTTCTCTTTCAATTCACAAAAATACTAGTGTGCACACACATGTATATATACGCTTCTTTACACCAGGCTTGTAGGGGACACTATTGTGTGTATTTCCAATATATAGTTTCCTTTCTTCTGTCTTAACAGAACTCTTTTTGCCTTTGTTTTCTTGAGTTGTTCCGATAACTGTGCTTTTCCAAATAGCTAAACTTGCTCAATCTACTTGAAAAGCAATAGCTCTTCAGCATGAATTTTGAACTATCCTCTGTATAATGGTCTTTCTTAAAATATTCTCTTTTCTTAATTCTCAGTGGGAATAAAAAACAAAACAATTTTATGTACAGAGAAAAAGTCTAATTTTATAATAGTATCGTGTCCATCATGTTGGCATTTTTTTTTTTTTTTTTTTTTTTTTTTTTTAGATGGAGTTTCACTCTTGTCACCCAGGCTGGAGTGCAATGGCGTGATCTCGGCTCACTGCAACCTCTGTGTCCCGGGTTCAAGTGATTCTCCTGTCTTAGCCTCCCAAGTAGATAGGATTACAGGTGCCCACCACCACACCGGCTAATTTTTGTATTTTTAGTAGAGACTTTTAGTAGATTTTGTATTTTAGTAGAGACCATGTTGGCCAGGCCGGTCTCGAACTCTTGTCCTCAGGTGATCTGCCCGCCTCAGCCTCCCAAAGTGCTGGGCTTACAGGCATGAGCTATTGTGCCCAGCCCCATCATGTTGGTTACTCAGGGTATTTTTAAAAAGCAAAAATTTTTTTAAGCCATGTGACATTTTTATAATTAGAGTCATCAATGAATTAAAAATTAACCCATGCTAGGTTACCTTAACTGTATTACAAAGTTATTTGCAAGCTTTTATTTTAAAGAATGTAAGTTTCAATCCTGGCTCTGCCACCACCTAGTTGAATGGTCTTGATGTTAATATCCCTGGGCTTCCATCTCCTCAACTTTGAAAAGAAGGAGTGAGACTCGACCCTTCCCAACTCTTTCAACTCTCAAATTTTATTATTGTTTTTATTTTTATTTTTTGTAGTTTATAGAAAATAGGGAATACATGAAATTTTTTAAATGTAAAAAGCCAAGAAAAGATAATTTACTTTGAGACATGTGATTTCTAAAGAAACTATGCCTTTGGTATTTTCTAACTATATATTTATCAAGCTCGTCCAACCTGCAACCTTCCAACCTGTGGCCTGTGGGACACACGCAGCCCAGGACAGCTTTGAATGCAGCCCAGCACAAATTCATAAGCTTTCTTAAAATATTACGAGAATTTTTTCATGATTTTTTTTTTTTTTTTTTTAGCTCATCGGCTATCGTTTGTATATTTTTTGGCCCAAGAGGATTCTGCTTCTTCCAATGTGGCCCAGGGAAGCCAAAAGATTGGATACCCCTGGTTTACATAGTAAAGAAAGCACTAAGAGAAGTATAAGAGAAAAAGTTCTGGAAGACATGCCCTAGGGAACGTAACTTCAATCCCTGAGTCAGAGAGGTTATGGCCTATTAGTTAGTAATTGGTGACACTTGACGCTTAAACAAAATGGTCTTACAGGATGGTTAGTAGAAGTAACTCTGCCTTAAGTGTGCTCAAATGTGATTTGAGGAATCAGTGTTGTTTATAAATGTCACTAAAACTAGATAACAAGGACTCAGAATTAATATGAAAAGATGCAAACTTTAGCATAAAGGCTAAAGCAGATCAAAATAACCATCTAGTAATAAAAGATCTGCAATTAGTCTGATAGTTTCACTAGAAAGTGAGGAGAATTTCTATGTAAGAAAATAATTAGCACAGTCTTATTTAGGCACTGAGAAAAATACCAACAACAACAACAAGAACAATAACAGTCGCACTCTAACCACTTTCACAATTTGAAACATATGATGGAAATATGAAGAGTACATTTAGGCCGGGGACGTGGTTCATGCATGTAATCCTAGCACTTTGGGAGGCTGAGGCAGGTGAATCATTTGAGGTCAGGAGTTCCAGACCAGCCTGGCCAACATGGTGAAACCCCTGTCTCTACTAAAATTCAAAAAAGAAAAAACTGGCTGGGCATAGTGGTGCACCTGTAATCTCTGCTATTTGGGGGGCCGAGGCAGGAGAATCGCTTGAACCCGGGAGGCAGAGGTTGCACTGAGCCGAGATCACGCCACTGCACTCCAACCTGGGCAACAGAGAGAGCTCCGTCTCACAAAAAAAAAAAAAAAAAAAAAAAAAAAAAAAAGGACAGGTGCAATGGCTCAAACATGTAATCCCAGCGCTTTGGGGGGCCGAGATGGGTGGATCACCTGAGGTCAGGAGTTCGAGACCAGCCTGGCCAACATGGTGAAACCCCGTCTCTACTAAAAATACACAATTAACATGGCATGGTGGCGCGTGCCTGTAATCCCAGCTACTTGGGAGGCTGAGGCAGGAGAATCGCTTGAACCCGGGAAGAGGAGGTTGCAGTGAGCCGAGACCATGCCACAGCACTCCAGCCTGGGCAACAAAAGCGAAACTCAGGCTAAAAACAACAACAACAACGACCACGAGTACTTTTAAATCTACATTACAAAACATGTTTATGTTTCATATGATGCTTTAATAAGTTTTCCTAACCTTGTTTTGTTTATTGGGCCCCACCTCTGTGCAAAAGCATTGTACTATAAGCCAGGGGAAATATAAAAGAAAATGTTGCTCTTGCCGTTAGTGAACTTACTTCCTATAAACACAAGCAGGCACACCCTGCTTGTAAACTCTAGTTTGAAAGGTAACATTTTAAATAACTTGATATCTTTATATGCCCAGATTTACAAATGATTAAAATAAAAAAATAGGTAATTTTTCATGAAGTTACCTTACAGAGTACTTTATTTTCAATTATGATATTGAAGAATGAAGTTTAATGCTAACCAGCTTAAGCCCCAAATTTATTCATTGTTTCAGATTTTCCTTATTAAAATTGGAAATCAGTATTCAATAATCATAAGAATAGTCTGCCATCAATTTTTTTTGGCCATTTATAGTGATAAATATGAGGTATTATATCAATACATGTAAAGAGGTATATATAAAAAAGCAAAATGACAGAACAAAAAGCAGCACACAGAGTGCAACCCACACAGTGATCACAGCCTTCAAAACGTGTGACAGGCATTGAAAGAATCATGAAGGAACACAGACAGAGAGGTTTCTCCTTAAGTGTGAGGGTATGAAGCAGTGTGCTACCATCTTCCTCACAAGTTGGATGGAGAGATTGCAGGTGAGTATAATGTAGCCTTTGCCATGGCAAATTCCAGAGCTAAAAAAAAATCTACGTGGAAATTTCCAGTTTTCCACTCTTAACATCACTAACCATCCAAACTATGTACGTATGTATGTATGTATGTATGTATTTTTAATTTTTTGAGAAAGAGTCTTGCTCTGTTGTCCAGGCTTGAGTGCAGTGGCACAATCTTGGCTCACTGCAACCTCCAGCTGCTGGGTTCAAGCGATTCTCCTGCCTCAGCCTCCTGAATAGCTGGGATTACAGGCGCCAGCCACCACACCTGGCTAATTTTTGTATTTTTAGTAGAGGTATTGCCATGTTGGCCAGGCTGGTCTCGAACTCCTGACCTCAAGTGATCTGCCCACCTCGGCCTCCCAAAGTGCTGGGATTACTGGCATAAGCCACCACACCCAGCCTTTCGCTATTCTTATTAATGTAAAGACTGGCATGAGCCACCGTCCCCGGCCCCAAACTTTTTTAAAACAATAGCTGAAGAAACTTTTAAAAAGGCTAGTAAGAGATGAATTTCACTAGAAAAATCTGATTAAATGTAATGTAGATAATTTTGAATTTTAGACATAAAGAAAAAATTTTAATTTAAAAGTCCAGAAAATTTCATAATCATAACAACTCAAAATTTAAAATTCCATATATTGGCATATAAAATAACATGTATATTAAACTTTCAATTCTTTTTAAATGATATATTTTTTCAAGTTTCCCCACTTTTTCACTAGGGAAACTTGTGAATACAGTATAGCTGAACAAATGTATTTTTAAAAATGCAAAATCGTAAAGTCATATAAAGGTGTGTTTTCCAATTGAAATGTACACATTTGTATTGAATTCTGAGTTTGTATTTATTTGAAAGGAAATAATAAGCAGACAACTGCCTGTTTCTATCCTCTCAAATAAACAGCAGTGCCATTCTGCTGTTAGCCAGCCTAACACAGTGCAATTGTTATTTTTCTTTCGTCTTTTCTCTGTCATTTTCTGTTCATTTTTGGGAGAAGAATGCTAAGTTACTAATATAAGTAGCCTTATAAATGTAAACTCATAATTGTCAGGAAATGTTACATAAGCGAATGTCTTCTGCGTCTTTCAACTTTTTGGTGCCCTTATGCTGCCCCCTGCTGTCCAGTGTCCACACTTACTGAAAATTGTCCCAAACTTCCAACCTTTTCTACTTCTCTTTACTCCGCCATCAAAACTTACCTGGCAAGAGACCCAGACTGTTGGAGTTTCCCTCCACAATGCCAATGGGTTAACAGACAAATAAAAGAAAGAAGTAGTTCTCTCTTTATTTATCCCTTCATCATTTTCTGGCAATTGACGCAAGCATTTGAACTGGTGCTCTGTGGGCAATGCCTGATTTCTAGGTTCCCCAGCTTGGGATTCCAAACCCTCCCTGTGTTAGTCCAAGCTACTCTCATGGACCTGTCTCTCCCAGTGTCTAACCTCTGCACATCATAGCCTACTCTCTATCCGCACTGGCTTCTAGCTGTGTTTCCCACAGCCACGTGTGTTCTTCCATCTTTGCCTGTGCCCACACTGCTTTCTCTACCTGGAAGGTCTTCTCTCAATCTTTATCTGCTGAAAGTTTACCCATCCTTCAAGGTTCCAGTCAAAACTACCTTTTCCTTTATGGCTCAGGGAAGTGTTTTTTTTGTTTGTTTTGTTTTGGTTTGGTTTTTTAATGTAGTAGAAATTCAATAAAGATTTATTTAATGAAAGAAAAGCAGATAATAAACCTTATACTCTATGTGACTCATTGACTTAACAGAGTACTTGGAGAAGATAATGACCTATTCCAGGCAGCATCTTTAATACTGCAAAATCCATACACCTGAATGCGGTAATCTTTTAAATTCGCGTCGCACTGTGTAAGGCCTATTTTGATCTCTGAAATCAGGTTTGTCTAAGAAATACAGAACTTAGAGTACATCTTGAGTACTTATGGCAAGTCTAGCGCTATTCAAGGCACTTTAGATGCACAAACTCATTGTGTTCTCTCAACAGCCATGTGAGATTAAGTAATATTACTTTGTTTGATAGAAGAAGAAACTGAGGGTCTGGACAATTGGTAGTAAAGGGCAAAGTTAGGAACTCTGAACAGATCAGACAAAGCCGTGTACTTCAAGTGTTCTCCTAATGTCTGCAATAGAAATGTGGATGGAGAGGCTTCTGGTCAGCTATTCTGGAAGCTAAAAAACCTTGTCAATAGAATAACATTGGAAATTGTGACCACATAGCCAGACAAAGCCATGAGAGAAATTCAGTCAGTCAAGGATCAGAAATATCTGGAAGAGTTGATTGTTCTACGAGACAATGTGAAAGAATATGACATTCTGCCAAATTCAAAGGTATTTAGATTTAGATATAAAAGACAGCTACATATTCTAAAAGGTTAGGAAGTGCAAAATCCAGGTATTTTTCAATTGATGTAGCCATAGATTCTAACATGACTTGAAAATAAGAAATGATACGACTCAATATCTAAGACAAGTAGGCCTTCAGAATACCTTTTTTTAAAATAAAAAATACAGTAAATATAAATAAGGCTCAGTACACCCCATCAGTGTCTCAAACAAGGATCTAGTTGTGTTCCAACCAAAACCACTGTTCGTCAAAAAATTTGAACAAGCTAAGAAGGCAGACCAAAAAATTTACTTGGGAAGACAACACCCCAAATTGTTTGGGTAGGTCATAACGGTTCTTTTAACAGGTAAGCATATTTTAACTCCAGAAAGATTTAGAATGTGCTGTCGAAAGTACTGCATTTTTTTGTAGTGTAAGTAATTGCACTATTTAAGAACACTTGACCTAATGGAGTAAGAGGTCAGCCTATTAGACTTTTAAGCAGAATTCTTACTAAGTTTATGTGTATTATTGAAACATTAGAGCAAACTTAAGAGTTACCATGTTTAGAAGTTAAATTATTAGATCTGTAAGATTTTAGCTTCTTGAAAATGTTACAAAGTACTAAAGAAGGCAATTATATGTACTAAATTTATAAATTCAGTGTAAAAAGTTGGGAGGTGTTTAATTAAGTCATGCTACAGATAAGACCAGATATTATTTAAAGGATCATGATTTCTAAAATTTGCAAGATTTATGAATATGATAAGATTTGTATACTAAATTTTAAAGCATAATGGAGAACTACTACTTTGAATATATAAGCTAAAAACTTTTTATATATATTTTAAAAACTGGAATTAACTTCTGAATAGCCTTTCAATATATAAGACCCACTCTGAAGGGCATCAAATAACTCATAACTGAAGAGGAGTTACAGGGCTGGTTTTCTTCCAGCAAAAGTTTGTGTTCATTAGGCAGTCAATTTTTTGCTTCACTCCACAGAACTGGTTTCACTGTCATTAATCTTTATGTAGGTCTGGGCCTCCCTCACCTCCTAGGAGATGGATAGTAGGTTTTGAAAGATGGAGATGAGAAGTAGCCTGGCTAGTCTACAAAAACCTCCCCCAAATTTTTGGTTTAGTGGGTTGCTTCAATAGCCGTAAGCCTGTCTCTATAACTTAGCAATTCTCAACCCTGACTGCTAGGATCCCATGGACAACTTTTGGGAAATATTTATTTCCAGATCCCATCCAGTCCAACTAAACCAAAACTTTTTAGGGTAGGGCATAGACATTTTGCTTTTAAGTTTCTGGGTGATTCTCCATACAGGCAGAGTTGAGAACCAGTGGTGCACGAGTGTGAGCCTCTCATGATCTGAAGGACCCAGAATCATTCTAGACCAGGGCTGTTCAATAGAGCTTTGGGCAGTCATGGAAATGTGCCATAAATCTGTGCTGTCCGATATGGTAGCTACTAGCTGGGTGTAGCTATGGACCACTTGAAATGTGGATAGTGTGACTGGGAAAATGAACTTTAAAATTTAAGCTAATTCAAATTTAAGTTAATTCAAATAGCCACATGTTACTAGTGAGTACCGTATTGGACAGCACAGTTCTGGAGTTTTAGGCAATTTTAAATGATCTGAGTCTACTATTAAATAGATGCTGAATGACTCTTTTTGATTCTAGACCACACTAGCCCAAACTCATTGCTTATGCCTCTTCAGGATACTTCATACCAGCTTCTTGAGAAGACCTCCAATGGTATGGAAGGATGGCTTGAAGCTTATAATGGCTTCTGAGGATAGAAAGGACATGGAATTTGCTGGTTTTTTCCTCCCTCATTTAGGTTGGCAATTTGTTTCTTGACAAATGAATGAACACCTTCAGAACTAAAAATTTCTGAAGTCTCATAACTTAATAATGGAACCGCAAAGCAATTAAACTCTTGGAAATGGTCCTCTTCATTCTTTGGCATGTTGCAGTGTTTTTCAACTGGGGATTGTGACCTCTATCTTGGAGGATGGAGAGTTTCCAGTGGATTGGAGCAGTGGCCTGAGTTTCAGAGCTAAATATAGGTCATTGGCATGGCAGCTTCCCTTTCTCAGTCTCATGGATACTATGTCCTACTAGTGAATATGTGGCATTGGTGGTTGGTGGAATAAAATCTTGAGAAAAACAGCAAAATGACACAGATTCAGGTCTTTCACAGATGGACCTTGATATTGAGCAAAACTAAACTCTACTTTTACCTACTTTAAAAAAATCACTTGTAAAGTATGCGTGCTATTTTAAAAAGGTAAAAATACACACATTAATGACTCGTTGGCAAATAAATTTTAAACGTGATATTAATGCTAAAGCATAAGGAGAATCCTCCATGGCCAGGCGCGGTGGCTCACCCCTGTAATCCCAGCACTTTGGGAGGCCGAGGCGGGTGGATCACCTGAGGTCAAGAGTTCGAGACCAGCCTGGCCAACATGGTGAAACCTCATCTCTACTAAAAATACACACACACAAAAATTAGCTGGGTGGGGTGGTGCAGTAGTCCCAGCTACTCGGGGAGGCTGAGGCAGGAGAATTGCTTGAAACCAGGAGGCGGAGTTTGCAGTGAGCCAAGATCGAGCCACTGCACTTCAGACTGGGCAGCAGAGGGAGACTCCATCTCAAAAAATAAAACAAAAAGATTCCTCCTTCAAGTCTTTGCTCAACTCTCACCTTTTCAATCAGCCTACCCTGAACATCCTATTTAATATTGAAATATGTATATATTAATTCCTTTTGCCAAAAATTAAATGACACCCTTTCAAAGTTTGCAATCCATATTTCAAAGCCAAAATACTTATCATGGCAGACAGCCTCTGATACTCTAGAGCAGTGTTCTCAAATGTTGCTGCCTGGACCAACAGCATCTCATCATCTGGGAACTAAGAAATGAAAATTCTCATGCCCCACCACAGGCCAGCTGAACCTGTAACTCTTGTGGTGGGGGCCTGGGAATCTGTGTTTCAATAAGCCCTCCAGGTGATTCTAGGGCACACCAAAGTTTGCAATCCACTGATCTAGAGTACAACAAAACCCCGCAAAATGTCCCACAGGTGAAAGCTTCCATATATGCCAAAGTTATAAAGACTGAAACATTTCAGTACATACCATTGGCCTTACATATTGCGAAATGGATGCCAATATTCCATCTGGACCTAATGTTATGAATCATGAATTTACCCCCTTCAATAAGGCCTCACTGAATCTCTAGGCTTTGATCTTCTTTTCCCTGTAAAAATTTGTCTGAAAGAATTTCATGAGATGTTCCTGAAGAGAGGAGGTAAAGTACAAGTACAAATGTATCAGAAGCAAATTCGACATACAAAATTTCATCTGTATATGACTGATAAATCAGAAGGCCGATTACTCATTCTAGGAAAACACTGTTAGATTTACAAAGTAATAAATTAACCAGAAGATTCAACAGCAATATCATAGAGCACATTTAAAAGATAAGTCAGGCCGGGCGCGGTGGCCCATGCCTGTAATCCCAGCACTTTGGCAGCCGAGGCGGGTGGATCACCTGAGATCAGGAGTTCGAGACTAGCCTGGCCAACATGGCAAAATCCCATCTCTACTAAAAATACAAAAAAAATTAGCTGGGTGTGGTGGCGGGCGCCTGTAATCCCAGCTACTTGGGAGGCTGAGGCAGGAGAATTGCTTGAACCCGGGAGGCGGAGGTTGCAATGAGCTGAGATTGTGCCATTGCACTTTAGCCTGGGTGACAAGAGCGAAACTCGGTTTAAATAAAATAGAATAAAATAAAAGTTAGAGAACACCAATTTTACAAATATCTCATGTGATAGTAAAGAAAAGGAGGTAAGTACACAGCCTCTGATTTCAGACTTCCCAAGTTCAAACTCTAGCTTTTTCATTTCTGTGTAACATGGGCCAAGTGTCTGGGGTATAAACCTCTCTATGCCTCAGTTTCCTTGGCTGCAAAATGGGTATAATGATTGCCCTATTTCCTAATTTTGTGTGAAGATTTAAGGAGATAGAGGTAGCATTTAGGCTGCAGGCTGGAACATAGTAAGCTCTAATCAAATGTTGTTTTTGTTATTTTTAAAATTAGCCCACAAGTGACATATCTGGCCACTGAGAAAACAGATACTAATGTTTTAATCACTCAAGAATGTTTATACAAAACAGTTCAAGTTTACATAAAGCAATTAAGTGCTAACCTTATTGAGCTCTAAATATTCAGCAGATGTTCACCCTTCTAAACATCTTGCCTAGTTAAACCAATCCTGGTAATTTCAGTCCCCTTGTCAGTGACTGGTTTAGGTATAAGCACGTCCTACAAACCTGGCCAATGAGCTCTAAGAAACACTGTGCTATGGGGCTTCTGAGAAAGGATTTCTTCCTTTACAACAAGATGAATAAGAGTAACTCTCCTCACTTTGGATATTTTAATATTAGGATATGATGCCTGGGTCTGCAGCAGCCACTTTGTGACTATGAGGAAAGACATTGCTGATGTTATGGCAACGTAAAAGGTTAAAGTATCTTAATAACATTGTTGAACCAAATCTAAAACTCACTATTGAACCAAACCTAGAACTCACTTGCCACCTGATTACATATTTAGTTGAAAAACTAATGTCCTTATTTTTTATGCCACTATCAGTAGGGTTCTATGTTAGTATGAAAGCAAACTAAATAATATAACACACCTAGCTACTATAGATTAATTGGCTGTATGACACAATAATCTGGTAACTTTATTCCTGAGATCATCTTAACCCACATAGAGATTCCTTAATAAATAGTTCCTTCTCCTCCAATTCATCTGTATAGAAATAACATCAGTCTTACTTTCCTGCTCCATACCTGATATGTTTAACTAATTAACCATTAGCTAAGTGTTGAATTATATTATTCTCATAAATTAAAATATGTTTTTATTTTTAAAATTTCTGTTATATATACCATTAGAAATTATTACAGAAGGTTCTAAAATAAAAATTTTAGTTCTAATATAATACTTCAATACTAATTTTATTTCCCTGCTTCATCTTCACAGTTTATATTTACCATGATGTTTATTTGATGACACCGTGAACAAAATGTGCAAAATGAGGCCCTACCATGTTTTAAAAAATGTTTTCATCAAATGGATCTCAGAGGGACATGCCCAAAACTCCTGCTACCAGAGTGATCCTCTCTTCATCTCTTTTCTCTAGCCAATAAATCAAAGTTTCATTTCTCATTTTGCAATAGGAATTTGTATTAGGCAACCATCTGTAGCATCTATTTGGGTTATATCTAAAGCTTAAGGGCTACATCCTCTCCCAACCCCAATATGTGAGTACTTGATGCCCGAATCATGGTCCTTCAATGGAAGAACACTTGTCAAATCCTATTTAAACAGATCTAAATTAAAAAAATATTTTTTTTCTAAAAATATTATTTGGCCTTCATTTGGGAATCTCACACATCTAAGACCTTAGATTTAAAGTATCTTTAGAACTCTAACCACATTGGAGTGTAGACTCCATTACAGCAGGAATCCTTGCCTCTTTTGCTTAATATTGCATCATAGCATCTTATCAGAATGATACATAATAGATGGGGGAAGATCTAGAATAAACAAACCCCCGAATAAAAATAGAAACAAATGTTGAACAAATCAATTATAAAATCTGCTTTTATCTTTTTCATAAAAATATTTATAAAATTATACATCTGCTTTACTTTCCCTTTAGATTCTCCATTTGATAATCATTTTGGAAAGATCAAAAACAAAGTCATAACACAAACACACATTTTGTGTATCATTTTCCTCTTGTTTTCTTTTGCAAAACCATGCTGAGGAGGACAGTGGTGTATCTGTATCGTCTTATGGAAAGTAGTAACACATCTAGCAAATAACAGAGGTAAATATGCATGAGAAGTGGGTAGAATTGGAAACAGACAATTTCAGGTCTATATTGTGCGTGATTTCACAGGATAGAATTTTATTTTATATTTTCTTCTTTTAAAAAAGTTCATTCCAAGGTAGATTAGATTAGCCCTGGCTAATATTTTTAGCATTTTATGTTTGGTCACCTTAACATCTCTAAATCTTTCTTCCCTTTGTTACCTTACCCTACCATTACCTATCATCTAATGAGTTTGGCTAACCTGAAACTTCCTCAGTCTTTAACAATACTAATGAATGCAAGTTAATAAATTAGGAAATTGTGTTGGTTCATTACATTGTCTTAATATAATTTTCAGTTTATTTGTTATTGATTGAGCTCCTTAATTTCAAGTTCATTTTTCTGAGGTTTATTGTTTCTAATTTGATTTACAGATTCTCCATGTCTTTGGCATTATTTCTTTCTGCTTTCTGCAACCTGTTTTTTGGTAATTTCACTACTCATTAGCCCCTCCCTCCATCAGAGGGATGGGCAGGATGAGAAAAATGATATGACAATATAGTAAATTTTGCTACTTGCTATTATCTGATAAAATGGTGTTCAAGAAAGAAATAAGTGTGTAACTGTTGACTAAAATGACATTTTGGGAATTTTTTAAAATAATTTTTTATTGTCCATGATCTAGCAACTGTTACCATGAAAGACTGAGTTAGTTCTCTATCTGCTAAATTTAATAAATAAAGGTTTTTAATCCAAAAATTTGTTATAATTCTAATCACAATCACACCAAGCTCATGAACTACATTTCTATAAAAATGTTATCAATTAAAAAAAATAATGTTCAAGGAATCAAGAGCTAAAATGAAGCTCAAGGTGGATTTTAAAATGGAGAATAATATAAAATAGTGAACTGTTTTTGCCTCATAGATTTCAACCTCCTTAAATACTTAGTGATGTAAGAGTCATATATAAAATGTTATCAGTCATATAAATATATATGAAGGATTTTTAAAAGTGAAGATTTAACTATAATAGTTACTTCATAATCAATGATGTAATAGTCAATGATGTAGGAGAACAAAGAGCATTGCATAGCTCCATATGGACTTCAGAGCATCAGTTTGTTTTTAAAAGGGGGCTACCTTATATACACATGTTTAGTTTTCAGAGATTAAATAAAATAAAAATTATCGCCATTCTGAATAGCAGACTATTTTAGCAATACATGTGTTGGAAAGTATATTTTATTTGGTAGATCAACTTCAGAGAACTAAACTCTCCAGCATAACCAGAGGGTTAGATAATATATTTACACCTGCAGTATTTCATTCTATAAATAATCTATAATGTCAAAAACTAGCCTTGATGGGGCATTTACATTTTATGAATAGCTAAAATGTTACAGTGAACATTTTCACATTTTTATGGCATAGTATAAACAAAATATGGGCTAATACATAATTATTTTTGAAGTTCAAGGAAAGGGATATATAGATAGAGTATAGAGACACAAAAATCAGAAATACTATTTTTAGCCATTTTCACACATCCTTTTACTTCAACCTGTTAAATGATTAAAAAGTGAAATGAGCATTTACGTATTTCAAAGTGGGTAAACACGCTAAATAATAATTCTTGAAATGTTCACTCTTTCAAAAAATAATCTCTTCAATCTTATGGAAAAGTGGTCTAGTGTACTATTTCAGTTGTTTTTATTTTATGTGACCAAAAAAAATACGCTTTAGGGTTCAATTACTGATTCGTCCCACTTTCTTTTTGAACTAAGGGCACACTTACTATCTCCATAAACAGCTAAAATGTTTACAGAGACCAGTAAAACCTATGTCAGATCGTAACACATTTTTGTTCTTGGGAGGCTTTGGGCCTAAATCCCACATTCTCTAATCAGATAACTCAATAAGAACAAAGATGGAAAAGATATAATCCTGCATTTAGATATGTGAACATCAAAATTTTTAAAGCCAAAAGCAATTGTGCACATATTCTTAAAAAATTATCTTATTCCAAAATATTTGTTATTTTTAAAACAAGACTATCTGTAATTCAGTTGAAGTATCATTTCAAAATGAAACAAACAATAATGTGGGAATTATTATATGACTACTTATTAGAAAAACCTCAGGAGAAACTTAGAATAGTTATTTAAGAAATCCCTAGGTTCAAAATGAAATTCAACTTTTACAATGTTGAAGGAACTAAAACTCAGACATTTGGTTAAATTGAAAATACACTAACACATATAATTTTGTAATATAAGGAAAATGCAAAATGTTACTAAAAGGATAAATCGACAGCTTATTACTGAATAATTCTGATATAGAGATGATAAATCAGATCAGATAAAACAACTGCAAACTGCATGCCTGTCCCTGATGTTCCCTCGGCTGGTTGTGACGACATGTCTGCTCTCACCATAGTTCACAGTTCACAGAAAACATTTAAATAACACAACTGAATACTTCCACTGACTAAAATGAACTTTCTTTAAGAAAATAAAGGGAGAAGAGAATAGATCAAATCTTGCCCCACCTCTTTTTTTTTCTTCCTTTTTTCTTTTAGTGAAACTGACATAAATTGTTGAGGAGCACTACAGCGCCACCAACACAGATCAATGCAAAACAAAAAAGATCTCCCACCGTGTGCAAAAAGAAAAAAAATTAGAAAAATGCCAAAAATTACAAAATGTCTCCCAAATGTACCGTATAGGAGAAAAACAAGATAGACCTGCAAAGATTATCTAATGAAGAGCTTCAAAGAAATAATATCATAGACTACAAGTTGAGATCTGATCAGCAAATAAAAGATCCACTATTTAGTAACAGCCATAACTTAATATAAACCCGGTTATGTCAACCTCCACCTTCATTATACCAAGGGCAGCTTTTCTGTAGTTTGTATCCAAGTAATCTATCAAGAGAACCACAATAGGTCCATTTAAAAAAAAACTATATCCATAGTTTGCCTGCTGATAATTGAGTCCTGGACAAATTAGGTAAGACATAATTTTTATAAAGAGGATATGCACATATTTGGCATTGCCAACATTACTGGCACAAAACAAGTCCATCTTGAAATATCTGAGTTCCTCTGTAGTTCACAGTAATTAAAGTATAATTTATATTATAAACATTTAGCTTTAACAATGAAAAAAAAAACTATTTTTTTTTCTTTTGGTAAAAATTAACCAGGCAAGATTAGGTAGAACGTGCAGAGATCAAAGCTAAAGAAAAATACAAAGATTGGTTTTGTTAGAAGAAACACAATGAAAATCCTTTTTAGCCGGTGGCTCTTTCAAAGACTGACATAAATGGTGAAAATTACAAACTTACCATTAGTGCAGGCAAAGAAGACGGCAGTTCTTGAAAAAAAATTGTAACAATATAGGCTGGATACTTGTGTCCCTAGAAACAACAGCCTCCAGGCAGCATATGGATCTTCCAACATCTTTAAAATGTTTGGTAAATAAAAAGTAATACTTTCTTCCATGATCGGTGGCCGAATGGGGTGGCTTCCCCCAGGATCTGTGGGCTTTTGGGGGAAATCGGAGAAATATCCACAGAAGATTAAAAGCAGAGGAGGCAGCACAGCCAGAAGACTCTGGGGTTAACAACTTTGCGATGGCAAGCAGGCGAGCGCTGATTGGCTGGGAGGGCAGTGTCCCTACAGTCTGCACTATCCCCCGCTGCCCCCGCCTCCTGCAGCTCGGAAAAAAATGCAGTGTGTGTGCCATTTTACACTGGGCTTTTAAAAGCACAGCCACCAAAATGACAAAAGTCTAAGCTCGCTATGAAGTGACACTGCAAGACAATAGCACCCACGGCTGCCTGTGAGCTCGGGGGAATGCCCCTTTTAACATCTGAAGGAACACTCTGGCTTCTTGGATGTGGGGTTTTTTTGTTTGTTTTTTGTTTTTGTTTTTTTTTTTTTAAAACAGCATTATCATGTTTTTCTTGAGCAGATTGTTGATCCTTTTCAACCACTCGATAGATCCTCTGCATGCAAACCTGGCCATGTAAAAACGATGTCCATCAAAATATTTTTTCGATTTGATCTCATGAAGGTACCTAGAGAAGCCAGTCATCCTGGAACAAAATTCATGACTCCTTTAGCTCCGAGATCTTTAATTCCTTGGGAAAAAAAATATAATTTCTTACTCACAGTAACTACGATGTGTGCAAAAAGTAAAATAAAATAATGAATTTAGCGGTTAAATGAAAACAATAGGCATATTCCCTCCCCCTCCCCCGCCCCCCTTAAAAACTGTTTCAAAAACCTTTACTGGCTGACAGAATTCTACCACTCTGCCTTACAAACAAAATGGCTGTGGTACTGAGTTTTTTAGGATCCTCCCACTGTGCCTCCTCCTGGCCTCCAGGAAGTGATAAAAATCCAAAATAAATACAGTACTGAAAGTACACCATTGAGTCTGAATTCGGGGGAAACCTTTGGTAAGAGGGTCTTAGAAATGTGCTGGTCATTATTAGTTTTTTAAAATTGTTTTGAAAAGAACATCAATCACTAGAGATTTACTTGACTGTAATTCGAACTTCCTGCTTTACATATTTATAAGGTCTTTCACCTATCTTGGCAGGCTTTCAAATTAAGTGGGCTGGGAAATTTGATGCTCGGTCTCTAGTTGTGAGCTGAGTCAGGTATTTGGTGGTTGCAACTGGGCTTTTAAATAAAGACAAAATCTAAGACTTTAAAAAAATGAACGTTAAACAGACGCAAGACTATGTTTGCTAATGTAAAGTCAGAAAAGTCGACAAAGATCGTAATGTGTCAAATACTGCATACATGTGTCAACATATTCAGTAAAAATTCTTTGCCCACTAAATTTTCTAACAAGCCAAGAAGAGAACAGGGTTTAAAGGAACTGGATTAAGAAAGGGGTGGGGAATTATCTACATTCTTCACAACCTCTTCCCCTCCCCACACACACCACACACATACACACACATGCACATATACACACACATACACATACATATACACACACACACGCACACACGCACACACACACACACACGTTGGTCTGGTATCCCTGCCTGGCACTTAATAGGTAACATTCTTAGAAAGATATAGCTAGGGTGACTATGAATTTATCATCTAACACAGGATACTTTGAGAGTGAAAAGGGCTAATTATAGGACAGCTGGAATAAACAGAGCCTGTCCATGATAAGCCAGGAGGTAGAACTCACTGTGTTTTTAGTGAGACCTCCTTGAACTTTCACTAGACAGGTTGCCTACCGCCATGGGGCCTGGGCCAATTTAGATAGCATTTGAGCTAGACCCCTCTCTGGGCCGCGTCTCCTGCGTTTGTTCTACTGCCAAGTGAAGTAGACAATCTGAGTGGACTTGGGGTCAGATATATTTAATGAACAGCCATGGTAAAGAAAATACCTAGATATGCACATCCATATGTGTATATACCTTCATATACTTTATTATCTGTAGATTAGGATGTTCTGTGCACTTCGTAAGATACACATACTTCTGATTACATGCTTTCCTATGGGATAATTTTCTTTGGAGTTTTTGAGACCATATTCATGATATACACAATTTGAGGGATTTTTGGTTTTTGTTTTGGGAAAGATAATATGTAGAATGAAATGTTTTGGTGGAGATTATCACAGAAATACATAAGATAAATAATTCTTTTGCTGTTTATTCAAACAGTTCTTAAGAACTTAGAATGTGCCAGGTATGATGCTTGGTGCTATATATATATTAGTGAACAAGTAGATAGTTTATTTCCTCCTTCATGGAGTTCATAATCTAGTGGAGAGACAGATAAATAGCAGGTGAACAAATACAGTTGATCCTTGAAGTATGTGGGGGTTAGGGGTGCCAATCCCCCATGCTGTCAAATATTCTGTGTAACTTTTAACTCTCCCAAAACTGAACTACTAATAACCTACTATTGACCTTACCAATAACATAAACAGTCAATTAACACACATTTTGTGTGTTGTATGTATTCTATATTGAATTTGTACAATAAAGTAAACTAGAGAAAAGAAAATGTTATTAAGAAAGTATAAGGAAGAGAAAATATACTTACTATTCATTAAGCAGAAGTGGATCATCATAAAGGTCTTTATTCCTCATTGTCCTCACATTGAGTATCTGAGGAGGAGAAAGAAGAGGAGGGTTTGGTCTTCCTGTCTCAGGAGTGGCAGGGGCGGCAGAGGTGGAGGAGGTGGAAGGGGAAGCAGGAGAGGCAGGAATACTCTGTGTAACTTTTACTGAAACAAAATCTGTGTATAAGTGGACCTGTACAGCTCAAACCTGTGTTGTTCAAGGGTCAAGTGTATATTATTGCACATTATTCTAAGTGCTATTAAAAAACCAAACAGGGCTGGGCGCAGTGGCTCACGCCTATAATCCCAGCACTTTGGGAGGCCGAGGTGGGTGGATCACTTGAGGTCAGGAGTTTGAGACCAGTCTGGCCAACATGGTGAAACCCTGTCTCTACTAAAAATACAAAAATTAGCTGGGCATGGTGGTAGGTGCCTGTAATCCCAGCTACTCAGGAGGTGAGGCAGGAGAATCACCTGAACCCAGGAAGTGGAAGTTCCAGTAAGCCAAGAGCATACCACTTCACTCCAGCCTGGGCGACAGAGTGAGACTCCGTCTCAAAAAACAAACAGTACAGTGTTAGAGAATAACAGGGAGGGAAATAAATAAACAAGGTGGTAAGGAAGTTGTCTCTAGAGGAGTGGGGCTTAACCTAGGCTTGAAGGATGACAAGGAGACACATTTGAAAAATATCGGAGAAGTCACAGTCTAGGAAGAGGCTACAGCATGTGCGAAGGCCCTGAGGCAGAATGAAGCTTGGCACATTCTAGGAAGGGAAATGAGGCCAGTGTGGTTTCAGCACATCAAGAAGTGCATCAGATGAAATCAGAAATGTAGACTGGAGAGAGATCCTGCAGAGGTTTGTAGGCCACAGAAAGGAATTCCGTGTTTAAGACAGAGAACGTTGAACTTCCAGATTTTAGAGGTTTTGATAATGATAAGGTCCAGAGAAGGTAGAGGGGAAAAAAAACCCCTCAATGCTAATTTTGAATTTACATAGCTACATTACAGGGTTTTGGTATTATATTTTTAAAAATCCATATTTCACTCACATAGTTACAGCCATTGATTATGACTCAGTTCATAAATAAATATGAATAAGACACAAATATCTGAGATCATTCATAGTACAAACAAAATGAAAAGGAGGAATTCAGGCAACAATTTGCCTCAGTTTTCTCTAATGGTGCTGATTTTGATATTTTTGATTAAAAAAATACTACATTTTATATCAGTTGAACAGTGCTCACCTTTTTTTTTTTTTTTTTTTTTTTTAAAACAAATGAGGCCAGGAGCAGTGGCTCACACCTGTAATCCCAGCACTTTGGGAGGCTGAGGTGGGCGGATCACCTGAGGTCAGGATTTTGAGACCAGCCTGGTCAACATGGTGAAACCCCATCTCTACTAAAAATACAAAAATTAGCTGGGTGTGGTGGTGGGCACCTGTAATCCCAGTTACTTAGGAGGCTGAGGTAGGAGAAACACTTGAAACCAGGAAGCAGGGGTTGCAGTGAGCCAAGATTGCACCACTGCACTCCAGCCTGGGTGACAGAATGAGACTCCGTCTCAAAAAAAAAAAAAAAAAAAGAAAAGAAAAAAGAAAAAAAAAGAAAAAAGAAAAAGAAAAACAAAAAACAAAACAAATGAGGCAAAACATTATTAAAGTGAGAATTTAACATGATTGGAATTAAAAAGTTATCCTTTTTCAATTTAGTAACTGGTTGTTAGCAAACCAAAATCCTACAGGCACATGGGCAGAAATAACATGTTCAGTTTCTTAGATCTAAAACTTAAAAAAATTACAAAAGCAGTTAGGTCAAATCAATGATGTATAATCCCTTGAATGAGCTTTGATATTAATAGGAATCTCCAAACAAATCAAATCGTGAACTAATTAGGTAGTGTAGTTTGTAAAATCTTTACCTCACAGAACTGGAGGTGGAGATAGATCTGTTTTGGAATTCAGATTAATTTTCTGAGTTAAAAAAAATAACATCATGCAGCACGCTATAATCAAAGGCCGTAATATTTTTGTGCTAAATATTACAATCACATTAAATGGAGTAAAGACTATAAGAATCCCCACATCAGTTTGGGTCAGCTTTTTTTATTATTATTTTTTAAGACAGAGTCTCACTCTGTCACCCAAGCTGGAGTACAGTGGCACGATCACCACTCACAGTAGGCTCGACCTCCCAGGCTCAGGTGATCCTCTCACCTCAGCCTCCCGAGTAGCTTGGACTACAGGTGTGCCAGCACGCCTTGTTAATTTTTGTATTTTTTGTAAAGATGAGGTTTCCGCCTGTTGCCTGGGCTGGTCTTGAACTCTTGGGCTTAAGCGATCTGCCCACCTTGGCCTCAGAAAGTGCTAGGATTACAGGCGTGAGTCACCGCACCTGGCATCAGGTCAGCTTTTGCCACCTAAGAGGATGCTGCAATTCGCAAAAAAAGCTTTCAGTTTTCAAAAGTTTTGGGAATTCATAACTGTGGATATGAAATTGTGGAGCTATAGATTTTGTGTCATTCAGATAGTTAAAATTTTATTCTTTGTTTAAATCAGAACTCACAATCCTAATGATTAGAAACAGTTACCATTTGGAAATAGTCAGATTTCCATTTGTGGGCCCTAATAAATGAACGCATACAATATTATTAAATTTTGTGCAGCCTTGTGCAAATGCTATAAATTTTACTCTTTATGATTTCCCTATATTTTTCCTCTTAAGAATAGTGAAAAGTTTTACATTTTTTTGCAATCAAATTTTAAAGCAGTACTTCATCAGACTTTTTATTTCCAAATGTTTGAATGTCTTTAGCCAAGATCTTAAGAGTCTTTATTTCAGAACTCATTACCTGTTGTGGCACGATTTTAGATTGCTTTGATCCATTGCAATCTAAAATCATGCAACATGGCATTTTCAAGAAAGGTCATTCACGTGAGTAGTTTGTGGCCGCTGGTGTGGCGGAGACTACTCATTAACTAACCAACATCCCTCCTCCCTTTCTTATTCATAAAATCCCATTTCATTTTGGGTGTGCCACCCAAAACTGTTTTGCATGACACTGTTTTAACCAGTGAGATGTAAGCAGAAGCCATTGGTTGGGCTTCCAAGAAAGCATTTATAGGGGGCTGACTCAGTGGCTGCTGCCTTGTGCTTCTTACCTTTGCCCTTCTTCAGGCTTGGAGGATGGTCACCACACCTGGGTGGAGTCCGGTGTTCCATTGTGTCAACCAAAGGGAGCTCTTTAGTGCTAAGGGTAGCTGAACAGAAAGAAGAAAGCTGGGTTCTGTGGAGCTTTCACACCAGCCACTGAGGTCCTGCCTCTAGACCTGCTTTTTACACGAGAGAAAAAGAAAACAGCTACTTCGTTTAAACCTTTGTTATTTATTTTATTTTATTTTATTCTATTCTATTTTATTTTATTTTTGAGACAGAGTCTCCCTCTATCACCTAGGCTGGAGTGCAATGGTGCGATCTTGGCTCCCTTCAACCTCCACCTCCCTGGTTTAAGTAGTTCTCGTACTTCAGTCTCCCGAGTAGCTGGGATTACAGGTGCACTCCACCAGGCCCAGCTAATTTTTTTCTTGTATTTTTAGTAGAGACAGGGTTTCATCATGTTGGTCAGGCTGGTCTCAAACTCCTGGCCTCAAGTGATCCACCCGCCTTGGCCTCCCAAAGTGCTAGGATTACAGGCATGAGTCACTGCACCCAGCCTATTGATTCAGGGGGCACGTGTCCATGTTTGTTACATGGCCATATTGCATAATAATGGAGATTGGGCTTCTAGTGTACCCATCGCCCAAACAGTGAACATTGTACCCAGTAGGTAGTTTTTCAACCCTCACCCATATCCCAGCCTCCAGTCTTTTGGAGTTCCCAGTGTCTATTATGCCTATCTTTTAAAGTCCATACATATCCATTGTTTAGCTCCACTTGTAAGTGAGAATACGCAGTATTTGATTTTCTGAGTTCGTTCACTTAGGATAATGGCCTCCAGCTCCATCCATGTTGCTGCAAAGGACATGATTTTGTCTTTTTTATGGCTGCATAGTACTCCATGTAAATCTTTCTTTTACGGGCCTATTCACAACTAAATGCAATTTCTAATAAAATTAGTGTGAGTAATCTTCAAAGTATTTTATTTGTAAAAATCAGCTACTTTTAAGCTGCTGTGTAGTATCAGACTGAAAGCAAGGACAAGGGGCCTTTTTGGGTTGCAAGAAATCTTCTGTCTTTATCTGGGTTGCAGTTACATATACATGAAATATGTATGTATGTATCACATATGTACACATATCACATATATAAAAAGATTGAACTGTACATCAAGATTAGTACACCAAATATATTTTATTATATGTATGTTATCCCTTAATTAAAGCTATTTTTTATTATTTTATTTATTTATTTTTTATTTATTTTTGAGGCAGGTTCTTGCTCTGTCACCCAGGCTGGAGTGCAGTGGCATGATCTTGGCTCACTGCAACCTCTGCCTCCTGGGCTCAAGAGATCCCCTTGTTTCAGCCTCCCCGGGTAACTGGGACCACAGGCACGTGCCACCACACCCCGCTAATTTTTGTATTTTTGGTAGAGATGGGGATTCACCATGTTGCCCAGGCTGGTTTCAAACTCCTGGGCTCAAGTGATATTCTGGCATTGGCCTCCTAGAGCACTAAGATTACATGTGTGAGCCACCATGCCTAGCTAAAGAAAACTATTTTAATATATTATGGACAGTGATGGCATCTGATAATTTGAATATAGACATTGTTTGAAAAGCTGGACAGATATCATTCATTTAAAAAAATATTCAATGATCTTTTTTTGTTGTTGTTGTTGAGACAGAGTATCCCTCTGTTGCCCAGGCTGGAGTGCAGTGGTGTAATCTTGGCTCACTGCAACCTTCGCCTCTTGGGTTCAAGCGATTCTTTTGCCTCGGCCCCCTGAGTAGCTGGGATTATATGTACCACCACACCCAGCTAAGTTTGTATTTTTAGTAGAGATGGTATTTCACCATGTTGGCCAGGCTGGTCTCAAACTCCTGACCTCAAGTGATCCGCCCACCCTGGCCTCCCAAAGTGCTGGGATTATAGTCGTGAGCCACGGCACCTGGGCCTGAATAATCTTTTTATTCTAAGTGCCCCGATTATGCGGAATACCTAAGACAGCCGCCCATTTCTACCACAAAAAAATGGTGCTCTTATGTTTATATGTTTCCCTGTAATCATGTTGCAGACACTCAATGATATCAAATTGCATATTCCATCAGTGTTCACTCTCTCAATATTCTTATATATATATAAATTTTTTTTGAGACAGAGTCTTGCTATGTTGTGCAAGCTGGCCTCAAACTCCTGGCCTCAAGTAATCCTCCCACCTCAGCCTCCCAAGTAGGTAGGACTACTATGCCCGGCTCCACGTTCTTATTTTACGGCGATATCTATGCCTTCACCAGCAGCAGCCATCTGACTGCATTTATGAGCCCTACATGTTGAGTGACCTCAGCCATTACTCAAGTTTCTCATTTGTACATGGCTTATCAGAATTCTAGGCTCTGTGGTAACTGAACTATAGTAGACCTAGTGGACATGAAGTGGTTAAACGGCAAAACTCTAGGTTGAGGTTTTCTTGTAATATGATACAGGAAGTATTAAGGAAGTATTAAGTAAAAGCACCAGGGAGAATTTTTCGTCTAGTATTCAATGAAAGTTATGCATTTTGCTCTTTAAAAAAAAAAAACACCATATTGAACTCCTTCTCCTGGCTGTTCCTACCCCATTCCTATGTCCCAATGCAGGGTAGAGATGAGAAAACTCATACATTGACAGAAACCATACTGTTTAAAATTTCAGCATTGCACGGAGTTATGAGGTGAAAGAAAAACTGGAATAGCTGTAGCAATAGAAACACAGTTGGTAAAGCCTTTCACTTAAAGTATAAACCTTGAGCAATTACAGAAAGGGAGACAGAATTTTCTGTAAGAGATCATTAAAGCTGTGATACAAGAAAGGCCATTTACTCTTACGGAATATGAATCATTATTGGAGCAAAAAGAGAGTCAGCAAATAATTCAGGCCCAGGATGACAAAGGAAGAGGAGTTTAATCGAATCAAATCATAAATAACTTTCCTAGCTATGTCTAGCTAAAGGTTCTTATAATTCCTTACTAGAGGGAGTGGGGAGAGGGGGTTGACATTAATAACAGAATCCATGCAGGTGGTTTATTGTATTCTTAATATTTAGCCAGTTATTATTAACGAATCCTATTGTCTTTGTACAGTAGTGCATTAAAATAACACTTTGGGCATTGTTTTCAGCTATATTTTGAGACTGAATAGCCCTAAACTGACAATTGCAATAGAAATTCAGGTGCTTAGAGTAGCTGGTGCAGAGAAGCAGCACCTGTTTTCTGACTGGCTGGGTTAACACCATACGGGACCTCACACTAGGAGCATGGGGCCTTTACGTTGTCAGTAAGGCTAACTAGTAAAAGAGAGGCAGTTCTTCCAAAGCTGGATTGCCAGTGTGAAGATTCACTTCAACTCTTTTCTTTAATTTGAGATGGAGTCTCCCTGTGTTGCCCAGGCTGGAGTGCAATGGCGCAATCACAGCTCACTGCAAACTCTGCCTCCTGGGTTCAAGTGATTCTCCTGCCTCGGCCTCCTGAGTAGGTGGGATTATTGGCATGCACCACCATGCCTGGCTAGTTTTTGCATTTTCTAGTTTCACCATGTTGGCCAAGCTGGTCTTGAACTCCTGACCTCAAATGATCCTCCTGCCCTGGCCTCCCAAAGTGTTGGGGTTACAGGCTAGAGCCACCATGCCTGGCCACTTCAACTCTTTAACCATTGAAAAAAGCAGTATTTAATGTATCTGTGACCATTGAAAAAAGCAGTATTTAACGTATCTGTGATATAAATACATAGATTTATAACTAGTCAACCATTATCTAACATCAAATCAAGCTTTCAGCTTTTTCATATGGATAAAAATAACTACAGTCCAAATGACCTTTATTAATTTCTTGTGTATGATTCTCTTCTATTGTATTCATTTTTTTAACCAGATGGTAAAAGTAATATAAAAGTAATATACACTCATTACTGGCCATTCGGAAAATGTGTAGCAAAGAGTATCCCAACCACTTGTAGTCCTGTTTCTCTGGATCTCTTTACAGTGCCTTTTCCTGTACTTCTTTTTGTGTTGGCAAACTTTCAGAATAAAGGGTGCCAAGTCAGCAATCCCTATTATATAACTGAACAAGTATATATAATAGCACTCACAAAAATAACTCAGACAGGAGTGATTACATAATTAACATGATTGCACCTTACTTTGATAAAGGGCAGAGATTTTGCAAGAAGCATTAGAAAACTGTCTCCCCTCTATAATTCTAAATGTTTTATAAAATCATAGCACAAGTATAGGCTACTTAAAATGAGATGGTAAGATTGCTTTTTTGCTTTGGATCATTTACCAAGTGATATGGTTTGTCTGTGTCTCCACCCAAATCTCATCTTGAATTGTAGCTCCCACAATTTCCACGTGTTGTGGGAGGGACCTGGTGGGAGGTAATTGAATTGTGGGGGCGGGTCTTTCCTGTGCTGTTCTGTGATAGTGAATAAGTCTCATGAGATCTGATGGTTTTATAAGGGGGAGTTTCCCCACAAAAGCTTTCTCTTGTCTGCTGCCATGTAAGACGTGCCTTTCGCCTTCAGCCATGATTGTGAGACCTCCCCAGCCACGTGGAATTGTGAATCCATTAAACCTCTTTTTCTTTATAAATTACCCAGTTGTGGGTATGTCTATCAGCAGTGTGAAAGTGAACGAATACACCAAGATAATCTGAGTTGAATGAATAGTGTTATGGGGGGTGAATATTGAATTGGGGGTAATGCTGGAGCATGAAACACTTGGAAAACAGAGAAAGATAGCCAATGGGCAAAAACAAAGATGTGGGAATCCCAGGGAATGAGGGAGAAGAGGTATTGAAAGAGGAGAGGTGGAGCATAAAATAATATGGGATTGTGCTATAGATAGTGTGATCATACAACTTATAGTAAAATCTATGACATTTTCAAGAGTGAAAATGGCACGATTAATCATTGTACTGGCTGGGCACGATGGCTCACACCTGTAATCCCAGCACCCTGGGAGGCCGAGGCAGGCAGATCACTTAAGGTAAGGAGATTGAGGCTAGCCCGGCCAACATGGTGAAACCTCGTCTCTACTAAAAATACAAAAATTAGCCAGGCATGGTGGTGTGTGCCTACAGTCCCAGCTACTCGGGAGGCTGAGGCAGGAGAATCGCTTGAACCTGGGAGGCAGAGGTTACAGTGAGCTGAGATCACACCACTGCACTCCAGCCTGGGCAACAAGAACGAGACTCTGTCTCAAGAAAATAAATTAATAATAATTGTACTGAGATAACAGGTTAGAAAATCCGGAAAACACGCTCACTTGACATACATATGATTGCTTTAAATACAGGGAAAATCAGGAAATGTGGTCACTTTAGATACACTTAAAAAAAAAATAACAAAAAACAAACCTATTGCCCCAGTGGCAGCCATCCGTTTGCTACCTTTACCATGTACACGATCACCTCTTGACGTGACCACCCTTGATTTTTGACTTGCCATCATTGGCCTCATTGTTTCTCACTAGCAAAAGGAAATTCTAGTTGAACACTATTTATCTTCACTGGGAGTTTCTTAAAGAGATTACTTATCCAGGAGTTGGTATAAGATGTCCATGAGACCATGATCAGTTTCCAACATCCTGAGAGTGAGTTAGCCTCACTCTATTTTAGGGTCTAGGCTTCACTCTCAGCACTGCTTGTAAAGATCTATGTTAAGGGTGCTTTATTTTGAGGGAATTTTAAGCTAGAAGTTGACACACTGGACTCTGTCTTGGCCTCTCTGTTGCAATATATTCGGTGTCATCACAGAAGTCTTAAAATGTAACTTTCACTAACAGATGTCTTAAACTGTGTGCACTGTCAACTCAATTTTGCTGTGTCTGTTGTACATATTTGGAAAACCAATGCATCAAACCTCAATTTGCAAACCATAATTTGAGGGGGTATTTACAAGGAGACAGGCAGAATTATTTTCTTGTTTGAACCAATCCTGAAGCAGTGCTTCTGGGCCAGCTTTCACGCTGGGAAGTCCATGTAGGAGCTGAGCTGTTTGGTCAGAGCTGCAACTCTTTACGGTTTGGGACTCTGAGCTGAACATGATGCTGGGAATTTGCTGTTGGCAAAAGAACCCTTACAAAAAAGGCTTCTACCCTTCTGAGGCTTCCCAAGCCAGCATGTGGCACCCGGTATCATCAGAACAGATTTATTGTAGCCAAATCTCTCCTTACCATTCCTCTCCCCAGTAGTCAGTATCAAAATAGGACGCAGACCAGCTGAGCTCCCTGCTTCAGGATGCCTGGAAGAGCCCTAGGTACATGGTAGGAAGGGATGGAATCTCAGGAGAATACAGATGGTGCCTACAGACTTTTTGCTCTTACTGGAAAGAGGGGATGCTCCAGTGGTTCCTCTTTGGCAGAGTCTGGAATAGGGTTGCCCATCAAATTACAGAGATGCAGTTGGGTTGTCTGCCTTCTTGAGAGTACTCTGTGATGGGAGTTCTCAAACTAGAGACACTGATGTTTATGAACTCTCTGTGAGTAGTTTTTTTTTTTTTTTGACCGGGTCTTGCTCTATTGCCCAGGCTGGAGTACAGTGGCAGAATTATAGCTCACTGCAGTTTCAAACTTCTGGGCTCAAGCGATCCTCCCACTTCAGGCTTCCGAGTAGCTGGGACTACTATGTGCCAGCACATCAACCTAATTTTATTATGTTTTTGTAGAGACAGGGTTTCCCTATGTTGCCTAGACTGGTCTTAAACTCCTGGCTTCCAGAAATCCTCCTGCCTCGGCCTTTCAAAGTGCTGGGATTATAGGCATGAGCTACTGAACCTGGCCTTCTCTGTGAGAATTTTACATTTTCATTTCAACGTAACTTAAAAAACAATATGAGCAGACCCTGGATCATCTAGATAGCCTCTCTGTAGCCAAGTGTTATCCTGCAATTTTACTCTTGTGTTTGTGTTTGTAATTGAGTTAGAAGTGAGCCATTCTATTTTAATCAGAGAGCTACTGAGAAAAGAACGAAAGCTGACTTAATATGTAAATGATACATTTATACCAAGGGAAGGCTGCATATCACAACAAGCTGTATAAACAAATGGTTTCCAGTAATTTGAATGAAAAAAAGTGATGGGAAATTGTCATCTCACAGGACCTGTTAATAACCTGACCATAATGCTATCAAATTCATGCTACAACTGGTGATGAGAAAACAATATGGCATGTCACATAAAATTAATACCTTTCACTTATTAGTTTTCTTGCTAGGCTTATATTTAATTTATAGGTTGGCAGCTTTTATAGTTACAGAGGGCTATAAGCATATGTCATTTATACCTCATTGTATTTGTACACCAGGATGGTCTCAGGGGCCAGATTTCCTGGATATCAAACTTAGCACCACCACCTACTAGCTGAGTAAACTTGGGAATGCTACTTAACCTCCTTGTACCCAGATTTCTTCATTGCAATGAAAATATTTATAGTACCTACTATTATTGAGGGTAGTAATTGAATATATGTAAATTATTAGAACAGTGCCTGGGAATGCTGAGTATTCCTATAGTAAAAACGATTTAGCTCAGTAATTTATTTTATTTACTTATCTGGTTTTTTACTTTTTAATATTTGTGGATACACAGTAGGTGTGTATATTTATGGGGCACATGAGCTATTTTGATACAGGCATGCAATGCATAATTATCACATCATGGAAAATGAGATATCCATCCCCTCAAGCATTTATCCTTTGTACTACAACAATCCAATTATACTATTCTAGTTATTTTAAAATGTATAATTAAATTATTATTGATTATAGTCACCCTATTGTGCTATCAAATACTAGGTCTTATCCATTTATATATATATTTTTTGTACCCATTAACCATCCCCATCTATCCCCAACCTCCACTATCCTTCCCAGCCTCTGGTAACTATCCTTGTATTCTCCATCTCCATGAGTTCCATTGTTTTGATTTTTAGATGCCACAAATAAATGAAAATATACAATGTTTGTATTTCTGTTCCTGGCTTATTTCACTTAACATAATGACCTCAAATTCCATCCATGTTATTGTAAATGACAGGATCTCATGCTTTTTTATGGCTGAATAGTACTCCATTGTGTATATGTACCACATTTTCTTTATCCATTCATCTGTTGCTGGACACTTAGGTTGCTTCCAAATCTTGGCTATTGTGAACAGTGCTGCAACAAACATAGGAGTGCAGGTAACTCTTTGATAGATTGATTTCCTTTCTTTTGGGTATATACCCAGCAATGGGATTGCTGGATTGTATGGTACCTCTATTTTTAGTTTTTTGAGAAACCTCCAAACTGTTCTCCATAATGGCTGTACTAGTTTACATTCCCTTCAACAGTGTATAAACGTTCTTTTTTTAGCCCAGTAATTTAAATGAAGGTCCACACATATGGTAAGCCTGCTCTATTGGGTAAATTAAGGTATATGAAATAATCAGTAACACTTACATAGTACAACAATTTTATGAAATACTTTTTCATATATGTCATTCATGTAATTCTCTACATCTACCCTGAAAGGTAGATAATACTTTTCTTGTTTAAAAGCTTGGATAATTGAAGTGACATGCCCTGAAACAACACAGGTTTACCACCAGCATTTGGTGTTTTTTTTTTCTCCTCATGGAGAATGAATGAATATTTTGTAACTGAACATTTTCAAATTTCTTTTGGGTTGACAGGAACCCCACAACTAATTTTGTACTATAACACACATTAGTACTGTTGTAGGACTTATTGGTCTGAATATCTACATTATATTTTCTCTCCTGGTCTTAATTTTCTATTCTAATTTATATTTTCCCTGATTCTGAAATTTTCTGCATACTATTTTATTGTTTGGAATTTTAATAATCTGCTTCATGTACATTTTGGAAAATTGTGAGCCATAAATAAGTAGACTGACCCATAGTTACTTAACTAGTAAGGTCCAGATATTGACCTGAAGTCTTTTGGCTTTATAGGGAAGTCACATTTACCGAGCATTTAGCATGACTTGGTATTTTATATGCATTGTATCATGCAATACACACATTAGCTGGACTGAGGTAGGTTGGTTATTACTATCTTCCTCATATTCAGATGAAGAAATTAAAGCTTATAAAAGTTATAAGATTTTTTCCTAGGGTTAATAAATGTTATCTTAATTTTTGGCCCTCTAATTTATTCTTAAAAGTATCTGTCGGGCATGGTAGCTTACATCTGTTATCCCAGTACTTTGGGAGGCTGAGGCCGTTGAGCTTAGGAGTTCAAGACCAGCCTTGACAGCATAGGGATTCCCCATCTCTATTAAAATTACAAAAGTTAGCCAGGTGTGGTCATGCGCCTATAGTACCAGCTACTTGGGAGGCTGAGGCAGGAGGATTGCTTCAACTTGGGAAGTCGAGGTTGGAGTAAGCCAAGATGGAGTAATCTCAACTGCCCAGCACTTGAGCCTGGGCAACAGAGCGAGACCCTGTTTCAAAAAAAAAAAAATTCTTAAAAGCATGAGCTTTATTCTCTAAATTCAGCCCTGTTGTTAAGGCTTTAAGGCCAGATCTTTGTAAAAGACTCCATCCCTCGTTCCCAGCCCATCAAGTGGGCCTTTCCTCTTACGGCTTTGCCAAGAGCAAAAATTACTATTCTCCTCGATCCTGGCAAGCTTGTCTGTTTCTTTTTTTGAGCCAGTGTTATGGTTTTTACAGGATGTGAACACTGTTACTCAGATTTGCTTCTGTCCACACATTCCCTGGCCGTTCCAGGCCTGTGAAAGGAGTCCTTCTCCAATTGCTAGCCAGCAGAGAAGGCAGTGACCCCAGTTATAGGCTGGATTAAAGCAGAGCAGGAAATCAGGCTTTGGCTCTTGCCCTTATGATCTCCTATGTCATAAGGTGGCAAAGGATGTACCATTAAGTACCACCCAGCGACTAGAATAATGGATTCTTGAGTCTCCATTCCTCTGCCATCATTTTACACCAGACTTTACAGTGTTTCCCAATTAGTGATGCTTCCCAGACTTAATCATTTGATCATCGCAATTTTTGCCATATCCTATCACTCTTACTTGTATTTACTTAAATCTTCTTTAAATTAGTGACATCCTAGCTTAAATATATTACTTTCAAGGGTTACTTTATATTACTACCATTAATGGGAGGACAATATCACTATTTGTGTGTCATCCTTGTGCAGGGGCCATGCTAATCTTCTCTGTAGCATTCCAATTTTAGTATTTCTGTTGCCAAAGTGAGCACGACAGTATCACTATTAATGGAAGATAATCTTAAAATGAAATATAGTGGCAAAACAATAACTATTAAATTATTTTCCAAAAACAGGTATTGGAAATTAGGAAGCCTGTAGTTTACTTCTAACAATTACATAAACTATTGCATAAACTGTAGAATAGTATGAAAGCAATATAATTTTCTGTGCCATAATTTCCCCCATTTTAAAATGGTTTTATTTTTAATTTTTTTTTTTTCTGTCTCCCAGGCTGGAGTGCAGTCCATGATCTCAGCTCACTGCAACCTCTGCCTCCCTGGTTCCAGGGATTCTTGTGCCTCAGCCTCCTGAGTAGCTTGGGCCTACAGGTGCCACCACCATGCCTGGATGATTTTTCTATTTTTACTAGAGACGGGGTTTCACCATATTGGCCAAGCTGGTCTCGAACTCCCGATCTCAAGTGACCCACCAACCTTGGCCTCCCAATGTGCTGGGATTACAGGCATGAGTCACTATGCCCCGCCCTTAAAATGGTTTTAAACTGTTTACTATGTTCATTACGGTCCATTATCTGCGAGGAAAAGAGAGATTTCCATGCCAATTGCAGGAAGTAACTGGAAAGTATAGGGCATTAGATTGTGGCATGAAGGAGGTAATAGAGGTTAGAAACTACCAATAAAGAAAATGAGTGGTATGATACAGAGCTGAGAGCAGAATGTATCAAGTTTGACAAAATTTCTCCTCTTGGATATGACTAGAAAGTTTGGTGAGCCCTACTTGCAGATTTTTAGTCTTAAGATGGGTGAAGAAAAACAAAAAACATGGTAAGATCTTAAAATAAGGGGCTTAGAAACTTATAAGCGAGGGGGAAAAATGATCACAATAGTAGGGAGATTAAGAATGGAAGAAAAAAGAATGATAAATGTTCCTAGTGGTAAGAATTTTAAGACCCGATTCCTAAGCTAGACGCGATTCCTAAGCTAAATTCTACTTCTGATGGTCATTCCAGATTAACTCATTGACTTTGGAAACATACGTGCCATCCTGAAAGATTCCTTTACTTTTTTATAGGTCTAGGCACGGTGGCTCACACCTGTAATCCCAGCACTTTGGGAGGCTGAGGCAGGTGGGTCACTTAAGGTCAGGAGTTTGAGAACAGCCTGGCCAACATGGTGAAACCCTGTCTCTACTGAAAAAATACAAAAATTAACCAGGCGTGGTGGCAGGCACCTGTAATCCCAGCTACTCTGGAGGCTGAGGCAGGAGAATCGTTTGAATCCAGGAGTCAGAGGTTGCAGTGGGCCAAGATCTTGCCACTGCATGCCAGCCTGGGTGACAGAGCAAGATCATGTCTCAATAAATAAATAAATAAATAAATAAAATAAAAAATACTGCATGGGTTACTTAGGTGGTAGCAATACTTATGGGTATTATTGGTTACTGAATGAGCAAAGAAGGGCACAGCAGTCTCTTAGGAAAAGTATACAAATGATGGAACCATTGTAACAATAATTTTATTATTCAAGAAAATTCAGATAAATCATCTATTGCCCAAATATAGGGATTATGTGATGAGAGCCCTGATCCACTGAGAATGATGATCAGAGACATTCTTTCAGTTTTTCAGCTGCCAAGAGTGAAGAGTATAGCTTGACTTAGGGATGAGGCAAGTTGCAATTTATTTTGGAAGAAATATATGGAGCAAAAATAAAAATTTATGGTTAGATATTATAGTAATTCTATTAACTGGGCTGAGAATAAGGAATGTTTACAAATAATGAGAAAAAAAGCCTGTAAAGATGACCGAGTAGTAACAGAAAAAAGATAGAAAGGGTCTTTAAATAAGTTGAGCAAGATTTGGGGTGTGAATAGTTGTGACAATAATAATGTGGCAAGAATAGTCTGTTATGCCTATTCTTGAACTCTTTATCACAGAAAAATGAACTCTTCATCAACCTTGAACTCTTTATTACAGAAAAATGCTGCTGTAAATATATTCAGTAGTTGCATACATCCATTAAGTGTGGATCTAGGGAACAGTTAAATATTTTTTACCTTAGGATTAAATAACTTCCTAAAGTGCCAAATGGGAGTTCAAAAACTTTTGTGAGGTTAACATTTAAAAAAAAAAATTCTATAGAAAAGGAAGAGTAAAAAACAAAATAAATTTTGGCTAGGCATAGTGGCTCATGCCTGTAATCCCAACACTTTGGGAGGCCAAGGTCGGAGGATTGCTTGAGCCCAGAAGTTAGAGACCAGCCTGTACAAGATGGCGAGACCCTGTCTCTACAAAAAGAAAAAGAAGGCTGGGAGCAGTGGCTCACGCCTGTAATCCCAGCACTTTGGGAGGCTGAGGTGGGCGGATCACGAGGTCAGGAGATGGAAACCATCCTGGCTAACACGGTGAAACCCCATCTTTACGAAGAACACAAAAAATTAGCTGGGCGTGGTGGCAGGCACCTGTAGTCCCAGCTACTCGGGAGGCTGAGGCAGGAGAATGGCGTGAACCCGGGAGGCGGAGCTTGCAGTGAGCCGAGATCGTGCCACTGCACTCCAACCTGGGCGACAGAGACTCTGTCTCAAAAAAAAAAAAAAAAAAGGAAAAAGAAAAAGAAAAAAATTAGCCAGGTGTGGTGGTGTGTGACTGTAAGTCCCAGCTACTCAGGAGGCTGTGAGGCAGGAGGATCACTTGAGCCTAGGAGTTAGATGCTGCAGTGAGCTATGATTGCATCACTGCACTCCAGCCTGGGTGACAGAGCAAAACCCTGTCTCTAAATAAATAAATAAATAAATTCATTTCATTTCTTTTCTTTTCTTTTTCTTCTCCAAAGCAACAGAAAGCAGATTTCCCCCCACCAATTTAGTTCTCATAGCTTTAAATGTACTTGTAGGCTCACCTTATTTTGAAGGGGCAAAGAATCTCTGGGGCATGGGACTTTCAAAAATATCTGCTTCTTAAGACTAAAAGATGGGATAAGCGTTTAGCAATTCTGGCTGATTGAGTTTAATCTTAAATTTAAAAATGTAAAAGATGGTTGCATCTTCCTGGCAGTATTCATTTGTCATGATTGGACTTTACCACTTCCACCTGGAGGCGCAGTCTCAGACCTTGAAAGTGCATTGATGTTGAGTAGGCTCCCAGTCACATGTTATTACAGTAAATTTGACTTGGTGAGAGTCAGCTTTCTCAAAAATATTGGGGTAAACAGGGAGGCTCCTCATCTCCGAAAGTTCTCCAGCCATTCAACGGTACCCACATGGTCTTAGAGGTATCTGATTCAAAGATAAAGAGTTAAACTAGTCAGAAAAAACTGGGATTAGGAGAGAGAAGATCATTGCCATCTTGCTAGGGACATACACAATTCTGCTCTTTCCTGAGTATGTTAGAAAGTGAGCTATGAATGTTTTTTTTGTCCCTGAAAATTTCTGGATATCCTTAAGGATCAACTATACTTTTGTTTAAGGAGTCTTTTGAGACTTATTTATTTATGAGACAGAGTGTCACTCTTGTTGCCCAGGCTGGAGTGCAGTGGTGCGATCTCAACCTACTGCAATCTCTACCTCCCGGGTTCAAACAATTCTCTTGTCTCAGCCTTCTGAGTATCTGGGATTACAGGCGCATGCCACCACTCCCGGGTAATTTTTGTATTTTTAGTAGAGACAGGGTTTTACTATATTGAGCAGGCTGGTCTTGAACTCCTGACCTCAAGTGATCCACCTGTCTTGGCCTCTCAAAGTGCTGAGATTACAGGTATGAGCCACCAGGCCCAGCTGAGGCATATTTATTTTATCAAATTTAACATACATACTAAAAACTATGCAAATTGCAAGTGTATAGTTTGATGAAATTTTACAAAACAAATAGGATGTAGGTCAAGAAACAGAAGAGTATTAGATTCATAGAAACCCCATTTGTGCTCTCATCCAGTTACTCCTTCACAAAAGTAACTACTATCCTGACTTCTAGTACCATACCTTGGCTTTGTCTAGTTTCTTTTACTTAGCATTATGTTGGTGAGATTCATTCATATTGTTGCATAGTTGTAGCTCACTCATTGCTCTATAATATTATTTATTCATTCTACTGTTGGCAGACAGTTGAACATCATTTTGATCTTTTGCTGGACAGACTTGACCCAGACAACTGGCTTCTGGACTTTAAAGGAAAATTTCTAAAAGTTGGCTTTGATGTGATGTTGTTGAGGAAGGATAATACCACCTAATCAAGGGACTTACATGAAGGGTACATTGTTATCTAAGAAGGAATTCAGATTAGTATTAGAATTTGCTCCTGATGGCATGTGCCTTTAGTTTCAGCTACTCAGGAGGCTGAGGTGGGAGGATTGCCTGAGCCCAGTAGGTCAAAGCTGCAGTGAGTCATGAATGTGCCACTGTATTCCAGCCTGGGTGACAGAGTGAGACCCTGTCCAAAAAAAAAAAAAAAAAGAGAATTTGCTAAGACTTCTTTGTCTAAGAGACAGTGAAGAAAATCATTCATATATTGAATTCTATTGAAGTCTTCCAAGCATAATCAAATATTCAACATTCCACACAAGTCTAAAGGTATTTCTATCTTTTTTTTCCCTTTTTTAAAGATGGGGTCTGGCTTTGTTCCCCAGGCTGGAATGCAGTGGTGCGATCATCGTTCATTGCCACATGGAACTCCTGGGCTCAAGGGATCCTCCCACCTGAGCCTCCTGAGTAGTTGGGACTACATGTACATGCCATCACATCTAGCAAATTTTTTAAAAAATGTTTTTTAGAGATAGGGTCCCGCCATCTTGCCCAGGCTGGTCTCAAACTCCTTGGCTCAAATGATCCTCCTGATTTGGCCTCCCAAAGTGCTGGGATTACACTTGCGAGCCACCATGCCTGGCCTCTATCTTTTCTTTTTCTTTTTCTTTTTTTTACTTTATTTTATTATTATTATTATTATACTTTAAGTTTTAGGGTACATGTGCACAATGTGCAGGTTAGTTACATATGTATACATGTGCCATGCTGGTGTGCTGCACCCATTAACTCGTCATTTAGCATTAGGTATATCTCCTAATGCTATCCCTCCCCCCTCCCCCCACCCCACAACAGTCCCCAGAGTGTGATGTTCCCCTTCCTGTGTCCATGTGTTCTCATTGTTCAATTCCCATCTATGAGTGAGAACATATGGTGTTTGGTTTTTTGTCCTTGCGATAGTTCACTGAGAATGATGATTTCCAATTTCATCCATGTCCCTACAAAGGACATGAACTCATCATTTTTTATGGCTGCATAGTATTCCATGGTGTATATGTGCCACATTTTCTTAATCCAGTCTCGTAGTATTCCATGGTGTATATGTGCAACATTTTCTTAATCCAGTCTATCACTGATGGACATTTGGGTTGGTTCCAAGTCTTTGCTATCGGGAATAGTGCCACAATAAACATACATGTGCATGTGTCTTTATAGCAGCATGATTTATAGTCCTTTGGGTGTATACCCAGTAATGGGATGGCTGGGTCAAATGGTATTTCTAGTTCTAGATCCCTGAGGAATCACCGCACTGTCTTCCACAATGGTTGAACTAGTTTACAGTTCCACCAACAGTGTAAAAGTGTTCCTATTTCTCCACATCCTCTCCAGCACCTGTTGTTTCCTGACTTTTTAATAATTGCCATTCTAACTGGTGTGAGATGGTATCTCATTGTGGTTTTGATTTGCATTTCTCTGATGGCCAGTGATGATGAATATTTTTTCATGTGTCTCTTGCCTGCATAAATGTCTTCTTTTGAGAAGTGTCTTTTCTTAAATGAGATTATATGTGCCCTGGAATTTTGTAAATTGTAGGGCCTGTTAAACATCACCACTTCCCTGAAAAAGTCAGAGATTATCACTATTTTTTTTTCCTAAAAAGAATACCAAGATCTTTTCTAGAGAAGATAAAGGCCTAACAACTCCTTATAATATATTTTTGTCATTATAGTTAGTTCCCAAGAGCATGAGCTTTCAATATAAAAGCTTGCATGGGGAGGGTTAGTTTCAGCACTGTGTAAAAGCTCCTTTTAATGCAGCTGTTGTGGCACAGTGGTTGATCATGGTGGAGCATGTGAGTGTGGGTTAGGAGAGCTATAACTGTAGAACCTAAATGGGTATATCACTGTGACACTGGCAGTAATGTCCTCAACCATAATCACAATAGAAGAGCTCTGTAGGACTCTGAGAATATTATTGAACAGAAACTGAGTTTCTGCAAGAAGCACAGGCAGTTGAATACTGATTAGTCTCTCCCTTTCTTTCCATATTTGGCACTTGTAAGCAGGATTAAACTCTTCTTTTTATTAAGCCCTTAGATTATTGAACAATCTGTAAGTGAGAAACCCTAAAATGGGATTATTGGCCCTTTCCTTCCTTCCTTTCCTCCTCCCCTCCCTCTCTCCTTCCTTCCTTCCTTCCTTCCTTCCTTCCTTCCTTCCTTCCTTCCTTCCTTCCTTCCTTCCTTCCCATTAGACCACTTTTCCCATTGATTCTCCTCTTTTGGAAAAGGAGAAGCTGTGAAGGTGCAGTCTCTGGGGACTGAGGAGGCAACTGGCATGGTAGACAGATAAGTTACATACAGAGAGTTTGAGCAAATAAATAGACACATTGAGAGGATAATGAGAGTCAAGTTTCTCACTATTGAAAAAGGGATTTATAAATATGGAAGGAGGAAGGCTGGAGAGAAGCCTGAGGTGCTGGGCTGAAATGGAAAGTATTGATATGTAGATGGATGTGTTTAGTATATATGCACTGAGAGATATAGATATAGAAATAGACATAGAAGTATGTGTATGTGTCTATGTGTACACACACACACATCTATCTCCTAGCTCTGTTGTCTGAGACAGTATAGAAACAATGGCAACCCAGGAGAAATAATCTTATGAAGTGCCTAGATCTTGATTTCCAAATATCCATATCTGCTGAAAGTGGTGGAAATGATTGGTTCCAGGATCGAGGCAGAGAAAGTACGAGATTTTTCTTTTTCTTTTTTTTTTTTTTTTTGAGATGGAGTCTCACTCTGTCGCCCAGGCTGGAGTGCAGTGGCACCATCTCGGCTCACTGCAAGCTCCGCCTTCCGGGTTCACGCCATTCTCCTGCCTCAGCCTCCTGAGCAGCTGGGACTACAGGTGCCCGTCACCACTTCTGACTAATTTTTTGTATTTTTAGTAGAGACGGGGTTTCACCGTGTTAGCCAGGATGGTCTCGATCTCCTGACCTTGTGATCCGCCCGTCTCGGCCTCCCAAAGTGCTGGGATTAGAGGCTTGAGCCACTGTGCCCGGCCACGAGATGATTTTGGACTACTTTTGCTCATGAGAGTAACGAAATGCTTAAAGAATGAAGACTTGTCCAAGGACAGAGGAGCCAGCTTGAAGGGATCCAACCTGTCAAATCTAGACCAAAGTAATGATAGTCACAGATTACAACTCCTTGAATAAAGTAGGAATCCACAAGCCCATACAGATGTAAATAAATAAGCAGAGAGAGGGGAAAGTTCTTCCTAGCAGTAGAATGTCAAATTTGTTATAAATTTGAAAGTATTTCAAAAAATTTCATCTATGCAGTACAAGCAGATAGTGTTCATAACATAAATGTAGATCCAAAACTGTATAGTTTTGAAAAGACAACAATGTGAATGTTGGCATGATTCTAAGCAACAACTCACAATGCATGAGCTAGGTGTGGTGGCTCATGCCTGTAATTCCAGCACTTTGGGAGGCTGAGGCAGGAGGATCACTTGAGCTCAGGAGTTTGAGACCAGCCTGGGCAACATCGTGAGATCTTGTCTCCACAAAAAAAAAAAAAAAAAACAGAAAACAGAAAACAAAAAACAAATTAGTGGGATGTGGTGGTGCACATCTGTAGTCCCAACTACTCAGGAGGCTAAGATGGCAGGATTGCTCGAGCCTGGAAGGCTGCAGTGAGCTATGATCACAGCACTGCACTCCAGCCTGGCAAACAGTGAAACCCTGTCACAAAAAAAAAAAAAAAAAAAAATCCACACACTTTTTCAATAAAATGAGTCTTTCTGCCCTTTGGACCAAGAGTTCTCAGCAGAGATTCCTTCTATGCTGCCATCTGCTAGCACTAGTACCCAGCTTCGGCAAACACCATTCATAGCGAGAGAAATTGAGGGCTACATTATTATTCCTTTTCAACACACGGGAGGAGAAGGTAAAATAAACACTGGGATACTTATTCATTAGAAAATAAGTTGTTGGAGTTTGGGCCTGGCATGGTGGCTCAAGCCTGTAATCCCAGTACTTTGGGAGGCCAATGTGGGCAGATCACTTGAGTTCAAGAGTTTGAGACCAGCCTGGCCAACTTGGTGAAACTCCATCTGTACCAAACAAACAACAACAACAACAACAACAACAACAACAACAACAACAACAACAGAAAATTAGCTGGGGGGGGGGGGTGGGTGGCACATGCCTGTAGTCCCAGCTACTCAGGAAGCCAAGGTGGGAGAATGGCTTGAACCCAGGAGGTGGACGTTGCAGTGAGCCGAGAAGATGTCACTGCACTCCAGCCTGGGCAACAGAGTGAGGCTCTGTCTCAAAAAACAAACAAACAAAAAGGGGTAATTGGACTTTGAACTTAAAAAGTAGGAGAGAGAGGACAGAGAGGGAGAGAGAGAGGGGAAAAAAGAAACTTATTTCTTGTGTGTACCCTGAGGGCAAATACACAGGTCATATTGGTTACAAGTATAGGTTTGAGCCACTTGGAGCAACATGATAGTCAGAAAACTCCTCTCCCCATCAGTTGAGGCTCAGTTTTGTGCTATGAATAGGTAGAAAGGGGCAAGAGAAGAGCTGAGTCTTACAGTGCTCATGGCCAGCATAGGCTGTGGCATTACCTGGCAGATACCCACCACACAGTATTAATAAATGCTTTCAAGATTTAGTCCCTGTTTACTGCCCCAGCCTCATTTCTCGGCACTCCCTCCACTCTAGGTTCTAGCCATACTGAATTACTTGCAGTGCTAGAATGGTATATATCCCTTTCACCTCCTGTCAGGATGTGACATCCTGTCGAACTCTTCTCAGTATCTGAAATCCTCTACCTGAACCCTAGCCAGGTAGCAGGGACTTCCTGAATGAAGACTCCCTGCATGCCTGAGTGTGTTTTTGAGTAATACCTGCTCTGGATTCCTTATTGCCAGGTGCCAGTGTACACCCATCAAACCTGTGATCTGTTGACTGAGACCATGTAATCACAAAACCTGCTTGTCAGACTATGAGCTTCCATGGAACCCTGAACCTCTTAGTAGCACTCATTGCACTTGTAATTTTTTTTTTTTTTGAGACAGAATCTCGCTCTGTCACCCAGGCTGGAGTGCAGTGGCACGATTTCCACTCACTGCAACCTCTGCCTCCCAGGTTCAAGCGATTCTCCTGCCTCAGCCTCCCAACTAACTGGGATTACAGGCACCCATCACCATGCCCGGCTAATTTTATTTTTAGTGGAGACAGGATTTCACCATGTTGGCCAGGCTAGTCGCAAACTCCTGACCTCAGGTGATCCTCCCACCTTGGCCTCCCAAAGTGCTGGGATTACAGGTGTGAGTCACCATACCCAGCCAGCACTTGTAAGTATTGAATGTTTGTCTTTGCCTTTGAGCTTGTGAAGGCAATGACTGTCTGTCTTGTTTACTACTCTAGTTTTAGTCATAGCACAATACCTGGAATGTGACAAGTATTCAGTACATGTTTTGATGGAATTTCCTTGGACCTAGAGTGGGGTCTGTTTTTCCATTATATGTCCCCACAGTTGAGTGGTTTAGCTCCAGATCTCAACCTCTTCTACCATGCCCTGTCACCTGGAGAAACTGAGACTTGCCTGGCTGTGTTCTGTGGTTGGATAGCTACAAAGATGGCAATGGAGGTCAGATTTTGATGACCTGCACCATTGCTTATAATTTTAAAATCATGGACTCCTGACCAAGTGACCCTGGGATTCTCCTTAAGGTTGGAAAGGATGTTTGGCAAGAGACTCAACTTGATCAAGAGGATTTTTAAATGAATATTAAGGAAGAGAGGGAAAAATAAATAATTAGTAATATCTAATTAGTATCCAATGCCAGGTACTGTTCTAAGTCCTTTATATGCATTTAGTCCTTGCAGTAACCACATAAGTTAGAAATTATTATTACTATGACTATTTAAAGATAAAAAACAGAGCCATTTGTCCAAGGTCACCCAGCTAGTCAGATGCTGAGCTGGGTTTCAAACTGGGGTGGCCTGGCTTCAGAGTCTGTGCCCACAACATCTGTGCTCTTCTGTCTTTCAAAACTCCAAAGCTTGCTGGGTGTGGTGGCTCACGCCTGTAATCCCAGCACTTTGGGAGGCCAAGGCTGGCAGATCATGAGGTCAGGAGTTTGAGACCAGCCTGGCCAATATGGTGAAACCTCGTCTCTACTAAAAATGCAAAAATTAGCCGGGCGTGATGGCATGCACCTATAATCCCAGCTACCCATGAGCCTGAGGCAGGAGGATCGCTTGAACCCGGGAGGCAGAAGTTGCCGTGAGCTGAGATGGAGCCACTGCCCTCCAGCCTGGGCAACAGAGTGAGACTCCATCTCAAAAGAAAACAAACAAACAAAAAAATACCTCTAAAGCTTAATGCTCAGAAAAGGCATTGTGTGAAAGGGACAGAAAAATGAATACTTCTCAGTTTAAAATAACAACAACAACAACAAAACTAAATCTGGTCAAATGAGGATTGACCTCAGATGTAAAAATACCAAAATATAGTGTAGAGACAACAATCAAGTGAATGTTAAATTTTAATATGCTCATATACCCAGCAGACAAAATTATATCCAACTTTTAGGTTCCCTTCCTGTCCATGTCCATGTGGATACCTATAAACATGACAGACACAATTTTTTAAAAATAAAATTTTTAAAAATGTTTCTTAGAGACAGGTCTTACTATGTTACCAAGGCTGCCCTTGAACTCCTGGCCTCAAGCGATCTTCCCACGTCAGCCTCTCAAGTAGCTGGGCCTGTAGAAGTGCACCACTGTGCCCAGCTGACAGATACAATTTTCAATTTTGTCTTTTTAATGTAATGTCATCATAACCATTTTACTATATTACTAGTTATCAAGACTATGACACCATATTATCTTCATTTACATTTTTGTTAACTCATTGAAGATTTTTTCTGTGTTTGTTTACAAATTGTGTATCTGTATTTGTCTGATCTCACACTGCTATAAAGAACTACCCGAGACTGGGTAATTTATAAAGAAAAGAGGTTTAATTGACTCACAGTTCTGCAGGCTTAACAGGAAGCATGGCTGGGAGGCCTTAGGAAACTTAAAATCACGGTAGTAGGCAAAGGGGAAGCAAGCACCATTTTCGCATGGCGGCAGGAGAGAGAGAGAGCACGAAGGGGGAAGTGCCACACACTTTTAAACCATTAGGTCTCATGAGAACTCACTCACTATCATGAGAACAGCAAGGGAGAAATCCGCCCCCATGATCCAATCAACTCCTACCAGGCCCCTCCCCTGACAGGTAGGAATTGCAATTCCACATGAGATTTGGGTGGGGACACAGAGCCAAACCATATCAGTATCCATACATAAATTGTCTATTCATACTTGGCCATTTGTGTATTAAAATCCTAACTATATTTTACAAACTTATTTGATTCCTTTTTACAATATAGGCATTATATGCTACTTCTCTGGTGATAAAATAAAATTCTATTTTCTGTGGCTTTATACCATTTAAAAATATGTTATGTATATAGCTTATTCATTTTTGTGTGAAGTATGAGCATAGGCCAAATTTAGATTTTCAGACTATACAATTATTATTTCTTCAACAATGGTATTGAATCACTTTTCTCATCTGTACCCCCTCTCCTTTGTTTTTAGCTCCAGAACTCATAGAAATGGTAAGATGAGATTAACAACTAGAATGTGGTAATTAAAAGAGATACTTTATGAACAACATACTATCAAATCTGAATTAGATAGTATGTTGATATTAGATATTAGAAGGCAGAATGGCAGTGTATTAGTCCACTTTTTCTACACTCATATATTGAGTACTTACTATGTTACACAGGCTGCACTTGAACTCTTGAGCTCAAATGATCCTCCCACCTCAGCCTCTCAAGTAGCTAGGGCTATAGGTGTGCCCTGTGTCTGGCTGACAGGTGTATTTTAGGTGCTTGGGACACACCAGCGAACAATGAGAAAATCCTTGTCCTATAAAATTTATAAAATTTTTGTGTATTTGAGGAAGCTTAAATAAATTAAATAAATAAAAATAAAACTTATTAAATGATGATCAGTGAGAAAAAAAGATAAAACAGGACAGAGGGTTAAGAAGAATCCAATTGCCTGTGGAGACTACAATTTTAAGTGAATTGTTCTGGAAAGGGTTCACTGTGAAGGAGGCCAGTGCTATGGTTTGAGGCCCATCCCCACCAAGTTCATGTGTTGGGAACTTAATCCCCAGTGCAACAGTGTTGGGGGGTCAAAAAAAAGATGATTAAGTCATGAGTGCTATTCCTTCATGAATAGATTAATGTCATCATTGCATGAATAGGTTAATTATCCTGAGTGTGGATTTGTTATATAAGTGAGGCCAGCCCTCTCTTGCTCCTCTCTTATACTCTCTTGCCCTTACACCTTCTGCCACGGAATGACACAGCACAAAGGCCCTTGCCAGATGCCAGTACCATACTCTTGGGCTTCCCATCCTCTAGAACCATGAGCCAAACAAATTTCTATTAATTATAGATTAGCCAGTCTCTGGTATTCTGTTATAGCAGCGCAAAATGGACTAAGTCAAAAAAATTGGCATTGAGAAGTAGAGCTTTTGCTATAACAAATACCTGAAAATGTAGAAGCAAATTTGGAAGTAGATGGTGGGTAGAGGCTGAAAGAAATTGGAGGAATTGCTAGAAAAAGCCTAGTTTGTTATGAATGAAAAATGAAGGACAATTCTGGTGAGGGCTCAGAAGAAGAGGAGAGCTGTAGAGAAAGTCTGAATCTTCTTAGAGATTACTTAAGTGGTCATCATCAGAATGTTGATAGAAATATGGACAGGGAAGACCATTCTGATGAGGTCTTAGATGGACATTAGAAACAAGATATTGGAAAATAAAGACCACCCTTGTTATATGATTGGTAAGACCTTGGGAGAATTGTGTCCATGTCCTAGGTCTTTGTGGAAAGTAGAATTGAAGAGCAACATACTAGGATATCTGGCAGAAGAAATATCTAAGCAGCAAAGCATTCAAGGTGTGGCAAGCCTCCTGTATTAGTCTGTTTTCATGCTGCTGATAAAGACATACCTGAGACTCGGTGATTTATAAGGAAAAAGAAGTTTAATGGACTCACAGTTCCACATGGATGGGGAGGCCTTCACAATCATGGCAGAAGGCAAAAGGTACTTTTTTGTTTTATTTTTTCTTTTTTTGAGATGGGATCTCCCTCTGTTGCCCAGGCTGGAATGCAGTGGCGTGATCTTGGCTCACTGCAACCTCTGCCTCCTGGGTTCAAGCAATTCTCGTGCCTCAGCCTCCCAAATAGCTGGGATTACAGGTGAGCACCACCATGCCTGGCTAATTTTTGTAATTTTAGTAGAGATGGGGTTTCACCATGTTGGCCATGCTGGTCATGAACTCCTGACCTCAGGTGATCTGCCCACCTTGGCTTCCCAAAATGGTAGTTTTACAGGCTTAAGCCACCACACCTGACCAAAAGGCACTTCTTACACAGCAGCAGGCAAGACAGAATGAGAGCCAAGCAAAAGGAGTTTCCCCTTATAAAACCGTTAGATCTCATGAGACCTTCTCGATACCACAAGAACAGTATGGGAGAAACTGCCCCCGTGATTCAATTACCTCCCACCAGGTCCTTCCAACAGCATGTGGGAAATATGGGAGTTATAATTCAAGATGAGATCTGGGGGGAGACATAGCCAAACCATACCACCTCCTTTTGGTCAACTTGCAGTAAAATGAGAGAGGTGAAAAATTATTTCAGGATGGAATTTACAATTTAAAAGGGAATAAAATGAGAAGATTTGGAAAACCCTCAGCCTGGTCATGTCAAGAATAAAAAAGTGTATTAGGGAGAGAATACTAATGGTGTGGCCAAGTGAATAATATGTCTAGAAGGGAACTAGGTGCTATTTATGAAGACAACGAGAGAATGACCTCACAGGCGGTTCAGAGATCTTTGAGGCAAGCCAAAACTTTCAGGACAAGCTTTCAAGAGAGGCACTTACAGTACTTTAGCATTCACAGCCCAGAGCTGCCTCAGAACTCCGCTTCCTGCATCTCAGCATAATGCTTCTTGGCCATGCCAGCCATAGCTTTAGTAGGCCCAGGTGTGGTTTGTGCTGCTGCTTTGGAAGGTGCAAGTAGCAAGCTTTGGCAGTGTCCACGCGGTGCTGACTCTGTAGATATGTAGAGTGCACGAGCTGTGGGGCCATGACAGCCTCCAACTAGATTTCATTTTTTTTTTTTTTGAGATGGAATTTCCCTCCGTCGCCCAGGTTGGAATGCAGTGGCGTGATCTTGGCTCACTGCAACCTCCACCTCCCAGGTTCAAGCAATTCTCCTGCCTCAGCCTCCCAAGTAGCTGGGATTACAGGCACATGCCATCACATCCAGCTGATTTTTGTATTTTTAGTAGAGACGGAGTTTCACCAATGTTGGCCAGGCTGGTCTCGAATTCCTGACCTCAAGTGATCTGCCTGCCTTGGCCTCCCAAAGGGCTGGGATCACAGCCATGAGCCACCATGTCCGGCCCTCCATCTAGATTTCAAAGGACATTGCAGACAATCTAGAGGCCCAGGCAGATACTTATCTTAGGGGCAGAGCCCCTGCAGAGCACCCTGACTAGGGCAATGCCTAATGGAGCAGTGGGAGTTGGGTAGCCTCCAAAACCCCAGAACTCTAGGGCCACCAGTGTGCAGCTCCAGACTGGGAAAGTTGCAGGAATGAGATTCCAACCCCTGAGAACTGCTGGGTGGACTAAGCCCAGCAAAGCCATAGGGGTGGGGCTGCCTGAGGCCCTGGACACCCAACCTCCACTCCAATGTGCCCAGGATGTGGGACATGGAGTCAAAAAAGGTTATTCTTCATCTTTAAGACTCAATGTTGTTTTCCTCATTGGGTTTGGACTTGATCGGGACCAGTTATCTGTTTCTTCTTGCCTATTTCTCCCTTCTGATATGAGAATGTCTATCCTATGCCTGTCTCACCATTGTACTTTGGAGGCAGGTATCTTATTAATTTCATAGGCTCATAAGTGGAGAGGAATTTGCCTCTGGATGATTCATGCCTCGAGTCTCATCCATATCTGATTCAGATGAGACTCTGGACTTTGGATTTTTGAGTTGGTGCTGTAATGAGTTAAGACTTTTGGGGCTATTGGGACAAAATGAATGTGCTTTGCATTGTGAGAAGGACGTGAATTTTGGGGGCCAGAGGCAAAATGCCATGGTTTGAATGTGTTGCTCAAAGTTGATGTGTTGGAAACTTAATTTCCAATGCAACAATGTTGGGAGGCAGGGCCTAATAAGAGGTAATTAGGTCATGAGGGCTCTGTCCTCATGAACGGATTAATGTAGTTATTAGGAGAGTGGCTTTGTTATAAAGGCGAATTTGGCCCCCTTTTGCTCTCTCTACAAAGCTTTTTCCAACTTTTCCATATGGTACTTGTTGACTATCTGTCTTGGGTTGGTATTTAGACCTGGATGGAGTTTACCACCCACTGTAAACTGCATTCCCAAGCAACCCAACTCCAGGAAGATCTGGGCTTGGTTAACCAGGCCTGCTACCAGTCTCACACTGTTCACATTCTCCATCAGCACTTGGGCCTGAGCTGCACTAGGGAGTGAGTCTTCCATACATCACATTTTCCACTCCTGACCACTGGGCAAGGATTCAGCACTAGGTTCTTCCCAATTCACTCGCCATTATTAGAGAGAATTTTTGTTAGTTTCTTTTCCGCTGATGACGAATATGTTTAAGTCCAGCAGGCTGCTATGCCTGATCTGAGGTTGTGAAACATACACCTTAACTAATACAGAGAGAAAGCAAAGGCAAGTGGCTGTCTAATGGAAGAATGTCCTAGGCAGGGGTAACAGCATGTGCAAAGGCCCTGGGGCAGCAGCATGTTCGTCACAGCAAGGAACAACAAGGAGGCCAGAGTGGCTGGAGTGGGGTGAGAAAGGAAACGAGATCAGAGAAATAAAGTGTGTGCAGATTGCGTAGGTTCGTAGAGCCTAAAAACATTTAACGAAGGATCTATAAACTGGAGCTAGAAACACAAAGAACATTTGGATTAATACAAAAGGAGAGAGAAGGTAGGTGACAATTCTATGAACTCGAATACAGGCTGCTGGGACAAATGCATGATATAGGTGTCACATTCTTAAGTGGATTCTAAATCTAGCATAGATGTTTTATGCTCTAGTGAGAAGTATATGGGCTTTGTAACTATATAAACAAGCTCAAATTCAAGCAGAGTGATTTTAGGAAAACTGGTAAAATTTTCCAAGACTCAACTTCAATGTCTGTAAAATAGATATGTGAAATGTACATAACCATTGTATGTTAAATGAGTATAATACCTATCGTAGAGTTAGAATATGAGAAGCTATTCTAGGCTACCTACTTTATTCCACCATCTGTAATCAAATCCGCGTTGGTTAACATTTCTTTTCTTTGTTCTTAAGGATGAGACACTGTTACAGTTTCTTCTCAAAGAACATTAAAAAAGTCTATTAACAGAAACACTTGAGATAATCTGCACCTGCTATAGCCATAGATGAAAGCCATCATCACCTTTCTCTTAGTTTGCAGATAGGCTTTAAAAAATATTCATTTTATAATACATATGTCCCTAAACCTCACAAGCCTGTGGCTACAAAATAAGGTCTCATCTAAAAAATATTTAAACTGTAACAACTTTGAGACCCCACACTAGTTTAGCAAAGTCCAGTCTTTCTCTCATCTCTCATGGGCAGTGCTGATTTTTAGTGTACTTCTTTATAAAAATATCTTTTTCTATTTTTATCTGTGTTATCTGTTCTTACTTTTCTCCTTATACTATAAGACCAGCCCATGTTCACAGTCTGGTGTACAGCTTAAGCTACTTTTCCTATATGTATATATTTATTTATAAACATATTCATACATACACATACTTTTTCACTTGTCTTACATATATGGAATTATACACACTCCTGTGAATGTTACTTTTGTCATTCAATAATATTGTCTGGAAATCTATCAGCACTGACTAATTTCACCCATTGTGCCCTTGATAAGCAAACAAAAACAAACAAAACAAAACAAAATACTTGTTCCATGTTGCCAAAGAACAATCCACAGAACAATTGGGGGAAATATAACTAAAGAGCTCCTTCATGTAATTTTTCCAAAACAAAGGAAATCTGTTCCAAGGGATAATTGATGTCACTACTGCTTGTGGCAGAAAATGTCTGGCAACTTTTAAATAAAACTTTTTCAGATTGAGAACAAAAGAAAACAAAACAAAAATAAAAATAGAGCCCTACTTTCACCAGGCACCCTGTAGCAGCCTGATGTGTTAACTGGTTTTGGAAAAGAACCCAAGTGATAGTCTTGATATAGAATATTGGGAGTGCTGGGATCCACCCAGAAGTTTCTTAATGCTCTTAAGTGGGCAATGCCTGCTATCTGATGCCAAAATTTCACCAGAGGAAAAATGATGCCCCACCATTAATAGACTAAAATCAGCAGGATAAAAACGACAAGTAGTAAATGTTAGGTTGTACGCTTATGTTAGTCAATTTCACACATTTTACTAGCATAGAAAAGGGAGAACTGGTGGTAGAAGTTGATGGGAAGGATGGTTAGGCAGTTTTAGCAAATTTCAAGTTTAACATGAGCAAATAGTGTTAAGCAGTTATTAAGTAAGCAGTGCAATCTAGGACTCTATTAATAGAAGTGTACTGCTCAGATCCCAGTGAGTAATGGACGCTTTATACTTTTGTGGTCAGCCCTTATTTGGAGTTCAGAGGTAGGTGCCTCGTTTTGAGAGGTATGCTGAAAAACCTCCTCCAGGGAGGATAATTATAGGGGATTGGGTTGTAATTTCACTTGAAAGGTTCTAGTTTTTTTTTTTTAAGAGAAAAACAGTCTGAATTAAATTTTTAAAAATGCTAACATTTATTCATTGTAAGGGGTAGGTACATGAGAGTTGGGAAAAAAAATTTATACTTTATAATAGTAGCCATAAATACTTTCCCAACTTAATCACCACTGATAATTTCTCACTAATCTTGTCATTAGCCTCTTGTTTTGGGCATGCTCATTACCTCTTTTAGTGACTAGGTTCTTTTTGGCTATGCTACATATGCCGTTCTCTATATTAGGAATCCAATTAATATTTATATTTGCTTTTTGTTTTATTTTTATTTTATTTTATTTTATTATTTTGTTACAGGGTCTCATTCTGTCGCTTAGGCTGGAGTGCTGTGGTGCGATCTCAGCTCACTGCAACCTCCACCTCCCGGGTTTAAGCGATTTTCTGGCCTTAGCCTCCTGAGTAGCTGGGATTACAGGCACCTGCCACCACACCTGGCTAAGTTTTGTATTTTTAGTAAAGACGAGGTTTCACCATGTTGGCCAGGCTGGTCTCAAAGTCCTGACCTCAAGTGATCTGCCTGCCTAGGCCTCCCAAAGCACTGGGATTACAGGCATGAGCCTATTTTTATTTTTTAAAATGTAAAAAATCCAGTAAGTATAGATTGAGCATTTTCCAAATCCCAGATGCATTAGCTGGGGCAAAGGGTAAGTCATGGGAAGAGATCCAGTGATGCAGCCTAAAGAGCAAAGAAGTTTATTTCCCTTCCACATAATAGTCCAAGGTGTCCAGTTCAGGTGAATGGGACAGCTTTTCTCTGGGCAGTCACAGAGTGACTCAGGTTCCTTCGGTGTATGGCTCCACCATCTCTATGGCCTTGCTGTTGTCTGCGTGGAGGCTGAGTCAGAGTCCTGTCTGGGTTCTAGTCAGCTGGGAAGAGAGAAAAGGGCAAGGAGAAAACATAACCACTTCTAAGACAGAAACTCAGAAGTGTTCATCATCACTTATGTTCATTACCCATTGCTAAGAACTTAGTCACCAGTAAGTAGGTCATCTAACAGAAAGGGAGGTCTGAAAATGTAGTTTAACCACATGCTCAGGAGGAAGGGGAGAATGAATTTTTGGTGAACCACTGCAGACTAGTCTCCACCTTACTAGATGATGCACTACGTGCATGAGAATTTTCCCTTCTCTTCTTTCTCTATCCAGGACACTTGTTCTCTTTAAAATCCACTTCATATCTTCTAGGATACATTTTCTAAATAGACAATCCTCTCTGCATTTTAAAATTATGTCTATAATATAAATTTCATTTTATTCAACATCTTTAAATCTGTCAATTCGTATTGATTAATACCTACTGTGTGCCAGTTATTACACTGACAGCAAGAATTAGGTAGTAAGGAAAATAGATACAGTTCCTGCCCCTCATAGAACTTAAGAGACCAGTGGGGGAAACAGATACTGTATATTTACTTAAGTTATTAAAGGCACAGTGAATAATTTTAAGTGTAATCTGAATTAAATGTATAAGTTAATTAAAAGTAGAAGTAGACGTCATGATGAGTGCTATGAAGGCATAGAACACAGTACCTTGAAAAATTATAAAGAAGGTTCTGTTTTAGACTGGACGTTTGAGGAAGGCATAGTGAACATGAATCAACTTACGTTTAAAATTTAGAATTACATCTCATTTGAATCTCTTTTTCTCAGCTGAGTGCAAAAGAATGCAACCAGGATGAAAAGAGTTCTAGAGAGGTGACATGAGAGGACTTCTCGAAAGATCCCTTGTCTTGAGAAAACTTAAGTACTGGCGGAGTGGGAAATGGGATCAGGGAGGCGGGGTAGCACATGTTATAGCGGTTTCCAGATACTGAGCGGCTGTCATACAGAAGAGAGACTACATTTGCTTTACTCCCAAGGATAAAACTAGGAACAATTAGAGGGAGCTGAAGAGATGAAGCTTTTAGATCAATAAAAAACAAACAAACAAACAAAAACACACACACAGCAAACCAAAACGTTCCATCAAATAGAGTATCTAAAAGACGATCTCATTAGATGGTGTCATTCCACAGAGGTGGAATGACAGTCTGTCAGGCACACTGGGGAACAAATTCCTAAACAGGATTAGAAGTTTACTAACACAGGCCGGGCGCGGTGGCTCACGCCTCTAATCCCAGCACTTTGGGAGGCTGAGGTGGGTGGATCACGAGGTCAGGAGACCATCCTGGCTAACACAGTGAAACCCCGTCTTTACTAAAAATACAAAAAATTAGCCACGTGGTGGCGGGCGCCTGTATTCCCAGCTACTCCGGAGGCTGAGGCAGAAGAATGGCGTGAACCCGGGAGGCGGAGCTTGCAGTGAGCTGAGATCGTGCCACGGCACTCCAGCCTGGGCTACAGAGTGAGACAACGTCTCAAAGAAAAAAAAAAGAAGTTTACTAACATAATTGCTCAAATCCTTTCTAAGGTTTTTCGGGATTTTCCTTCTTTCATGCACAGTATACCGATTAGTAAGGTAAAAACATTGTAACTTTAGCTGTGAGGTCAGAAAACGTTGAACATAAAAAATCTCGAAAAATTATAATTAATATATTTTTTAAATTGATCTGTTTTGCTAATGATTTAGAAATAACTGTACAATAGTTTGGAGATATTAAGTGACTGGAGAATGGTATATAAGAAGCACATTTAGTGCTTTTTAGGTGCTAGATCCTAATCTACTCCGTAGGCTTTGAAACAGACCTACAGGACAGAATGTGAAGTAGTATAATATGTTCTCAGGCTGACATTTCTGTTAATGGTGTTTATCTTTATGGCTCCTTTTAGCAACATGGATGGTAAATGTAATTGGTAGAAATGTATAATCACAGCCAGAGGATATTATTAAATAAGAAAAATACAGATGCTTCTCCTCTTAATGAGGTTATGCCCCAATAAACCCATTGTAAGTTGAAAATATCGTGAGTCAAAATTGCATTGAATACACTAACCTATCAAACATCATAGCTTAGCCTAGCCAACCAGAAACATGCTCAGAACACTTCAATTAGCCTCTAGTTGGGAAAATTCATTTAACACAAAGCTTATTTTATAATAAAATGTTGAATGCCTCATGTAATTAATTAAATACTGTCACCATGTTAGCCAGGATGATCTCCTGACCTTGTGATCCACCCGCCTTGGCTTCCCAAAGTGCTGGGATTACAGGCGTGAGCCACCGAGCTTGGCCTTTTTATTTTTTTTAGAGATAGGGTCTTGCTCTGTCACCCAGGCTGGAGTGCAGTGGCATGATCATGGCTCACTGCAGCTTGGAACTCCTGCACTCAAGTGATCCTCCTGCTTCAGCCTCCCAAGTAGCTGGGACTATAGGTGTGGGCCAACCTGCCTGGCTACTTTTTAATTTTTTTTTTTTTTTTTTTGTAGAGACAGGGCCTTGCTATGTTGCCCAGGCTGATCTTGAACTCCTGGCCTCAAGCAATGCTCTCCCATCAGCCTCCCAAAGTGCTGGGATTACAGATGTTAGCCACTACACCTGGTCAGGACACTGTTTTCTGTCAGGTACCTTGATAGTTACTTCCAGCTCCAAAATCTCATGCTAATTAAGTTAAGAAACTCTCAAAGTTTTTTCCCAAAGTTTTCTCCATAAATGCTAGATTAACTTTGTTTTTAATTTTCTTCTCAGGATTCAGTATAGTTAGAAAGAAAAGTGAAAATAATGTAGAAAGGGTAAGAAGAGTATTTCTTACCTTAATTTGCCAAACTTTCATTATAATAAACCTCTTATTTTCCAGTATTAGACAATTATTGCCCTCTGCTACTTATCAACTGTGAACTCTTAAGCAACGGATTTGTCCTTTTTATACCTAAAGTTTTTGATTTTCAAAATCAGGATTAGAATATCTACTTTCAGGTTTATGATGAGAATTTACTACGATAATCTATGTAAAAGGACCTCACACAGTGATGAGCCTATATTGGGACTAAATGCCCACTTACTTTATTTTTTCTTCCAACTACGTACTTAAAAATATTCTATTCGGCCGGGCGCGGTGGCTCACGCCTGTAATCCCAGCACTTTGGGAGGCCGAGGCGGGCGGATCACGAGGTCAGGAGATCGAGACCATCCTGGCTAACACGGTGAAACCCCGTCTCTACTAAAAAATACAAAAAATTAGCCGGGCGTGGTAGCGGGCGCCTGTAGTCCCAGCTACTCGGGAGGCTGAGGCAGGAGAATGGCGTGAACCCGGGAGGCGGAGCTTGCAGTGAGCCGAGATCGCGCCACTGCACTCCAGCCTGGGCGACAGAGCGAGACTCCGTCTCAAAAAAAAAAAAAAAAAAAAAAAAAAAATATATATATATATATATATATTCTATTCAACATATTTTTATTTTTCAGGTTTAGTCAATGCTTCTGCAGATGCTTTTCGGAAAGTCTGGTTACTGGTGAACTTACTTTTTTCATTACCTTAGATATTTTTTAAAATTACGGTAAAATATGCAAACATGAAATTTACTATCTTAACTATTTGTAAGTGTACAGTTCAATATTATTAAGTATATTCACATCGTTGTGCAACCAATTTGCAGAACTTTTTCATCTTGCAAAATCGAGGCTCTATACCCATTAAATAAGTCCCCATTCCTCCCTACCCTCAGCTTTATTTTCTCTTTCTATGAAATTGATTACTCTAGATCCTTATGTAAGCAGAATCATATAGTATTTGTCTTTTTGTGACTGGCTTATTTCACTTGGTGTAATGTCCTCAAGGTGCATCCATGTTGCGGCATGTGTCAGAATATCCTTGGTGAACTTAATTTTAAAAATAAACTTTCTATGATGTGCTTGCTAAAATTTCCAGATTTCCTTTAATATTATATTTCTCCACGTATTGATAGATAATGATGCCCCCAATACCATATACTATTATTGTGAAACTGTAAAAAGTGAAATAGTGCCTAGAAGCAGCCTCTAGTCACTAACACTATGCTTGTTATGAATATCCCACTTTGTTTTGTGTATGTACATGGGGTCATATTTATTACTCTGAATCAGCCAGTGTTCTCCTCCATAGGCTATTCTCTGTTAGCACTCTAGTTCAGAATTGTAGTAAGAAGTCCAATGAACAGAAAGGAATGCTGTAAAAAGCATATTTCAAACATTATTTAGACTATCTATTGATTCTGAGAATTCCTGAGCAACTTTAATTTAAAATGCTCATTTTCCCACTCAATGCCTCCTGTTACTAGATTCCTTTCTGGGCTCCACTTCAAGTCTTGCTTTCTGTGTTCTTTCTCTCTGTTTGGAATGTACAGCCTCCCAGAGTTCCTGGAACTCTTCCGAATGTGGTGATTTGGTTCTCCTCCAAGACCTTCACTGAATTCAGATGCACTGCTAACTTTCCCAGAGCTGGCCCCTTGAAATCAGGCAGAAGGCAGTCTTGGTGGTTAGTAGAAAATACTCTTTTAGATTCAACATATGCAACTACTTTTCACTTCTTTGTGGCTGTTGAACCTACTTCTTTTCTCCCTTTGCTTCATGGGGAAATGACCTGGTGGTTAGGGTGGAGTATGGAGCGAGGTGAGTTGGAGAGGATTCTAGGAGGAGGGAGGATAACAAGGTGGGAGGAGTGTGATCCAGCTGTGGAGAAATCCCCAAATGTTGTCAAATGGGGTCAACATTTCTTGTAGAAATACACTCAATGTCTGTTACCACAGTTTCCTTGAATAATGTTCAATAGTTTTTAAAAATTAATTTATTAAAAATTTAAATTAATGACTATCTTAGTCTGTTTTGTGCAGCTATAACCACAGAACAGGTTATTTATAATGAACAGAAATTTATGTGGTCACAATTCTGGTAGCTGGGGAGTCCAAGTGCATGGGACCAGCATCCTGTGAGGGCCTTCATGTTGCCTTATCCCATAGCAATAGGTGGAAGGGGAAGAGAGTACAAGGAAAGAGCAAGAGAGGGCTGAACTCACTTTTATAACAAATCCAGTCTCGTGATAATGAACCCTGTCCTGTGATAACGATGTTAATGCATTCATGAGGGCAGATCCCTCATGATGTAATCACTCTTCAAGGTCCCATTTCTCGGCACTGTTGCATTGGAGATTAAGTTTTCAACACATGAACATTGGGGGACATATTCACACCATAGCATGACTTTTAAGCCTGGCTGTCTCCTGTATTTCAACTTTTTCACTTTTAATTCATTTGTCTTTTAGGCTAGCCACAAGATATATTTTCCTCATCTGGAATAATTTCCCCAAGTTCCCCTTCTACCATCCCATAGCCTCATGTTCTTTAAAAGTCACCTATTAGTGGATGATTAGATGCAGAAAAAAGTCAGCTATAACTCACTTAACTTCAGGGACCCTCCCCTGATTAAAAGGTACTACTCTATAAAGTGATTTCCTATTTACAAGGAGGTGAATTTTAATTCACACAAGAGATAGTTTGATTAAATATTTATGAATTATGAATATTTATACACAAGTCTTTGCATGGACATATGATTTCATTTCTCTTAACTATATACCTAGAAGCAAAATGGCTGGATTATATGATATGTATGTGTAACCTTTTAGGAAACTGCCCCAAACCAATTATGTCATTTTACTTCTCCACTGGAAATATGTTAATGTTTGTTATTCTGCATCTACATCAACACTCGGTATAGTTGCTCTTTTTAATTTTTGATATCACAAACATAGTGGTATCTCATTGTGATTTTAATTTGCATTTTCTTAATGACTGATGATGTTAAGCAAGTGCTCAACTTGCCATCCACATACCTTCTTTAATAAGGTGTATGTTAAAATCTTTTTCTCATTTTTTATGGCTTGCCTGTTTTTTATTATTAAATTTTGAGAGTTTTTATGTATTCTGTATGTAAGTTCCCTATCAGATATGTAATTTGCAAATATTTTCTCTTAGTCTAAATTCTGATGATGTCCAACTTATCTTTTTCATTTTATGAGTCATGTTTATGGTGTGGTGTCTATGAAATTCTTTGCCTAACTCAAGTTTACATATAGACTTTTTCTCATGTTTGGTCTAGAGGTTTATAGTTCTAGTTCCTATATCTAGTTCTTTGATCTACTTAGAGTTATTTTTATACGGTGGGGGTATAAATCAAAGTTCATTTTTTGCCTATGACTATCCAATTTTTACAGCAAAATTGGTTTAAAACACTGCCCTTTCTCCACTGAGTTGCTTTTGCAACTTTGTTGAAAATCAATTGACCCTTTATATGTGGGTTTATTTTAGACCCCATTCTGTTCTATTGATCTATTTGCCTATTTTAAAAATCAATACCACACTGTCATAATTACTATAGCTTTATAATAAGTCTTGAAGTCAGGTAATGAAAGTTCTTTCTCTTTCAAATTGGTCTTCTCTTTCAAAATTTTGCTGGTTATTCCAAGTTTTTATATTTTCATATAATTTTAGCATTGGCTTGTTGATTTTTACAAAAGATTCTGCTGGAATTTTTTATTGAGATTACTTTGAACTAATAAGTAAATTTTCAGATGACCTATTAGTCAATCTTAGCCTAAGATTTTAGCAAAATTTAGTCTTACTTATGGACATCTTAGCCATATTTAATGTCTCATCCATGAGCATAGTATATATCTCCATTTATTTAGATCATCTTTAATATATCTCAGCAATGGTTTGTAGCTTTTAGTGTACAGGTCTTGCATACATCTTGTCAGATTTATCATCAAATATTTCATATCTGTGATGTTATTGTAAATGGTATTTAAAAAATTAGGTGCAGACTTTTCATCAATGTTTTTCAGTAGGTTAAGAAAGTCCCATTCTACTCCTAGCTTGCCAAGAGATTTTTTTAAGATTGGAAATGGAAGTTGGATTTTGTCAAATTCTTTTTGTACATTAATTGATATTGTGATATGGCTTTTCTTTTCCCTCTTTTAAAAAATATAGTAAATCACATTCATTTATTTTTAAATGTTAAATCAACTTTGCATTCCTGGGATAAACCCCACTTGTTCATGATGAATTTTCCTTTTGATATATTGTTGGATTTTATTTGCTAAAGTTTTATTTAGTTTTTTTGTACATATATTCATGAGGGATATTCTTCTGTGAATTTATTTTATTATAATGTCTTTATCTGGTTTTAGTAAAAGAGTAAAGAGCAATGCTGGCTGAAAGAATGAGTTAGGATATATTTTTTTCAAAATTAATTAGATGAATTTTTTTTTTTTTGAGACAGGGTCTCACTCTGTCACCCAGACTGGAGTGCAGTGGTACAATCTCGGCTCACTGCAACCTCTGCCTCCCGGGTTCAAGTGATTCTCCTGCCTCAGCCTCCAGAGTAGCTGGGATTACAGGTGTGTGCCACTACTGACCGGCTAATTTTTGTATTTTTTTAGTTTCACCATGTTGGCCAGGCTGGTCTGGAACTCCTGACCTCAAATGATTCATCCATCTTGGCCTCCCAAAGTGCTGGGATTACAGGCATGAGCCACCATGCTTGGCCTAAATGTCCTTAAATAAGCTTTGGTAGTTTGTTTTTTTTCCAAGAAACTTATCTATTTTATTTAAATTGTTGAATTTATGGACATAAAGAGAACTATTATATATAAGTCCCTTATGATTCTTTTATTTTCTCTACAATCTGTAGTGATATCACTTCTCTCATTCATGAATTATTGATTTGTGCCTTCTCTCTTTCCTGATCAGTATGGCTAAACGTTTGTCAATTTTTATTATCCTATCAGAGAACCAGCTTTTGGTTTTATTAATTTTCTCTACATGTTGATTTGTTAGTTCATTGATTTCTGTCTGAATTTTATCTTCTGCTATTAATGTCTAATTTTGGTTTTCATTTGCTATTCTTTTTTAAAAGGTAGAAACTGAGGACATTGATTTGAAGTCTTCTTTTTTTCTAATATAGGCACTTAGTGCTATATTTCCTTGCCTCACTTGCATCTCACAAGCTTTTGTATGTTGTATTTTCACTCAACTCAAAATACTTTATACTTTCTCCTTTGATTCATTTTCCCTTTGATTTTTTCTAGATCTGTATTATTTTATTTCCAGATATTTCTAGATCTTTTCTAGATATCTTTTTGTTACTTTTTGATTTCTAATACAATTCCATTAAGGTCTGAGAACAACTTTGTGTAACTTGAACCATTATAAATGTTTTGAGACTTGTTATGTGCCACAAAATATGGTCTATTCTGGTAAACAGTCCATGTGAACCGAAAAAAAAATGTGCATTCTTGTATTGTTGGATGCAGTGTTTTGCAAATGTCATGTAGGTCACATTGGTTCATGGTGTTGTCCAAGTCTTCTGTATCTTTACTTGTATTCTGTCTACTTCCTCTATCAATTATTGAGAGAGTTGTTGAAATCTCTATTATTTGCAATTCTATCAGTTTTTGCATTATATATTTTGAAGCTCTGTTATTAGCTTCATATACATTTGAGATTACTATGTTCTCTTGAAGAAGTGATAACTTTATCATTACAAAATAATCTTCTTTATCTCTGGTAGTATTCTTTTCTTTAAAGTCTCCTTTATTTAATATTAACATAACCACTGCATCTTTCTTTTGATTTTATTTTAGTACAGTCTATCTTTCTATCCTTTTATTCTATTTGTGCCTTTCTATTTAAAGTGAGTTTATTTTAGGCAGAATTGTATTGGATTTTGCTTTCTCATCTGTCTTGTACATTTGGGCTGCTATAACAAAATAAAATAAACTCAAATAGGTTATAAACAAAAGAAATTTATTTCTCAGAGTTCTGGAGCCTGAGAAGCTCAAGATTAAGGCAAATTCAGTGTCTGGTGAGGGCCTGCTTCCTGGTTCATAGATGGTGGCTTCTAGTTGTTTCCTTACATGGTGGGAGGAGTGAGGCAGCTCTAACTCTCTGGGTCCTCTTTTAAAGGTCACTAATTCTACTCATTGGGGCACTGTCCTCATGACCTAATCACCTCTTAAGGGCTCTGCCTCCTATTAGCTTCACATTGGTGATTAGGTTTCAGCATATAAATTATGGGGAGATACAAACATCCTGGTCATAACATTATCAAATCTGCCTATTTCCGCTTTTTAACAGGTATGTTTAGACCATTTATATTTAGTGTGATTATCTACCATCTTGTTATTTGTTTTCTATTTGTCCACTTTTTGTTTGGTCTTTTCTTCCTCTTTTTGTACCATCTTTTAGATTAAGTTTTTTTTTTCTTTTTGAGATGAAGCCTCACTCTGTCATCCAGGCTGGAATGCAGTAGCATGATCTCGGCTCACTGCAGCCTCCACCTATTAGATTCAAATGATTCTCCTGCCTCAGCCTCACGAACAGCTCGGATTAAAGGCACCTGCCACCACACCCTGCTAATTTTGTATTTTTAGTAGAGATGGAGTTTGCCAAGTTGGCCAGGCTGGTCTCAAACTCCTAACCTCAGGTGATCCACATGTCTTGGCCTCCCAAAGTGCTGGGATTACAGGTGTGAGACACCGTGCCTGGCTGAGATTGAGTTTTTTAATGACCCATTTTATCTTCCTTGTTGACTTATTTGCTATAACTCTTTGTTGTATTATTTCAGTAATTGCATTAGAATTTATAGAATATCTATTTAACTTAACATAGTCTACTTTCCCATAATATGATACCACTACATAAATAGTAAAAATCTAGAACAATATCAGTCCATTTTTTCCTTCTTGGTCTTTGTGCTATTTTCATGCAGTTTACTCTACATATGTTTCAAGCCCCACTATACATTATTATTTGTGCTTTAAACAGTTGATTATCTTTGAAATGATTTGAAGAGTATAAAAATGTCTTCAAATGTTCCTATGTAGTTACCATTCTGGTGCTCTTCACTCCTTTGTGTAGACTTAGATTTCCATCTGGTATTGTTTTCCTTTTGCTTCAAGGATTTCTTTTATTTCTTACAGAGCTGGTGTGATAAGGTAAATTATTTTAGTTCTCAGAACAAAATAATTATTTCGTTTCTTTTTGAAAAATAATTTCACTGAGAAGATGTTGTACTTTCTTACTGAGTGAAAGTCCTAGGTTGGTAGTTTTTCCTTTCAGTACTTTAAAGACATTGGTTCCCTGTTTCCTGGCTTGCCTTGTTTTTGACAAAAAGTCTTCCATTATTCTTATTTTTATTACTGTCAGTAATGTATTATTTCTGATTGCTTTCAGAGTTTTCTCTTTTTTTCCTGGTTGTAGCCAATTCGATTATGACCTATATTGGTATAGTTTTCCTTCTATTTCTTGTGCTTCTTGCATCTTTGGTTTTGATAGCTTTTACCAAATTTGAAAGGTTTTTTGGCCATTATTTCTTCAGATTCCTCCCCTTCTCTCAACCACTATTGGGGATGCCAATACCATAAATATTAGTTAGGCCTTTTGAAATGTTCCCCAGCTCAATGATGCTCTGCTAGCTTTTTTTCTCTGCGTTTTTTGTTTTGTTTTGTTTGTTTTGTTTTTTATTTTTTGAGACGGAGTCTTGCGCTGTGGCCCAAGCTGTAGGGCAGAGGCATGATCTCACCTCCCTGCAGTCTCTGCCTCTTATGTTCAAGTGATTCTCCCGCCTCAGCCTCCCAAGTAACTGGGATTACAGGTGTGTGCCACCATGCCAGGCTAAATTTTGGTGTCTTTAGTAGAGACAGTTTCACCATGTCGGCCAGGCTGGTCTTGAACTCCTGACTTCAAGTGATCCACCCACCTTGGCCTTCCAAAGTGTTGGGATTACAGGGGTGAGCCACCGTACCCGGACTTTTTTTTTTCTCTCTCTATTTATTTTGGATAGTTTTCATTGCTAGGTCTTCAGGTTCACTAATCTATTATTTTACAATGTCTAATCTATCATAAATTCATCCAGTGTGTTTTTCATCACAGATATTATAGATTTTATCTTTAAAATTTTAATGTGGTTCTTCTTATATCTTCCATGTCTTTATGTAACATGTTCAGTCTTTCCTCTAGCTTCTTGGACATGTGGGATACAGCTATAACTATTTAATGTCTATCTACTAATTCTATCATCTGCATTTGTTTTGATAACTTCAATTGATTTGTTTTCTCCTAATTTATGTCATATTTTTCTATTTCTTTGCCTACCTGGGTAATTTTTTGATTGAAATCCACACAGTTGTGAATTTTTTCATGTTGGGTGTTGGATATTTTGTATTCCTATAAATATTATTGAGCTTTGTTCTTAAATGTAGTTACTTGAAAACTGTAGGATCTTTTGGGTCTTACTTTGAGCTTGTTGTGTGTGTGTAGTTGGGGTAGACCAGAGCAGCAGTATTCCTCTAGGACTAAATATGCCCCTACACTGAGGCAAACCTTTTTGAATACAGTACTCAGTGCTCCATGAAGTCTGAGGCTTTCCACTCTGGCGTAATTCCTAGTCCTGTGTGAACTGTGGGATTATTTGCTGAAATCATTTTGTATAGCTCTGTATTTGGCCTCAAGTAGTTTCCTGACACCCACATATATACTTATATATTCATTGGTTGCTCAAGGGAGACTGGTCTCTGGTATCATTTCCTCTGAAGCTGTCTCATCTCTGGTACTCTGCCTGCAAACTCTAGCCACTTTGGCATTCTTGGATGCCTAGTTCATCTTCTCATCTCTGGGAGACTAAGAGACGTCCTGTCCTCCTCCTTGCATGCAACCTGAAAATTTTCCCCAAGAAGTATGCTAGGGCAATTCACAGGGCTTCTCTCATTTATTTCCTGTCTCAGGGATCATTGTCTTTTGTTGTCTGATGTTCAATGTCTTGAGAACTGGTGTTTGAGTATTTTCTCCAGTATCTTAATTTTTTTAGAAAAGATGGTAAAACTGGTTCTGTTAAACCATCTTGGTCATAATTAGAAGTCTCCAAAAGCCTAAAAGATTTATCGTTGAGACTGTTTTTTAAATTTTATTTTATTTTTATTTTTTTTAGAAACAGTTCGTCACTTTTACCCAGGCTGGAGGACACTGGCACAATCATAGCTTACTGCAGCTTCCAATTCCTGGGCTCAAGCAATTCTCCCATCTCAGCCTTCTGTGTAGCTGGGGGACTACAGGTGCACACCACCGCATCCAGCTAATTTTTGTATTATTTTTGTAAAGACAGGGTCTTCCTATGTTGTCCAGGCTGGTCTTGAACTCCTGGCCTCAAGTGATCCTTCTGCCTCATCTTCCCAAAGTGCCAGGATTACAGGCATGAGCCACTGCACCTGGCCCTTTGAGACTATTTTTAAAATCTATCACTCCTTAACAAATCTTCATTTTTTGGGTAATTCTTGTATTCAGTTATTGTATTATTGATTAATTAATTCATTCAATATTTATGTATTCCTACCATGTTCCAGATATGAAGTCAAGAACTGGGAATTCAAGCATGATCCCTGACCTTGAGGTACTCACATACTACAAGAAGATATAGACACATTAATAAATAATCGCAATGCAGTGTGTTTAGTAGCAGAGCAGATAAATATACAAAGTAAAATAACAGATCACAATGTGGAGAGGTAATCAGTTTTACTTGATGAGGGGAGAAAGGAGGAGATGACACATGTTGAGTTTTAAACAATCTGTATATAGGACCATAGAAATGGAAGCTGGCCAGACAGACTGGCATGCATATGAAAGAGATATGAAACAACATGGTTTAAGAACTGCATATGTTTAGAATGGTTAAAATATAAGCTTTGAGGCAGAGACCTTAGAAGTTAAGGTGAAATGCATTTACGGATAGATAGCAAATGTCTCTTTTTGACATGCAACACATTTGTTTGACCACCTTGGCAACAGAAAGACAAGAATGGCTTAAAACAGGGAAAGTAATGTGATCTGATTTGCATTTCAGAAAAAGCACCCTGGAGGAAATAGGTAGGACATTGGAGAGTAGAGAGAGAGGGGGGTGGGGGGGAGAGAGAGATGAGTTGGAGTCTCGCTCTGTGGCCCAGGCTGGAGTGCAGTGCCACGATCTCGGCTCTCTGCAAGCCCTGCTTCCCGGGTTCACACCATTCTCCTGCCTCAGCCTCCCGAGTAGCTGGGACTACAGGGGCCTGCCACAACACCCGGCTAATTTTTTATATTTTTAGTAGAGACGGAGTTTCACCGTGTTAGCCAGGATGGTCTGGATCTCCTGACCTCGTGATCCACCTGCCTCGGCCTCCCAAAGTGCTGGGATTATAGGCGTGAGCCACCTAGCCTGGCCCTGCCTCCATTTTTGTGCCATTGGACTTCTTTCTCTATAATCATCCAACATAATCTTTCAAAAACCTGACCTAAATCTGAGCCTGTTACTGTTAATGATTGCATTTGGCCTTTGGATAAGTCCTTCCTTTCTTACCATGACCCTTCACAAAGAAGGCCCAAGGTCCCTCTCCGAACTAATCCATTACCATGCAGCCCCTCATACACTACAGTCCAACCATACCGATTTTGTACATGATATTCCTTCTGCCTCGGACATTCTCATTTTGGTCCTTTTCCTTTTCTTCCCCAGCACCTGCTTCCCCAGCAAGAGTTCCTTGGTGGCAAACTCTATGTCAACATTTTGGTTGTAACCTAACCATCTTTTCTGGGAGGCCAAATCTCTTTTCTTAGATTAGGTTTTCCTGTTATTTGACTCAGCTTTAGATTAGATTACATTAGGTTTTCTTGCTATTTCCTTTTTCTTGCACCCCACCTTTTCCGAGTTTTAACATTCATCATATTTTATTTAATCACTTACTTAGTTTTCTCTTTTTCCAAATAGACTATCAACTCGAAGAGGGTAGTTGGCTGTTTTCTCTGACCACCTTGTCTAAGTGCCTAACACAATTCCCATTGCTTAGTGACCCTAAATCAATATTTGTTGAATAAACTGTAAAAATGGGCATTTTGTAAAATTTAAGAAAGGTTGGCAACATTACCAACTGTTTAATGATTCATAGAGTCATTTTTTTTTTTGTAAATTGTATTTAGTATATGTAATTTTTTTTTTTTTTTTTTGAGACAGTCTCACTCTGTTGCCCAGGCTGGAGTGCAGTGGCTCGATCTCGGCTCACTGCAACCTCCGCCTCCCAGGTTCAAGCGATTCTCCTGCCGTAGCCTCCCGAGTAGCTGAGATTACAGGCATGCACCACCACGCCCAGCTAATTTTTGTATTTTTAGTAGAGACGGGGTTTCACCATGTTGGCCAGGCTGGTCTCAAACTCCTGACCTCAGGTGATCCACCTGCCTGGGCCTCCCAAAGTGCTGGGATTACAGGTGTGAGTCACCACACTCGGTCGTAATTGTATTTTTAAGGATTATTTTTTTTCTCTGTAGTTTTGTTATATAGGCAATATAGGAATAAATTATTTTTATAAAATATTCAAATATATGGAAATACATAGGGTAATACAAGTTTATCTTTACCTCACACATTATAAATACACACATATATTAATGTGTATAACTTGAGTCCTTTTTCTCTGCATTAACATATATCAAATGTAGATTTAAAAACAAGTAAAATAGTACTTCACGTGTATGAAACTCAATGAATATGTCTTAGTGACTGTCCCATGGTGATACACAAAGTTCTATCTTATTCTTAATAGTTGCGTATCATTACCTAGTATTTTTGATATGCCACAAGTTATTAAACTAGTCTCTGTATTTACAAATATTTGGACTATTTAAAATTTTTCATTATTACAAATGATGTTACAATAAACATCTTTGTTCAAATATCTTTGTGCCCATATTTTAAATCTATAGGTTGGATTGATACAAAATTATCACATAAAAGAATATATAAAATTTTAACTTTAAAAGATACTATTGGCTGGGCCCTGTGGCTCACACCTGTAACCCCAATACTCTGGGAGGCTGAGGTGGGAGGATAACTTGAGGTCAGGAGTTTGAGATCAGCTTGGCCAATATGGCGAAAGGCAAAATCCTGTCTCTACTAAAAACACAAATTTACTTGTTTTTAAATCTACATTTGATATATGTTAATGCAGAGAAAAAGGACTCAAGTTATACACATTAATATATGTGTGTATTTATAATGTGTGAGGTAAAGATAAACTTGTAGTATTACCCTATGTATTTCCATATATTTGAATATTTTATAAAAATAATTTATTCCTATATTGCCTATATAACAAAACTACAGAGAAAAAAATAATCCTTAAAAATACAATTACGACCAAGTGTGGTGACTCACACCTGTAATCCCAGCACTTTGGGAGGCCCAGGCAGGTGGATCACCTGAGGTCAGGAGTTTGAGACCAGCCTGGCCAACATGGTGAAACCCCGTCTCTACTAAAAATACAAAAATTAGCTGGGCATGGTGGCACATGACTGTAATTCCAGCTACTTGGTAGGCTGAGGCATGAGAATCGTTTGAACCCAGGAGGCAGAGGTTGCAGTGAGTCAAGATCACGCCACTGCACTCCAGCCTGGTCTACAGAGTGAGACACTGTCTAAAAAAAAAAAAAAAAAAAGATACTGTTAAATTGCTTTCCAAAAGGGCTTTACTAATTGGTTCTCTCATGAAGTATGCATAAGTCTTCCTTTCCCGAAATTCTTGCTAACACTGGATATTATCAAGACTTTACATTTTCGCTAATGGTTCCTTAAGAAGCTCTTGCAAAATAAATAAAATAAAATAAAAATTTGCCAGTTTGATAGGTATAAAGTGATATATCACTCTTGTTTTAGTTTGCATTTTTACAATTTTTAGAGAACTTGAACATCTTATGTTTATTCTGTATTTGAATTTCTTCTGTGAATTGTTGATTGCTCATTTTTTTTACTGAGTTGTCTTTTTAGAAGCTCTTTATATATTCTTTGCCAGTTACATATGTTGCAAATATGTCTTCTACTTGTCTTTTAATGTTTTAAAGGATATCATGCAACAAATAGAATTTTTAAAGTGTCATGTAATTTGATCTTTTCACATTTTTCTTGATGGTTTTTGAGCTCACAGTGTTTTTAGAAGGCATCTTTATCCCAAGTAATGTTATAAAAATATTATATTAATTTTTCTTCTAATAATTTATGGTTAATTAGCATTTTATGTTTTAATCCATTTAGAACTTTTTATGTGCTATGTGGTAGAAATACAACTTAATTTATTCCCCAAATGGTAGTTGCACATTCCCTAGCCATTTATTGAATTGTACATTCTTTCATCAGTGATTCCAAATGCTATATTTTTATAACTAAAAAGTCTTATATATACATGGGTCTGTTTTGGGCTTTATATTCCATTTTCTGATTTATTTGTTAATGCCTTTTCCAAATTTCATGTTTTTTAAAACAGTTTTTAGTTTTATTTGACAAAAATAAAAATTATATATACTTATGAGCTGCAATGTGATGTTTTGATACTACATACACTGTGGAATAATCAAATAAGGCTAACTAACATATCCATCACCTCAAATATTTATCATTTCTTTGTGGTAAGAATATTTAAAATCCTCTCTATTATCTAACTTGAAGTATACACAAATTATTAACTTTAATCACCATGCTTTACAATAGAACACCAGAACTAATTTCTCCTCTCCAGCTGAAACTTAGTACCCATTGCCCAATATCTTCCCTTTTCCCATTCACCCCCACCCCGACTCTGGTAATCACCATTCTACCATCTACTTCTATGAGGTTGACTTTTTTAGAGTCCACGTATAGATGAAATCATACAGTATTAGTTTCTCTGTGCCTGGCTTATTTCATTTAACGTATGTCCTCAGATTTATCTATATTTTTGAAAATGACAGAATTTCCTGTTTTTTCTTTTTTAAAGCTGAATAGCATCCTGCTGTATATAGGTTTTATATAATTACATAAAAATCCATTTATTTGTTGATAGTCACTTAAGTTGTTTCCATATCTTGGCGATTGTGAATAATGCTGCAGTGAACATGGGAGTGTAGACATCTCTTTGACATATTAATTTCAGTTCCTTTGGGTAAATATCCAGAAGTGAGACTGATGGATCATATGGTAATTCTATTTTTAGCTTTTTGAAGAACCTCCTTACTATTTTCCAAGATAGCTATACAAAGTTAAAGGTGTCAATTTATCAAGAGGATATTACAGTCTTAAAAAAGATATGTACTCACCAATAGTGTACAAAGGTTCCCCTTTCTCATCATTGCCAATACTTGTTATGTTTTATCATTTTGATAACAGCCAATCTAGTGGGTATGAAGTGATATCTCATTGTGATTTCAATTTGTATTTTTCTGATTATTAGAGATGTTAGCATTTTTCATAAATCTTTTGGCCATTTGTATGTCTTCTTTTGATAAATGTCTATTTAAGTCCTTTTCCCATTTTTAAATAGGATTATTCATTTTCTTGTTTATTGAGTAGTTTGAGTCCCTTATATATTTTGGGTATTAGCCCCTTAACAATGTGCAATTTTCAAATGTTCTTTCCTGATCTGTGAGCTGTTTTCTTACTTTATTTTTTCCTTTGCTGTGCAGAAGCTTTTTATTTCGATGCAATCCCATTTGTTTATTTTTGCTTTTATTGCCTGTACTTTTGGGGTCATACTCAAGAAATCACTGCCTAGATCAATGTCATAAAGCTTTCTCCCTATGTTTTCTTCTAGTAGTTTTATAGTTTCAGTTCTCACATTTAGGTCTTTAATCTATTTTGAGTTGATTATTGTGTAAGAGGTGAAATAAGAGTCCATCTTTATTCTTCTTCCATATGTGCCTATTTAGGTTTCCCAACACCGTTTATTAAAGAAACTGTCCTCTTACCATTGTGGATTCTTGGTATCTTTGTTAAAAATCAATTGACCATAGATGTGTGGGTTTATCTCTGGGCTCAATCCTATACCATTGATCGATATTTCTGTTTTTATGCCAGCATCATACTGTTTTGTTACTAGAGCTTTGTAATATATTTTGAAATTTGGTAGTGTGATGTCTTTGTCATTGATCTTTTTGATCCAGATTGTTTTAGCCATTCAGGATCATTTGTGTTTCCATACACATTTTAGGATTAATTTTTCCATTTCTGTGAAGAGTGACATTGGACTTTTGATAGGAATTGCATTGACTCTGTAGATTGCTTTGGGTATTATGACTTTTATCAATGTTTATTCTTCCAATCCATTAACACAGGATATATTTCCATTTATTTATGTCGTTTTCAATTTTATTCATCAATGTTTTATAATTTTCAGTATACATATCATTCACTTCCTTGTTTCAATTTACTCCTGATTATCTTATTTTTTAATGCTACTGTAAATGGGATTGTTTAATTAATTTCTTTTTCAGATAGCTCATTGTTAGTGTATAGAAGCACTACTGATTTTTGAAAGTTGATTTTGTGTCCTGCAGCTTTACTGAATTTGTTTACTAGTTCTAACAGCTTTTTGGTGGAATGTTTAAGGTTTTTTGCATATAAGATCAAGTCATCAGCAAACAGATAATTTTACTTTTTCCTTTCCTATTTGGATACTTTTTATTTCTTTCTCTCGCCTAACTGCTCTGGCTAGGACTTTCAGTACTATGTTGAACAGAAGGGATGAGAGCAGGCATCCTTATTTTGTTCCTGCTCTTAGAGAAAAAGCTTTCCATTTTTTCATATTGAGTATGTTAGCTATAGGTTTGTCATATATGGCCTTTATGGTGTTGAGAAACATTCTTTCTATATGAAATTGATTAACAGCTTTTATTATAAAAAGATGTTGAATTTTTTTCAAATTTTTTTTTCTGCAACTATGTAATTGATCATGTTTTTTTTTTTTTTTTTTTTTTTTTTTTTTTTTTTTTTTGACAAGGTCTCACTCTGCTGCCCAGGCTGGAATGCAATGGCACAATCTCTGCTCACTGCAACCTCTACCTCCTGGGCTCAATTGATCCTCCTGTCTCAGCCTCCTGAGTGGCTGGGGCTACAGGCATGTGCCACCACACCTGGCTAATTTTTGTATTTTTTTGTAGAGATGGAGTTTCGCCATGTTGCCCAGGCTGGTCTCGAACTCCTGAGTTCAAACGATCCTCCTGCCTTGGCCTCCCAAAGTGCTGTGCTTACATTACAGGTGTGAGCCACCATGCCCGGCCTGATCATATAGTTTTTGCCCTTTATTCTGCTAATATAGTGAATCATGTTGATTGATTTGTGTTTGTTGAACCAATCTTGCATCCCAGAGATCAATCCCACTGAATTATTGTGAATGATACTTTGAATGTCCTGCTGAATATGGTTAGCTAGTATTTTGTTGAGGATTTTTGCATCTATGTTCATCAGTGATATTGGCCTGTCGTTTTCTTTTCTTGTATATACCCATGTAACCACCATCCCTACTAAAATACAGATATACCTCAGAGATGTTATAGGTTTAGTTCCAGACCACTGCAAAGAAGTGAACATTGCAATGATTTTTTGATTTTCCATTGCATATAAAAGTTATGTTTGAACTATATTTTAGTCATTAAGTGTGCAATCACATTATGTCTAAAAAACCATTTTACATACCTTAACTGAAAATACTTGGCCAGGTGTGGTGGCTCATGCCTGTAATTCCAGAACTTTGGGAGGCTGAGGTGGGTGGATCACTTGAGGCTAGGAGTTCAAGACCAGCCTGGTCAACATGGTGAAACCCTGTCTCTACTAAAAATACAAAAATTAGCTGGGTGTGGTGGTGAGCACCTGTAATCCCAGCTACTCAGGAGGCTGAGGCAGGAGACTTGCCTGAACCCAGGAGGCTCTCAGAGGTTGCAGTGAGCAGAGATTGCCCCACTGCACTCCAGCCTGGGTGACACAGCAAGACCCCATCTCAAAAAAAAAAAAAAAAAGAAAAGAAAATACTTTATTGCTACAAATGCAAATGATCATTTTGACCTTCAGTGAGTTGTAATCTTTTTGCTCGTGGAGGATCTTTTCTCAATATTAATGACAACTGACTGATCAGTGTGGTGGCAGCTGAAGGTTGGGGTGGCTGTGGAAATTTCTTATGATAACACCATAACAATGAAGTTTGCCACATCAATTGACTCTTTCTTTCATGAAAGATTTTTCTGCAGCACATGATGCTGTTTGATAGCATTTTACACACACTAGAACTTCTTTTAAGTTTGGAGTCAATCCTCTCAAACTCTGCTGCTGCTTTATCAGCTAAATTTGTGTGATATTCTAAATCCTTGGTTTTGATTTCAACAATGTGCATAGGATCTCCACCAGGAGTAGATTTCATGTTAAGAAACCACTTTCTTTGCTTATCCATAAGAAGTAACTCCTCATTTGTTCCAATTTGATCATTGCAGCAATTCATTGTCATCTACAGGCTCCATTTCTAATTCTGGTTCTTTTGCTATTTCCACCACATCTACAGTTACTCCTCCACTGAAGTTTTGAACCCTTGCAAGTCATCTATGAGGGTTGGAATCAACAATTTCCAAACTCCTGTCAGGGTTGGTATTTTGCCTCCACCTATGAATCACAAATATTCTTACTGGCATCTAGAATGGTGAATCCTTTCCAGAAGGTTTTCAATATAGCTCAATATAGCTCTCCCTGATCCATGAGAAGAATCACCATCTATGGCAGCGATAGGCGATAGTCTTACAAAATGTGTTTTTTTTTTTTTTTTTGAGATGGAGTTTCACAGTTTCACTCTTGCTGCCCAGGCTGGAGTGCAATGGTGTGATCTTGGCTCACTGCAACCTCACCTCCCAGGTTCAAGCAATTCTCCTGCCTCAGCCTCCCAAGTAGCTGGGATTACAGGCATGTGCCACCATGCCTGGCTAATTTTGTATTTTTAGTAGAGACAGGGTTTCTCCATGTTGGTCAGGCTGGTCTTGAACTCCCGACCTCAGGTGATCTGCCTGCCTTGGCCTCCAAAAGTGGTGGGATTATAGGCGTGAGCCACTGCGCCTGGCCCAAAATGTGTTTCTTAAATAATAGGACTTAAAAGTCAAAATGACTATTTGTTCCATGGGCTGAAGAATGGATGCTGCGTTAGCAGGCATAAAAATATTAATCTCCTTGTATATCTCACCAGAGCTCTTGGGTGACCAGGTACATTGTCAATAGCAGTAATATTTTGAAAGAAATCTTTTTTTTTCTGAGCAGTAGGTCTCAACAGTGGGCTTAAAATATTCAGTGAGGTATATTACAAACAGAAATGCTGTCATCTAGAATTTGTTGTTCTATTTTTGGAGCATAGGCAGAATACATTTAGAATAATTCTTAAGTGTCGTAACATTTTCAGAATGGTACGTGAGCAATGGCTTCAACTTAAAGTACCAGCTGCATGAGCCCCTAACGGAAAAGTCAGTCTGTGCTTTGAGTCTTTGAAGCCAGGCATTGACTTCTACTCTCTAGCTATGAAAGTCCCAGATGGCATTTTCTTTCAATAGAAGACTGTTTAGTTTATACTGGAAAGCTATTGTTGGCTGACCATGGTGGCTCACACCTGTATTTGTTGCACTTTGGGAGGCTGAGGCTGGAGGATTGCATGAGCCTAGGAGTTTGAGACCAGCCTGGGCAACATAGTGAGATCTTGTCTCTATTAAAAATAAAAAAAAGAAAAATTCACCAGTCATGGTGGCATGTACCTGTAGTCCCACCTACTTGTGAGGATGAGGCAGTGGGGTCACTTGAGTCTGGGAGTTCAAGGCTGCAATTGTACTATAATCACACCACTGTACTCCAACCTGGGTGACAGAGCAAGACCCTGTCTCAAAAGAAAAAAAGAAAGTAAAAAAGAAAAAGAAAAGAAAAGCCTCTGTTTTATGTAATTGCCTTCATCAGTTCTTACCTAGATCTTTCAGATAACTTGCTGTAGCTTCTACATCAACACTTCCTTCTTGACCTGTTACGTTATAGCGATGGCTTTTTTCCTTAAACCTCATGAACCAAACTCTACTAGCTTCCAACTTTTCTTCTGCAGCTTTCTCACCTCTCTTAGTCTTCATAGAATTGAAGAGAGTTAGGGCCCTCTGGATTAGGCTTTTGCTTAAGGGAATGTTGTGGCTGGTTTGATCTTCTACCCAAACGACTCAAACTTTCTCTGTACCAGCAATAAGGCTGTTTTGCTTTCTTATCAATTGTGTTTACTAGAGTAGCACTTAATTTACTTCAATAATTTTTCCTTTGCTTTAACAACTTGGCCTTTTGGTGCAAGAGGACTTGCTTTCAGTCTGTTTCAGCTTCAAACATGCCTTCCTCAGTCAGCTTAATCATTTCTAGCTTTTGATTTAAAGCGAGAGGCACACGATTCTTTCTTCCACTTGCACAATTACAGACCATTGTAGGGTTATTAATTGGCCCTATTTCAATATTGTTGTGTCTCAGGGAATAGGAAGACCTGAAGGATAGAAGAGAAATGGAGTAATGGCCAGTTAGTGAAGCAGTCAGAACACAGAACATCGATCAATTAACTTCACTGTCTTACATGGGTGTGGTTTGCAGTGCCCCAAAACAATTACAATAGTAACATCAAAGACCAATGATCACAGGTCACCATAACAGATATAATAATAATGAACAAGACTGAAATATTGTAAGAGTTGCCAAAATGTGACACAGAGACATGAAGTGTGCACATGCTGTTGGGAAAATGGTGCTGATTAACTTGCTTGATGCAAGCTTGCCACAAACCCTCCACTTGTAAAAAAGTGCAGTATCTTCAAAGTGCAATAAAGCAAGTGCAATAAATGAGCTATGCCTGTATAAAACAAACACCCTAGAAAATGGCCTGGCAGCTTTTTACAAAAAGTCAAATATATACCTACTATACACCTGAGCAAATGAGTCCCAAGCATTCACCCACTGAATAATTTTAAGCAGAGTATGATCATGTGGAGATTTTTTGTATTTTTAATTAAAAAATTAACGTGCAGTAAAATGGACTTTTTGCTGTACAGTTATATGAATTTTAACACATGCATGAAATATAACCAACATGAATCTGGATACAGAACAGTGCCATAACCCCCCCAAACTTCCTCGTTCTATCCTTTTATAGTCACACTCTCTCCCACCTCCAATCCCTGGAAGATACTGATTAGTTCTTCATTACCACAGTTTTGTATTTTTGAGAACGTCATGTCAATGCAATCATATAGTATGTAACCTTTTGAGACTGGGTCCTTTCACTCAGTGTAATGCCTTTGAGTTTCATCCAAATTGTTCTGCATATCAAAAATTCATTCCTTTTTTTATTGCACAGTATTCCATTGTAATAATATACCATAGTTTACTTATTCATCTGTTGATGCACATTTTTAAAAATTTGAAAGCTGTCCAGTTTATCAATTTTCAGATGGTTAGTAATTTTTGTCTTGTCAAAAAAAAGTTGCCTATGCCGAGGTCATTAATATATTCACCTATGTTTTCTTTACACTTTTTGCTTTCATAGCTTTATGTTTTTTTGTTTTTATGGCTAGGTCTGTGTTGATTTGGGTCCTCCAGGATGCATATGCCAAATGGAGTTATAAGTGAAGGAGATTTATAATTGTGAAAGTTAAAGGAAAGAGAGTAGGAGTGGCAGAGAAAGCTTTCAGGCTGTGATACCAGTCTGATACCTGTGAAAAGAGTGGGGAAAAGAAAGAGGACTATATAAAAGAGCATCAAACTGTGGGGGTAGCTCTGGGAATGTATTAGAAAGCCCAGTGATCTCAAAAACAAATATTGTTCACAGAGGAGTCTCACACTGGCCAGAAACAGCAAATCTTTACATCATTGCATGCTCAGTCATCAGCTGGAGGATGCCCAGGAGGCAAGTGGCCTCAGCTCAAAAGTTATTAATAAGACAAATCCTGAAGACATCCATAGCTGGTTTTCACTAGTCTACATTCTTTGCTGCAGGTTCCTTCTTGAAGAGAGTTGTAAGTGGCATGTTTTCGTGTCTGCTACAGTCCCCTCTTTGCTTTACATGTATTTGTCCTTACACATTTGGAGTGCAGCTCCTCTATAGCTTTTGTCGACTTCAGGCCAGGTTTGCTGTACTTGCTTATTCACAGTCACATTGGGCAAGGAAGTACCAAGAGGCACTCAAGTGGATCACCTGAATTTCACACATATTCCTCTCCACCACCATTGTCTAACATTATCTCTACCTCATCCTGCTCGTCAGTGTCATCTAGACTACCAAGACTGTGACTCCTTCTCACAGCCTTGTGGTTCCTGGAAACGAAAAGTTCAGAGTGCCCATGTGGCAGCTGTAGCTTGTAGTTCAGTAGGAGGCTTGTTATGCCTCTTTTGGGAACCAAAATGTCTAAGTTTTTGAGGTCCAGGATTGCAGGAAGAGATGTACAAATCTCCTTAGTGGTTATTGGGAGTGATGCTAGCTAAATATTTCCTGCTTTCATCCTTTGGTTTCCAGATCCGTGTATTTCACTGGCTCTTCCAGGATGGAAGGGACTCAACATAATCAACCTGCCATCAAATGGACAAGTGGTCTCTTGAAGGAATAGTGTCATACAAGAATACTGGTTTCTGCTGCTGCCATGGAGGACATTCAGAGGCAACAGTAGCTAGACTGACCTTGGTGAGAGGGAGTCCATGCTTTTGGTCTCAGGTGTAGCCTCTATCTCTGTTACTATGACCACTTCTTTCATGTGGCTATGTGGTCTGGGGTGGCTGAAGACAAAGGTTGGCTAACATTAGCAGGCTGAATTATTTTGTCCATAAAGTTGTTCTGTGCTTCTTCTGTGGTGGATGCCATCTGATAGGAAATTACATATGATATGAAAAATTTCATATGTTTAGCCATAGGCACCACATGCCTCTACCTAAGATCTCCTTGTCTCTGACCTTTCAGTCCATTTCCTTCTAAGCCCTTGATTAGCAGGACAAGCCACTTGCCACCACCCATGAGTCCATATATAGTCCATATATGTCTCACCTTGAGCCACTTCTTTCACACAAAGTGAGTGAGCAGAGACATTGCTCACAGCTTCTCAGGAACAATTTCCCTCAACACTTGTTCAAGACTGTCCCCCATTGTGTCTATAATGCAGCCACCATCTATTTTTGCCTTGCGCTGTTATACCTAGACAGCCTATCTGGAAACTAACCTCTTAATTTTCCCCTTTCTTCAACTAGTAGTACAGGACTCCCATAAAGCCATAGATGTGAGCTGAGGGGAGGGGCCCTGGCGCAACTGTGGTGGGTGACATGGAGGTACAGGCTACCTCCTCATGTAGATTATGCCTACCTTCTACTCCTGTTCAGGTTTAATCCCAGATGCACTTTTTACATCTTATGATGAACTGATGCTTCGTTCACTCATCTTTATAACTTGATAGATCTGACAGAACCAAGTTCATAATGGGCACTTTTTTTTTTTTTTTGAGACAGAGTCTTGCTCTGTTGCCCAGGCTGGAGTGCAGTGGTGCTGTCTTGGCTCACTGCAAGCTCCGCCTCCCAGGTTCACGCCATTCTCCTGCATCAGCCTCCCAAGTAGCTGGGACTAAAGGCGTGTGCCACCACGCCTGGCTAATTTTTTCGTATTTTTAGTAGAGATGGGGTTTCACCGTGTTAGCCAGGATGGTCTCGATCTCCTGACCTCGTGATCTGCCTGCCTCGGCCTCCCAAAGTGCTGGGATTACAGGCGTGAGCCATGGCACCTGGCCCATAATGGGCACTTTTTGACAAATACATTCTAAAGGGTGGCAAATAAACTCTTCTAAGATTCTGGGACTCACCTCTTCAGTAAATACTTCAGAGATCTGACGATCAAAGGCATGTAGAGACATCCTCTTTAAAAAATGTCTTTTTTGGTTGTTGTTGCATCTTCTCCTGCTACAGTGTTTCTCAACCTTTTTGTTGTTAATGCCCTGGTAAGGAAGTTTTTTAGACATTTTACCCCTAATTACCTCTCCATCATGAAATATTGATAGCACAGATGTACTGTATATTTGTTTAGGTAGTGTGACCTTTGGAAGACTACAGGACCACATAAACCATTAAATACCAATTTTTGCCCCCTTGGGGGTGATATTATTCCTAGTAAGAATCCATGTCCTACTACAAAGAAGGAAGTATAATGTCATGGGTCTCTTTGGGTTGTGGAAGCAATACATTCTGTATCTCCAAATGCTAATCCAGCAGATAAAATGTGACATGGAATGCTGCCAGGTTTGAATGGGGCTTAGGACAGAAAATGTAGCAGGTCCAGGTTGTGATGTAAGTAAGCTGTACTGCTGCTTTGAGCAAAACAAGCTGCCATTCTCTGTGATTTTGTGTCAGTGAAGGAAAAGGATGCAGTGTGGAGATTATGGCAAGCCCAACTAGGAAAATAAAAAATTTAAGGAGGTGCTCACTCTCAGGTTTTGCAAGTGCAGGCTCAGCACCTAACAGTGAGTGCTTAGATTTTTCATAGGAGATGCCCTGCTTGCCTCACCAAAGTCCTGTCTCTGTCCCTGTGGGTCAAGCTTTCTGGACCACCCCTGACCTTGTTGGTTGTTAAGGTAACTCAAGTTACTCCTATATTTTGTTCTAGAACCTTTATAGATTTAGGTTTTACATTTGGGTCTATGTGTGAATATATTTATGGAGGTGTTGGGAGATAATTCTCCATAGATCTTCTGTTTTTGCATATCTTCTGAGCAATTGTATTCGTAGCTTTTTTCTAGACTGTCTTTTCAAGAATGTCTGTATAGCAAACAGCTTTGGAAAATATAGTGTCTCCCTTTGGGGAAGAAGGCAGGTTTGTTGGCTGTTCATGATAATAAAGACAATGTCTTCCACTGGAAAAAGGTTGAAAAGGTTTTCTAGCAAGGGTTTTAGAAAATATTGGGGTTTCCTAAATAGGGTTGCTCTTGGGTAATGCAACTCACTGAGTGTGCTCTGTGGGAATCAGGGCTTGAAGAACTAGCACAAATGTTGTTACTCTGATTACTGCTATTGCTCTGATTAATAAATTGTTCTTTATCCCTGGCCCAGGAATCTCATATCTCCTGCCAGTGTCTATGAATTTGTGCCATGCTAACTTGTTTTCTAGCAAGGTAAAATTACAGACTCTTACTATTCTTACCATTTTTGGTAATAAAGATGGAATACTGACAAGACATGGCTTTCTGGAATAAGAAAGACAAGAGCCTTCCAATAGTTCAGTGATAATTTGAGGGAAGTCTGTAGGATTTAGTAGCAGCCATATTATTCAAACTGTCTAGTCAATCAAGCAATAAGTGATCCTCCCCTCTTTCATTCTCTGCTACCAAGGAGGAACTAGGGAGATGGCTGCAGGCTGAGTACTGGAAAATAGGTTCATTGAGGTGGGGGCAGGAGGGTCGATCTGATGGTCAGTGTCACTCCCATCCCATTGTAACAACGAGAACTAAGATCCATTCTGGGTTAGAGTAAGGTTCTGATCCTTTTCAGAAAATAGTTACGGAGATATGCACCTCTAAATGCAAAAGGAGAGGATTTGGGACTGCTATGGACAGAAATTTTGCAAATCTTAAGAACTTTGGCTTGTTAGCTTGGGAGATGAGGGAGAGAGGTGCACAATGTTTGTTAAGGAGGAATGGCAACAGCAATGGCAACCTCTTATAGCTCAACTCCTCCTGAATTCTATCAGGCCAATATTAGATCTTTTTGAAGATGACAGTACGAGTTTTCTTGGAGTAGGCGCTGGCTGCTGTAAGTGTACCTGGCCCTCTCAGTAAGAGATTCCTGAGACAGAGAACCTGCCACGGGAAACCAGAGATGAAGCAATGTCTAGTATTCAGGCCCTTACTATCCTGCTTTGGGTTGATACTCTCCACCTAGTCCCCTGACACTGACCCATAAAAGCCACAAGTGAGGGACATAATGGGTTTTTATATGTTTTATAAAAATTCCCTTGTCACTCTTGCTCTTGACTGACTGTTCCAGATGAAAATTTTAGGTGAGATTAGAAGCATGATTGGAAAGAGGTTATAGTTACTAGAATGGGACACATTAATTTTGTGGCAGTGTTAGAGAGAGAGAGACAGAGAGAGAGAGACTGAGACCTAAGCACTTGGAAAGGCACTGGGGGATAAAGGGACATTAGTATTAATATTCTTTTGTCTTTTAGAACTGATCCTGGAGCTTTCCCTCACAAAGGAAAATGCCCTGCTGCAGCTTTTGCAAACTGTTTCAAGTCCTTGAATTTAACTGATTCCTGGGTCTGTTATCCTCTGTTAGATGGCTTTGACCACAATTTGATTACTATTCTCTTATTCTTTCTGAGAAGTCTATTAGAAACAGCAGTGAATGGTCTCAGCTTCTTCATTTTCCATGCAAAAACTTGTCAACAGCTTGTATGTATTGCCTGTAGATAGTCCCATAGCTGTCACTTAGGTATTTTGTGGTGGTGGATGAAACAGGATAGGAAAGATTGGACTGACTTCCATCATGTGGTACCTACAAAAACAAGGATGCTCAATTATTCAAACTGAACTGGGAATCCTAAGGTGTATTGTTGATTGGGAGGCCATGTTGGAGGCATGGTCAACCTGTGCCTCATGAGTAATATGAGTGCCATTTTGGTGGAGGTAGGGGGAAAGGGGATACCCAATAAATGCAAACAAGACTTTATTTCCAGGGCACTCAATGCTCCCTGACTATACTTCTTGTAATGTATACCTCCAATTTTGTTTTTCTTTTAAAAAGTCATTCTGGCTATTGCAGATCCTTCCTATTTCCAAATGAACTTTAGCGTCAGGTTGCAAATTGCTTCACAAAAGCCTGATGGTAGTTTCAATGGAATTGCATTGGATTTATAGATCAATTTGGGGAGAACTGACATCCTAACATTATTAAATCTTCTGATTCATGAACACAGTGTATCTTCATTTATTTAGGTCTTTTTATTTTCTCTCAGCAATTTTTTGTAGTTATCACTGTAACTTTTTATCTTATTGAGTGCTGGAAGGTTTTGTATGCCTATAAATATTCTTGAGCTGTGTTTTGGGTCTCAGCTAAGTTACTGGAAACATTCAATCCTTTCAGATCTTACTTTTAAGCTTTGTTTGACAGGTCCAGAGGAGTGTTTAGTGTAAGACTGTTTTTGAACCCTTCCTGAGGCAAAACCCTTTTGAGCACTTTACTCACTGCCCCTTAAATTATAAAACTTTTGACTCTAGCTGGTGGTAACATGAAATATTCTGAGCACTGAGTATCATATCCTATCATGGCACTGAGTGTCATATCCTATCATGCTTCCACGTGGTTCTTTCCCTGGCCATGGATAGTTTTCATACATGTATACAGTGATCATTACCCAGTTGAAGACTAAAGGGGTCCCCTGAAGATTTATGGAGCTCTCTTTGTTCTTTAATTTCTTCTCTCGGATTCTCTCCTTTGAACTCTAGCTTCCTTGGCCTTCCTGGACACCTCCTTCCCTCAACTCAGAGACCGCTAGAAGCTGCCTGGGTTTTCTGTTCTTTGTATCATGACTTGGAACCACCTGTCTTCAGGGAGTAAGCTTAGGAAATAATAGGGATCATCTTAAATTTGTTTCCTGTTATGCAGGGGTCATTATCATTATCTGATAACCGAGGTATAAAAATTCATTGTTTCATATATTTTGTCTGATTCTTTACTTATTCCAGACAGGAGGATAAACCCAGTTGCTGTTACTCCATCTTGGCTGGAAGCAGAACCCTTCACATAAACCCAGTTGCTGTTACTCCATCTTGGCTGGAAGCAGAACCCTTCACATTATCCCTTGAAGGATAATATGTATGGTATGTGTCCATGGCACAAAGTCTATGATTTAATTTAAATTAACTTTCAGGTATGGCACGAGGCAGGGGTCATGGATAATTTTTTTTCTCTCAATGATATCAGCTTTCATTTTCATTGTTGGAAAGATTTTTCTTTCCCCATTGAAGTGCACTGGCACTGTTTAAAATCAATTGACTTTATATATGTGGATATATTTCTTAACCCTCTATTTGTTCCATTTTTGTCTAACTTCGTGTAATATACTATTTTACTATAACTTTATAACTCTTGAAAACCTGTAGTATATGTCATTTAAATATTTGCTTATTTTTTTCAAGATTGTTTTGGCTCTAGCCTTTTTCATTTCCATATAAATTGCAAAATTATTTTCCCAATTTCTAGAAAATAATCTTCTTGGATTTTGATCATAAACGCATTTAATGTGTAGATAAATATTGATAGACATAGACTTAAAAAGTTGACATTTTAGCAATATTGGGTCTTCTAATCCATTAATATGGTACATAATCTCCATTAATTTGGATCTTCTTTAATTTCTCTCAGTAATGTTATATAGTTTTCATTGTAGATGTCTGGAAATTGTATGTTGTCTGGGAATACAGCTTTATTTCTTTCATTGAAATCATTATGCCTTTATTTCTTTTTCTTGCCTTATTGCACTTGTTAAGACCTCCAGTATAATACTGAATAGACATAGTGAGAGCAAATATCCTTGCCTCCTTCCAATCTTAAGGAAAAATCAATTTTTCACTATTGAAAATGATGTTAGCTGGAGATAGTTCACAGATGTCCTTCATCAGATGAAAAAGTTCCTCT